>NC_000023.11:150536212-150839242 GCF_000001405.40 Homo sapiens | reverse complement strand
AGCAAGAAGCAAAAGTCTACCTTAGAATTTTGGAAGCTAGGTTATTAAGTGCCATAACTTTTATTTACTGGTATATTATATGCTTTATTTCCATAAAATATTGCTCTTTTCCTACTTTGAGCTTTGGGTCTTGAATTTTATCTTATATTAATATCATATCTGTTTCCTTCCTGTTAGTGTTTGCCTGGTATATATTTGTTCATTCTCTACATTTTTTTGCCATTTTGTTTTAAATGTACATTTTATCAATAGCCTATAGTTAGATATCTTTTAATCTCATTTGTCTTGTAATGGGAGATTTAGCCTATTTACACCCCCCCCCCCATTTTTTTTTTTTTTTTTTTACTGATATGATTATACGTATTCCTATGTTAAAGTTCATGTTTTCCGCTGGGCATGGTGGCTCATGCCTGTAGTCCCAACACTTTGGAAGGCCAAGGCCGGAGGATTGCTTGAGACTAGGAGTTGGAGACCAGCCTAGGCAACATAGTGAGACCCCATCTCTACAAAAAAACCCAAAAAGTTTGTTTTCTATTTATCATAGTTCTTTTTTTTTTTTTTTTTAACCTCTGGTGACTTTTGTTGGGTTGACTGAGTTTTGGTTGTTGCTATTGTCCTTTTATTTTTTCCCCTTAAATGGGTTTTGAGGTTATATATCCTGGATCTCTTCATTTAGCAGTTGCCCCTAATTGGTTTTGCTATAAGAAATTGATTTTTTAAAATAAGTTTTATTTTTGAACAGTTAGATATACAGAAAAATTGCAAAGCTAGGACAGAGTTCCCATATGCTTCATATCCAGTTTTCCCTATTAACATTTTATATTAGCATGATGCATTTGTCACAGTTAATGAACCAATATAGATATACTATTATTAACTAAAGTCTATACTTTATTCAGATTTCCTCAGTTTTTATGTAAAGCCCTCTTCTGTTCCAGAATCCAATCCAGGATCCAATCTAATCCATGTGACTGTCAGTCCTTACGTCTTCTTAAGCTTCTCAGGCTATGCCGGTTTCTCAAACTCTGGTTTTAATGACCTTGGTGATTTTGAAGATTGGTCAGCTATTTTGTACAGCACCCCCCAGTCAGGAGTTATTTGATGTTTTTGTCATGATTAGACTGGAGTTACGGGGTTTTGAAAGAAAGACCACAGAGGCAAAGTGCCATGCACATCACATCCTGTCACATTATATCAAGGGAACATACTGTCAACAGGACTCATCATTGTACATGTTGACCTTGGTCACCCGGCTCAGGTAGTGTTTGTCAGGTTTCTCCTCTGTAAAGAGTAAAGTTTTTCTATTTCCCCTTTATCATACTGTAATCTTGGGAAGGAAGTTACTATGTGTGGCTAATACGTAGGGAGTGGTGAATTGTGCTTCACCTCCATGAGAGACAGATAGCTACAGAAATGAATTTGAATTATTCTGTATGAGAGATTTGTCTATTCTCTCTCTTTTGTTTATTTATGTAATCACTTATTCATTCAGCATGGACTCGTAGATACTTATGTTATACTTGGGGTTATAACCCAATACTACTTTATTTTGTTCTTCAAATTGTTCCAGCTAATATCCGTCCTGAAAAAAGTCTTTAAAAATTTATTCCAGCCATAGCCACTGGGAGCTCTTTCAGTTGGTTCCTGTGCCCCTTTGACAGATACCAATTGATGTGATTTTTAAAAATACTTCCAGGCCGGGTGCAGTGGCTCACGCCTGTAATCCCAGCACTTTGGGAGGCCAAGGTGGGCGGCACTAGAGGTCAGGAGTTCGAGACCAGCCTGGCCAACATAGTGAAACCCTGTCTCTACTAAAAATACAAAAATTAGCCAAGTGTGGTGGCGGGTGCCTGTAATCCCAGCTACTCAGGAGGCTGAGACAGGAGAATTGCTTGAATCTGGGTGGCGGAGGTTGCAGTGAGCCAAGATTGTGCCATTGCACTCTAGCCTGGCTGACAAGAACAAAGCTCCGTCTCAAAAAAAAAAAAAATAATAATACTTTCTTACTTTCTGGCACCTCAAGATGCTTCAAGATTCAAGCTCATCTTACATATTTTCTGTCCCAGTCAAATCAGCCAAGGACCCCTGGTTCCCTTTTTGGAGAGTAGGATTAGAGACGAAGACCTGGGTGCTAGATGTGCTCATTGCTACGGAGTGTTGTTGCTTCCAGCCCCGTCCAGTTGACAGAGCAAGGGAATATATGTCTTTATACTAACCCATATATATACTCATGGCTATAAATATTTCTGTATATAGCTATCTGTTTATAGTCACGTGCCACATGGTGATATTTTGGTTGACAGGCCACATATACAATGTTGGGCTCATAAGATTATAATACTTTATTTTTACTGTGCCTTTTCTGTGTTTAGATACACAAATACCATGGTGTTATAGTTGCCTACAGTATTCAGTACAGTCACATGCTGTACAGGTTTGTAGGCTAGGAGAAATAGGCTCTACCATACAGCCTAGGTGTGTAGTAGGCTACACCATCTAGATTTGTGTAAGGACACCCTATGATGTTTGCATAACAAAATGGTAAAAGTGTAACAAACACATCTCAGAACGTATCCCTGTTGCTAAGCAACACATGACTATGTTAATATTAAGCTAGGCCGGGTGCAGTGGCTCACACCTGTAATCCCAGCACTTCGGGAGGCTGAGGCGGGCAGATCACCTGAGGTTGGGAGTTCGAGACCAGCCTGACCAACATGGAAAAACCCCATCTCTACCAAAAATACAAAATTAGCTGGGCGTGGTGGCAGACGCCTGTAATCCCAGCTACTTGGGGGGCTGAGGCAGGAAAATCGCTTGAACCTGGTGAGCTGAGATTGCGCTATTGCACTCCAGCCTCGGCAACAAGAGCGAAACTCCATCTCGGAAAAAAAAAATTAAGCTAAATATGATTTCATACTTAGCTTAAAGTCTCCTACTCTAATCCATTTTTGTATGGGTCATTTTAGCCTGCCCCTCTTATCTGTAACCTCTCTCTCTGATAGTGAGAAACCTGGCTCCCACCATCCCCTATCCATTTACTTAGGTCAATTCCAGTATGCATGCATAATGGTTTGCTTGAGAACTGATAAGCTATACACCCTTATGACAAACTACGTGCCCATCTAGAGGAAACAGTAGCTATCAAGTTCAGTAGGACGCTAGGTTGGGCAGATGGGTCCACTTGTGAGGACAAATTCTATTGTGAAAAACTTTTCCCCAGAGCTTTTTCAGTTATGTGTGATTAGCCAGAGCCTCTAGTCTAGGTGGGGTACTGGGGATCGGAGAGAAGGTACCCTGGATTGACAAAGTATAGAGTAGCCTTTGTGAGACCTGGGGTGGGGTGGAAGAACTTGGCCCCTCATCAGTGGAGCTGTGGGCTCCAATGACCCCTCTTACTTCTCTATGGAGAAGGTTTTCTGTGAGATAGTACTTCATGTTCGAAACACCTGAGCCTTCAACATTCTAGTGGACTGAAGCTTGGGGTTTTGTTTTGTTTTTATTTTTTAATTTTTATTTTTGGTGGGGATAGATAGGTTGTTTGAGGAAGGCTATCAGCTCAGTATATCTTTGAGTGGCTTTGACAGATTTCCCTTTTGTGGAGTTACATTCATGACACTGTCTAAAGGGCCATGACCATTTCAGGAGAGAATTTCAGTATTATTTTGTTTCATACAAAGACAGTTAAATTTTAAAATCTTTGTTTTGTTATCGTTGCTTTTTACAGACAGGGCCTCACTCTGTCGCCCATGCTAGAGAGCAATACACACTCACTGTAACCTCAAACTCCTAGCCTCCAGCGATCCTCCTTCCTCAGCCTTCCAAGTAATTGGGACTACAGGCGTGCACCACCATGCCGGGCTAATAAAAATAATTTTTAACATTTATTTTTAATTGACAAATAATCTTTGTATGTATTTATAGGGTACAATGTGTGTAGTAAGATTCATTCAAGCTAATTAACATATCCATTATCTCACAAACTTATTTTGTTGTAGTGAGAATTGTAAAAGTCTATTAGCAATTTTAAAATATACAATACATTATTATTAATTGTGGTCACCATGCAGTGCAATAGGTTGCTAAAACTTAATTCCTCCTGTCTAACTGAAACTTTGTGTTCTTTAATCAACACTTTCCCTTTCCCCATACTTCTCCCTCCCCTCAGCCTCTGGTTAGCTACCTTTCTACTATTTCTGTCAGATCAACTTTTTTAGATTCCACATCTAAGTGAGATCATACAATATTTGTATTTCTGTGCATGGCTTATTTCACTTAGCATAATGTCCTTCAGTTCCATCCACATTGTCATGAGTGACAGAATTTCCTTCTTTTTAAAGGATGTATAGTACTCCATTTATATATGTACCACATTTTCTTTATCCATTCATTTGTTAATGGACACTTAGGTTGCTTCCATACCTTTGATAGTGTAAGTAAAACCAAAATGAACATGGGAGTACAGATATCTCTTTAAAATCGTGATTTCAATTCCTTTGGATATTAATACACACACAGAACTGGGACTGATTTCTGAATTATATGATAATTTCATTTTTTGTTTTTTTGAGGAACCTCCATACCATTCTCCAAAATGGCTATACTAATTTACATTCCTAACAACTTGTGCAAGTGTTCCCTTTTCTCCATATCCTCACCAACAAATATCATTTGTCTTCTTCATAATAGCCATTCTAACAGATGTAAGATGACATCACATTTTTGTTTGTTTTTGTTTTTGTTTTGTTTTGTTTGGAGATGGTGTCTTGCTCTATCACCAGGCTGGAGTGCAGTGGCGCGATCTCAGCTCACTGCAACCTCTGCATCTCTGGTTCGAGAGATTCTCCTGCCTCAGCCTCCCGAGTAGCTGGGACTACAGGCACATGCTACCGCGCCCAGCTAATTTTTGTATTTTTAGTAGAGACGGGGTTTCACCATGTTGGCCAGGATGGTCTCAATCTCTTGACCTCGTGAACTGCCTGCCTTGGCCTCCCAAAGTGCTGGGATTACAAGCATGAGCCACTGTGCCCAGCCCACATTTTGGTTTTAATTTGTGTTTCCCTGATGATTAGAGATATTGAGCATTTTTTCATATACCCGTTGACCATTCATATCTCTTCTTTTGAGAAGCTCCTTTGCCTTTGCCCATTTTTAACTGGGTTATTTGTTTTCTTGCTATTGAGTTGAGTTCCTTATATATTTTGGATATTAACCCCTTTTCAGATGTATGGTTTGCAAATATTTTCTCCTAATCCATGGGTTGTCTTTTTACTCTGTTTCCTTTGCTGTGCAGAAACTTTTTAGTTTTATTCAGTCTCATTTGTCTACTTTCACTTTTGTTGCCTGTGCTTTTGGAGTCTTATCTAGGAAATGGTTGCCCAGACTAACGTTGTGCAACTTTTTCCCTGTGTTTTTTTCTAGTAGCTTTGCAGTTTCAGGTCTTGCATTTAAGTCTTTTATTCATTTTGAGTTAATTTTTGTATATGGTATGAGATAGGGGTCCAGTTTCATTCTTCCACATGTGCATATCCAGTTTCTCTACATCATTTACTGAAGAGACTGTCCTTGTTGGAGATCAATTAACTGTAAATATTTGAGTTTATTTTGGTGCTTTCTATCCTGTTCCATTAGTTCATGTGTCTGTTTTTATGCCAGTACCATGCTGTTTTGATTACAATAGCTTTATAATATATTTTGAAATCAAGAAGTGTGATGCCTCCAGCTTTGTGCATTTTGCTCAAGATTGCTTTGGCTATTGGGGGTCATTTCTGGTTCCATACAAATTTTAGGATTTTTTTCCATTTCTGTGAAAAATGACATTGGAATTTTGATAAAAATTACATCGTATCTGTAGATCACTTTGGTCAGTATAGACATTTTAACAATATTCTTCTAATACATGAACATGGGATATATTTTCATTTGTGTTTTTCATTTTTCATCATTGTTTTATGGTTTTCAAGGTACAGGTTAGGAGGTACGGGTCTTTTACCTCCTTGGTTAAGTTTGCTACTCAGTATTTTCTTTTTTGATGTTATTATAAATGGGATTGTTTCTTTTTTTCAGACAGTTCATTGTTCAAATATAGAAATGCTATTGATTTTTGTATGTTGATTTTGTAACCTGCTACTTTACTAAATTTGTTTATCAGTTCTCATAGTTTTCTGGTGGAGTCTTTTTTTTTTTTTTTTGAGACAGAGTCTCGCTCTGTCGCCCAGGCTGGAGTGCAGTGGCGCGATCTCGGCTTACTGCAAGCACTGCCTCCTGGGTTCATGCCATTCTCCTGCCTTAGCCTCCTGAGCAGCTGGAACTACAGGCACCCGCCACCATGCCCAGCTAATTTTTTGTTTTTGTATTTTTAGTAGAGACGGGTTTTCACCGTGTTAGCCAGGATGGTCTCGATCTCCTGCCCTCGTGATCTGCCCGCCTCGGCCTCCCAAAGTGCTGGGATTACAGGCGTGAGCCACCACGCCCGGCCCTGGTGGAGTCTTTAGGCTTTTCTACACATAAGATCATGTCATTTGCAAAGAGAGACAATTTACCTTCTTCCTTTCCTACAGAGAGGCCTTTTATTTCTTGTTCTTGCCTAACTGCTCTGGATATAACTTATTCTGTTGAATAGGAGTAGTGAGAGTGGGCATTGTTGTCTTGTTCCTGATCTTAAAGGAAAAGCTTTTAACTCTTCACTATTGAATGAATCAAATGATTTTTTCTGCATCTATTGAGATGAATAGCTGGGATTACAGGCATGCACCACCACACCCAGCTAATTTTTGTAGTTTTTGATAGAGACAGAGTTTCACCATGTTGGCCAGGCTGGTACCAAACTCCTGACCTCAAGTGATCTACCCACCTTGGCCTGGCCTCCCACAGTGCTAGGATAACAGGCGTGAGCCACTGCACCTGGCCGTCTCAAGATATTTTTAAATTTTCCTTTTAATTTCTTCTTTGACCTGTTGATTGTTTAATTTCCACATATTTGTGAGTGTTCCAAGATTTCTTCTGTTGTTTATTTCTAGTTTCTGGCTATTTTGGTCAGAAAAGATACTTGATATGATTTCAGTCTTCTTAAATTTGTAAAGACTTGTTTTGTGGCCTAACATATGATCTATCCTGGAGAATGTTTCGTGTGCACTTGAGAAGAGTGTGTATTTTGTTGCTGTTGGTTGGAATGTTCTGTAAATATCTGTTAGGTTCATTTGGTCTAAAGTGTAGTTCAAGTCCAATATTTCCTTATTGATTTTCTGTCTAGATGATCTGTTCAATGTTGAAAGTAAGGTATTGAAGTGTTCTACTATTATTGCATTGCAGTCTCTCTCTCTCTTTAGATTTATTAATATTTGCTCTATATATTTAGGTGCTTCAATGTTGGGTGTGCATATATTTACAATTGTTATACTTTCTTAATGAATTGACCCCTTTAGCATATAATGACCTTCTTTGTCTCTTTTTACAGTTTTTGACTTTAAAAGTCTATTTTTCTTTTTTTTACTTTTATGTTCAGTTCAGGGATACATGTGCAGGTTTGTTATAAAGGTAAACTTGTATCATGGGGGTTTGTTGTACAGATTACTTCCTCACCTAGGTAATAAGCCTAGCACCCATTGGTTATTTTTCCTGACCCTCTCCCTCCTCCCACCCTCCACTCTCCAATAGGCCCCAGTGTGTGTTGTTCCCCTCTATGTGTTCATGTGTTCTCATCATTTAGTCCCACTTATAAGTGAGAATATGTGGTACTTGATTTTCTGTTCCTATAGTAGTTTGCTAACAATACTGGCCTCTATTTTGTCTGATGTAAGTATAGCTACCACCACTCACTTTGGGTTTCTATTTGCATGGAATACCTTTTGTTATTCCTTCACTTTCTAAAGGGAAATGACCATTTCTAGAGGATATTTCATTATTACTTTGTTTTATGCAAAGATAGTTTAATTTTTTTTTTTAATTTTTAGGATCTGGGGACTTTGATGATTTTAACCTGGAGGATGCAGTGAAAGAAACTTCCTCAGTAAAGCGTGAGTAGTAAATCAAATAAACTATTAAAAACAAACAGTAGTGATTAATGTGTATCATCCACTCAGAATATATGCGCAAGAAAAATGATATATTTTACTTGATCAGATGAAATATGGATAGTGCCCGGACACGGTAGCTCACGCCTGTAATCCCAGCAATTTGGGAGGCCAAGGTGGGAGGATCACTTGAGGTCAGAAGTTCGAGACCAGCCTGGCCAACATGGTGAAACCCTGTCTCTACTAAAAATACAAAAATTAGCCGGGTGTGGTATTGCATGCCTATAATACCAGCTACTCGGGAGGCTGAGGCAGGAGAATTGCTTGAACCCGGGGGGTGGAGGTTGCAGTGAGCCAAGATCACACCATTGCACTCCAGCCTGGGTGATGAAGCAAGATCTCCGTCTCAAAAAAGAAAAGAAAAGAAAAGAAAAGAAATGGTTGTATTATTTAAAATAAAATTTGAATATTTAAATCCTTTGTTAAGAATACCTAACAATGTGTGATAACTGATATATCAGTTTCTGTAGCTCAAGTCATAGCCCCTACTGGTGTGACATATCAGCAGTGGCCTCCAAGGGCTGTCTTCCTTAACTCAGAAAAAAAGGCACTTTGAAGTGAATAAAAGATTTGTTTCTCCTTTTAGATTGATTTTATAATGGCTTTTTTTTTTTCTTGACACAGGATCTTACTCTATTGCCCAAGCTGGAGTACAGTGGCACGCACCATCTTAGCTTTACTGTAGCCATAAACTCCTAGGCTCAAGTGATCCTTCCATCCCAGCCTTCCAAGTAGCTGGAACTATAGGTGTGTGCTACCACACCTGGCTAATTTTTAAATTTTTTTGTGGAGACAGAATCTCACTGTTTTGTCCAAGCTGGTCTTGAACTCGTGGCCTTAAGTGATTCTCCCATTTTGCCCTCCCAAAATACTGAGATTATGAGCATTAGCCACCACACCTAGTCATGGCTTTTCTTAAAATGGAGTCTGTGTAGTTTCTCAAATGCTAAGCTTTGTTATCAATTTTCCTTTTTTTTTTCATTTTTTAACTTTATTTATTTGTTTATTTATTTATTTTGGAGACAGAGTCTCGCTCTGTCACCCAGGCTGGAGTGTAGTGGCGCAATCTCAGCTCACTGCAACCTCCCCCTCCTAGGTTCAAGCAATTCTCCTGCCTCAGCCTCCCAAGTAGCTGGGACTACAGGTGCGTACCGCCACGCCCAGCTAGTTTTTTGTATGTTAGTAGAGGGGATTTCACCGTGTTGCCCAGGCTGGTCTCAAACTCCTGAGCTCAGGCAATCCGCCCGCCTCAGCCTCCCAAAGTGCTGGGATTACAGGTGTGAGCCACCACGCCTGGCCTCCTTAAACCATTCTTTTAAAAAATGATAACTACTTATAAAGTAAAGCCAAGGTTTCCCTTGACCCTTCTCCCTTCTAACTGACATGAGAACTACTGTAGTCAGTTTGGGGCATGTTGATCCCAATTAGTTTTCAATGCTGTTAGGTGCATCTACAGATAGAAATTGTTTGGTCTTTTTTTTTGTTTTTTTAATGTTAACAGGTGTGAGGCTCTTTCATTTAATGTGTATTGAAATCCTTAGAGAACATGTCTATGTTGGTTTTTTCCAGCTGCCTTAGGAATGTACCACAAACTAGATGGCTTAAAACAACAGAACTTTATTCTGTCACTGTTCTGGATGCTAGAAGTTCTATATCAAGGTGTTGGTTGGGCCACATTCTCTCTGAAGGCTCTAGGGAAGAATCTTTCCTTGACTTTCCCCACTTCTGGTGGCTCTAGGTGTTCCTTGGTTTGTGGTTGCATCACTCCAATCTCTGCCTCTGTTGTCACGTGGTGTTCCCCTTTCTGTGTCTCTCTCCTTTCTCTTACAAAGATGCTTGTTAGTGGGTTTAAGGCCCACCTGGATAATCCAGGATGATCTCATCTTGAGATCTTTCACTTAATTACATCTGCAGAGATCCTTTTTCCAAATAAGGAAATATATATTTATAGATATATAATATATATACACATACATATATGTGCGCATATATATATACACACATCCCTTATTCGTTTTAAGCACTGCACGGTATGCCATAGTATGCATTCAGTAAATGTCTGAGTGCCAGCTGTGTATCAGTTACTGTTTTAGGCTTTGGGGCTACAGCCATGGACAAATCACACATAAACCTGTGCCTTGTGGAGCCAGCGTTCCAGTAGTGTGGATTTGGCCATGACCTGTATTGCCATTTCCTTACTGGCAGACACGTGGTTTATTTCCTTTTTATGCAATTACAAATAGGGCTACAGTGGACATTCTTGTCCATGTCCTTTGTGCCTAAGTGCATTGTGACTGCTAGGACCAAAGATATGTGTTTTTTATATTATAAAAAACGCTGCCAAATTGTTTTCCAAAGTGGATTTGCCATTATGCACTGTCACTGATGTTGTTATAATAGTACCTGTTTTCCCAGACCCACGCCAACACTGAATTTTATCAATAAAAATATTTTACCAATATGATGGACAAAATAATATCTCATTGCTTATTATGCATTCCCCTGATTGTAGTCAAATGGAGCATCATATATTTACTGGCCATTTGCATTTGCCTCTTTGGTAAATTGTTCACATTCTTCCCCCATTTTTCTGCCAGATTGCTTGCCTTTTAAAAATGGGTTTATTAAGATCTCTTTGTATTATATATTGAGTTGAGAAAGTCAAGGGCTTTGGAGTCAGACTTCTTGGGTCTAAACTCTACCTCTGCCACTTCTGAACTGTCACCTTGGGTAAGTCACCTGACTTGTCTGCACCTCAGTTTCCTTATCTCTTACATGAAGATAATAAGAAGCCCTACCTCCTAGGATCACTGTAAGGATGACATGGGAGGAGCCATGTGAAGCACTCAGCACAGTCCTTGGAACAAGGTGAGTGCTCAGTAAGCATTAGCCTTACTGTTGTTCTTTGACTGACTTGATTGGAAGGACTGACTGTGGCTGGGCCTGTGGTGTAAGAGTCAAGCAGACCTAAATCGGGTGACAAACTCAACACAATTCCTGACAAAATCCCAGATGGATTTTTTGCAGAAGTGGATAAGCTGACCTTAAAATTCATATGGAAATTCAAAGGACTCAGAATAGCCAAACAATCTTGAAAAACAAGAAAATGATGGAGAACTTATCAATTGTAGCACTGACTATAGACCTACAATAATCAAGATAGTGGGCTACTGGCTAGAGATCAATGGAATAGAACTGAGAGTCTAGAAATAAACCCTTAGATCTATGGTCAGTTGATTTTTGACAAAGACGCCAAGACCTATTCAAAGTGAAAAGAACAGTCAATCTTCAACAAACAGTGCTTAGGACCATAGGATATCTACATGCAAAAGAATGAAGTTGGACCGTTACCTCACACCATACACAAAAATTAACTCCAAATTGATCATAAACCTGGAAGTATAAGTCTCTTAGAAGTTAATTTTTGTGTACAGTGTGAGGTGAGCGGTTTGGGCATTCTCAGGTCTTTCCTGGATATTCATGCTGTCCTCTGCATGCAGGTGTCCTCTTAGATCCCCAGGAAAATAAATACACTTAATTTATTAGCAATGATGGTTTTAATGAAATCATTTAACATCTCCAAAACAAACAGGACCAAAACAAACTTGATAAATATAAATAGACTTTCAATAAATTTGTCAACTTCTTGATGGGAACTTTTAAAATCTCAGCATATCATACCTCCAATCGACAGGGACTTTTTAATATATAAAATCCCTTTTTGAGTCTTGTGCTGACCCATCTGATCTTCCTCATCAGCACCCATCAGCCAGTGTCTCTGGGAACCCCTAGAACCACCTGTATGTGATGTATGTGTTTGAATGACAGCCCACAAGACCACATCATGCTGCCACCCTTTTTTCTATCTTAGCTTATGTTTCTCGTAACTGAGGTTTCAAAGAGATAGGCCTCTCCACCTCACCTTGGTCCAGATACTTATCTTGCAGAGAATGTTCTTCTCTGCACGTTGTGCATTCCTCTGCTTGTTTTAAAAACCCCTGAACCACCTAGGCCAGAGATTGTATCGTAAATGACCTTTATTTATTTATTCACCAATGTTTTTTGAGTGCCGGCTTGCTGCTAGGTGCTAGGCCTAACAATGTGGAAGAGGTCACTGCCCTTATGAATTGTTTTCTCTGGAAGGAGACATACAGTACCTAAAATATTTTCAGATATTGCTGAGTACTCTCAACCAAATTCAAGGGGGTGATGGGATAGCAAGCGCCCAAGATTAGGGGCAGCTACTTTAAAATTAAGTGGTGAAGGCATCTCTGAGGAGAGGTAATGTGCAAGGAAGTGAGGAAGGAGACTTCGAGGCCAAGAGATCAGCTGTAAGAGTTCTGAGGCAGAGAAGAGCCAGGCTTACTCTGTGGCCCGGAAGGCAGCCTGTGTGGCTGGAGTTTGGAGAATGTTGGAGAAAAGACAGAGAAGTTGTCAGGGGACAGATCACACAGGATCTTACTAGTATATTCACAAGGTTGCACAACCATCACTACAGTCTGTTTTAGAACACTTTTATTACTTCAAAAAGAAACATTGTATCCTTTACCTATCACTTCCCAATCCCCCAATTCTTCTTGTTTCCACCCCTCACCCCCAAGCAACCACTAATCTCTTTCTGTCTCCATGGACTTCCCTATTCTGAATATTTCATATCAATGGAATCATTCAATATGTGGACTTTATGTTTGGCTGCTTTCACTTAGTGTAATGTTTTCAAGGCTCATCCATGTTGCTTTCAGAGTCCTCCACCACTCTCACCATCTCTTCCTTTCTCTCTGTGTGTGTAATCATCTCATGGGGGAACACACTTCTGATTCTGCCAAATAAAGCTTCTTATGAATGTCCCCATTCCCTGGGAATACCATGGGCCCTGTATTAGTCCATTTGTGCTGCCATAACAAAATGCCTTTGACTAGATACTTTATAAATAACAGAAATATATTGCTCACAGCTCTGGAGGCTGGGAAGTCCAAGATCAAGGTGCTGGCATATTCAGTGTCTGGTGAGGGCTGCTCTGTGCTTCATAAATGGTGCCTTCTAGCTGTGTTCTCACATGGCAGAAGGGGCAAAAGGGCTGCCTCAAGCCTCTTTTATCAGGGCACTAATCCCATTTGTGAGAACGGTGCCCTTTGTGACCTAATCACCTCCCCAAAGTCCTCACCTTTGAATACCATCAGTATGGGGGTTAAGTTTCAACATGAATTTGGGGCTGGGTGCGGGGGACATATACATTCAGACCAAGCAGTTACCATTATTAAGCCACACCTGGGGGAACCCACCCTGTTTTTACTGTTTCGGTACAGCACGATATTACAGAGAATCACTCCTGGTCAGAGTGCCATATTGCTGGAAGCATTTGCTGAGCAGCTAAGAATTTTTTCTGAGTTTGTCATTTTGAGAAAGGCTTCACAGAAATGGGTCTCTTTATTTTAGGAGCTAAGTGTTTTGATGAAGTTGACCTACTATTCTTAGTCCTTGATAAGTAGACTCTTCTCATCTCAATTACGAATAAGAAATCCCATTTAAAGACTTACAACACAAAAATCTGTAGTTAATAGTTTCTAAAAATGTGCATAAATTGAAGCTCTTGTTCTACATCAATACAAGCTTGGGCTCTGACACAACAACTGATTCCACATGCATGTAGGGACTGCTGTCTCTTGAATGGCACCTGCAGATCTTCAGAGAAACGAGACGTTTCCAGAACTGGAATTGCAGGGCAGAACTGCACAAGTAATCAAGACTGTGTGGAACTATGTGGTACCGTAATTAAGACTGTGTGGTACTGGCATCGCATAGGTCAATGGAATAGAATTGAGAGTCTGAAAATAAACCTTTATATTTATGGTCAGTTAATTTTCTTTAAGACAGATAAACAAATACTTTTACACAAGAGTTGTTTGAGTCATGCAAATTTTAAGCTAATATTTACATAAGTGGCAATTGCTTTTCTGGAACTTGCTCAAATAATGGTTTCAGTAATTTCTCTTTTTTACCTATCTATATCATAATATAATTATACATAAACAAACTCATTTAGACAAGTTATACTCTTGCATTTTACTGGTACAAAGTCAAATGGAAATTAGAGACAAAATTATCTCTAAACTGATGATGAGATAGATTAAATATATACATAGATACGCATGCATAATGACTACAGGTTATCACATGTGGTTCTCTTACCATAAATATCCATTCACTGGGGTGTGTGGTCTTCACAGTGAGGTATGAGTTAGGGTACCCAAAATCTTCCTAAGGAGTAGTGTGCAAACATTATCATTTTAAGGGAAAGACTTCCCATATTCTCAACTTCCAAATACAGTTTTTACTAAAACAGCTAACTGCAACAACCCCCTTGCTATGGTTTGGAAGTTTTTCCCCTCCAAAATTCATGTTGAAATTTAATTCCCAATGTGGCAGTATTGACAGGCAAGGTTTCTTCTTCTTCTTCTTCTTCTTCCTCTTCCTCTTCCTCTTCCTCTTCTTCTTCTTCCTCTTCCTCTTCTTCTTCTTCTTCTTCTTCTTCTCCTCCTTCTTCTCCTCCTTCTTCTCCTTCTTCTTCTCCTCCTTCTTCTTCTCCTCCTTCTCCTCCTCCTCCTCCTCCTTCTTTCTTCTTCTTCCTTCTTCCTTCTTTCTTCTTCTTTCTTCTTCCTTCCTTCTTCTTCTTCTTTCTTCTTCTTCTTTCTTCTTTCTTCTTCTTCTTTCTTCTTTCTTCTTCTTCTTTCTTCTTTCTTCTTCTTCTCTTTTCTTCTTCTTTTCTTCTTCTTTCTTCTTCTTCTTCTTCTTTCTTCTTCTTCTTCTTCTTCCTTCTTCCTTCTTCCTTCTTTCTTCTTCTTCTTCTCCTCCTCCTCCTCCTCCTCCTCTTCTTCTTCTTCTTCCTTTCTCCTCCTCCTCCTCCTCCTTCCTTCTTCCTCCTCCTCCTCCTTCTTCTTTCTTCTTCTTCCTCTTCCTCCTCCTCTTCCTCCTCCTCTTCTTCTTCCTCCTCCTCCTTCTCCTCCTCCTCCTCCTCCTCCTCCTTCCTTCTTCTCCTCCTCCTCCTCCTCCTTCCTTCTTCCTTCTTCCTTCTTCCTTCTTCTTTCTTCTTCTTCCTCTTCCTCCTCCTCTTCCTCCTCCTCTTCTTCTTCCTCCTCCTCCTCCTCCTCTTCCTCTTCCTCCTCCTCCTCTTCTTCTTCTTCTTCTTTTTTTTCTACAAATGAGACAGGGTCTCGCTATGTTGCCTAGGCTAGACTTGAACTCCTAGGCTCAAGTGGTCCTCCCACCTCAGCCTCCTGAGTAAGAGGTGATTGGGTCATGAGGGTTCTGCCCTCATGAATGAATTAACCCATTCATGGATTAATAGGTGAATGGATTAGTAGGTTATCATGGGAGTGGGACTAGTGGCTTTATAAGAAGGGAAAGAGAGACCTGAGCTAGCAACCAGCCCCACTTGGCATTTGATGTCCTGTGCCACCTTGAGGCTCTGCAGAGAGTCCCCACCTGCAAGAAGGCCCTCACTCACAAAATGCAGCACCTCAACCTTGGACTTCTCATCCTCTATGACTGTAAGAAATAAATTCCTCTTTTTTATAAATTACCCAGTTTCAGCTGGGCGTGGTGGCTCACACCTGTAATTCCAGCACTTGGGGAGGGTGAGGCAGGTGGATCACTTGGGGTCAGGAGTTTGAGACCAGCCTGGCCAACATGGTGAAACCCCGTCTCTACTAAAAATACAAAAATTAGCTGGGCGTGGTGGCACATGTCTGTAATCCCAGCTACTTGGGAGGCTGAGGCAGGAGAATCACTTGAACCTGGGAGACAGAGGTTGCAGTGAGCCAAGATTGCACCACTGCACTCCAGCCTGAGCGACAGAGTGAGATTCCGCCTCAACAATAAATAAATACATAACTAAATAAATAACCAACCAACCAACCCAGTTTCAGGTATTCTGTTATAAGCAGCAGAAAAAAGACTAAGACATTGTGTTAGTCCATTCTCATGCTGCTAATAAAGACATACCTGAAACTGGGTAATTTATAAAGGAGAGAGTTAATTGACTCATAGTTCAGCATGGCTGTGGAGGCCTCAGGAAACTTACAATCATGGTCGAAGGAGAAGCAAACATGTCCTTCATATGGAAGCAGCAAGAAGAAGTGCAGAGTGAAGGGGGAGAAAAGCTCCTTATAAAACCATCCAATCTTGTGAGAACTCACTATCACAAGAACAGCATGAGGGTAACCTCCCCCATGATTCAATTACCTCCCACTGGGTCCCTCCCATGACACGTGGGGATTATGAGAACTACAATTCAAGATGAGATTTGGGAGAGAACACAGCCAAACCATATCAGACATCCTTCTTTAAAAAAATAATTTATTGAGGTAAAATCATACAATGTAAAATTAACCATTTTATTTTTAAAATTTATTGTGTATATTTGAGGTATATAACATGATATTATGAGACACATATACAACTTGGTAAATAGTTACTCTAGTGAAGCAAGTTAATATATCCATCATTTCACATAATTACCCATTTTTTTTGTTGGACAAGAAGAGCAATATTTCATTTAGCAAAAATTCCGAATACAGTACAATGTTATTAGCTATAGTCCTCATGTTTTACATTAGATCACTAGACTTGTTCATCTTACATATCTGCTACTTTGTATCTTTTACCCTTCATTTAAAAGTGAGCAATTAAGTGGCATTTTAGGATATTCTTAATGTTGTACAACCACCTCCTTTATCCAGTTCCAAAACATTTCCATCACTTCACAGCAAAAATCCCTTACCTATCAAGCAGTTTCTCTCTATTCTTTTATCCTCCCAACCCCAAATAACCACCAACCTACTTTCTGTATCTGTGAATTTATCCTGGATATTTTATATAAATGGAACTGGACAGCATGTAGCCTTTTGTGCCTGGCTTCTTTTGTGTAGCATAATGTTTTGGAGGCACTTCCATGTTGTAGCATGTATAAGTACTTCATTCCTTTTTATGGCTAAGTAATACTCCATTGTGTAGACATACCACAATTTTGTTTATCCACTCATCAGTTGATGGACATTTGGTTGTTTCCACCTCTTAGCTTATGAATAATGTTACTATGAACATGCTATATACACGTACTTATTTGAATACCTGTTTTAAATTCTTTTCGATATATACCTAGGAGTAGAATTTCTGGTTACTATGGTCATTCTGTTTAACTTTTTGAGGAATTGCCAAATTGTTTTCCACAGTGGCTGAAGCATTTTACATTCCCATCAGTAATGTATGAGGGTTCCAATTTATCTGCATCCTTGCCAACTTGTTTATTTATTTTTTTTAAATGAAAGCCATCCTAGTGTCTGTGAGGTGGGACCTCACTGTGGTTTTCATTTGCGTTTCCCTAAAGACTAATGACTAATGATCTCTTTATACATTTATCATATGTATGATTTGCAAATTTTCTCCTATTTTGTAGATTGTCTTTTCACTTTCTTGATAATGTCCTTAGATGCACAAAAATTTTAAATTTTGATTAATGTGTAATTTATGTGTTTTTTCTTTTGTTGCCCATGCTTTGCATGTCATTGCTAAGTATCCATTGCCAAATCAAAGGTCATGAGGATTTACCCATATGTTTTCTTCTAAGAGTGGTTTTAGTTCATATATTTAGATGTTTGGTCCATTTGAGTTAATTTTTGTATATGGTGAGAAGTAGTGGTCCAGTTTTGTTAACATATGGTTATCCAGCTGTCTGAGCACCATTTGTTGAGAAGACTGTCCTTTCTCCATTGAATGGTGTTGGCATCCTGTTGAAAATCAATTGACCATAAATATGAAGGTTTACTTCTAGACTCTCAATCCTATAACATTGATCTATATGTGTATTCTTAAGCTAGTTCCACACTATTTTGGTTACTGTAGCTTTGTAGTAAGTTTTGAAATTGAGAGGTGTGACTGCTATTTTGCTCTTTTTTTAAAGATCGATTTGGCTATTTAGGGTCCCATGCAATTCCATGTGGATATTAGGATTAGCTTGTCCATTTCTGCACAAAAGGCAGTTGGTATTTTGATGGGGATTGCACAGGATCTGCAGATTAATTTGGGAAATATTGCCATTTTAACAGTATTGAGTCTTGTAATCTATGGACGTAGGATTTCATTCCATTAATTTAGGTCTTTAATTTTTTAACAGTGTGTTGTAACTTTTAGTGTACATGTCTTTATACTTCCTTGGTTAAATTTATTTCTAACAGTTTTATTCTTTTTATTGCTATTATAAATGAAATTATTTTCTTCTTTTGCTCCTTGTATTGATCATTGCTAGTGTATAGAAATACAGCTGATTTTCATGTTGATCTTATATCTTGCAACTTTGCTGAACTCATTAGTTTTAATAGTTTTTTTTATTGATGTGGATTCTTTAGGGTTTTCTATATATAAAATCATAGCATCTGTGAATAGAGATAGTTGAACTTCTTCCTTTCTAATCTCAAAGAGTTTCTTTCTTTTTCTTGACTAATTGCTCTAGTTAGAACTTCCATTACAATGTTGAATAAGAGTGGTAAGAGTGGACATCCTTGTCTTGTTGCTGATTCTAGGAAAAAAGCTTTTAGTCTTTCACCTGTAAGTATGCTGTCAATTGCAGATTTTTCACAGATGCCCTTTATCAGGTTGAGGAAATTCTCTTTTATTTCTAGGAAGTTAACAGATGAGGCCAAAATAAACCATCTAAATGCTTTTAAAAATCCAATAGAGTAAGCCTAATTATCATTAAAAAGCACATAGAGAGTAGACTCTGATGAAGTAAGCAGAACAAAATGGGAAATTCTCTTCTATTCCTAATTCATTGAGTGTTTTTATCATGAAATGGTGGTTGACTTTCGTTAAATGCCTTTTCTGCATCTATGGAGGTAATCTTTTTTTTTTTTTTCTCCTTCCATTCTATTAATATGGGATAGTACATTGATTGATTTTACTGTGTTGAACTACTCTTACATTCCTGAGATAAACCCCTCTTGGTCATGGTCAGTCCTAATATGGTGCTGGATTTGGTTTGCTAGTATTTTATTGAGGATTTTTGCCTCTACATTCATAAGAGGATTTTTGCCCCTATATTCATAACTGTATTCTGTAGTTTTTATGTGTATTTGTCTGACTTCGGTATTAACATACTACTGGCCTGATAGAATGAGTTAGGAAGTGTTCTCTTCTCTTGGTTTGTTTGTTTATTTACTTATTTGAAGAGTTTGAGATTAATTGGTGTTGGTTCTTTTTTAAATGTTTGGTAGAATTCAGCAATTAAGACTTCTGGTTCCAGAATTTTATTTGTGGGAAGTTTTTGGTTACTGACTCAATCTCTTGCTATAAGTCTAGTCAGATTTTCTATTTCTTCTCAAGTCAGTTTAGGTAGTTGTGTTTTAATAGGAAGTTATCTGTTTCATCTAGGTTATTGAATTTATTTGGATTATAATTGTTCAAGATATTCCTTTATAATTTTTTATTTCTCTAAGGTTGGTAGTAATGTCCTCTCATTCCTGAAATTAGCGATTTGGGTCTTCTCTCTCTTTATCTTGGTAAGTCTTCTACAGTTTATCAATTTTGTTGATCTTAAGAGATCTTTCCTCTTTTGTTCTTTATTTTTCTCTTCTCTCTTTCATTTTATTTCCGCTATAATCTTTGGTGTTTTCTTCCTCTGCCTGCTTTAGGTTTAGTTTGCTCTTCTTTTTCTAGTTACTCTTTAAAATTGTTATGTAGGTTTTATTTTATAATAATGAACTTAACTCTGCAATCCAGCTAGACATGGAAGGGAATAAGGAAAATATGGAACCCAAAGAGCTTCAGTGAGTGCACAAAGATTATAGGATATTGAGAGCAAATGGAATTGAGGGGTGCTCTCTTGAGCTACAGAGGAAATAGTCTGGTGGTTAAGATAAAACAGGTCAAATTTATTAGAGTTGTCCATATTTGGCAATGGTGATCTTCTTGCTGGTCTTGCCATTCCTGGACCCAAAGTGCTCCATGGCTTCTGTGGCATTCATGGCCTCTTTGACCTTGCCAAAGACCACATACCTGCCATTCAACCACTCAGTCTTGGCAGTGGAGATGAAAAACTGGGAACCATTTGTATTCGGTCTACCATTTGCTGTGGGCAAGATGCCAGGACTTGTATGCTTCAGGTTGAAGTTCTCATCATCAAGTTTCTCCTGGTAGTTAGATTTGCCACCATTACTATTATGGCATGTGAAGTCCCCACCCTAGCACATAAACCCTGGAATAATTCTAGGAAAGTAAGAACCCTTATAACCAAATCCTTTCTCTCCAGTGCTCAGAGCATAAAAGTTTCCTGCTGTCTTTGGAACTTGTCTGCAAACAGTTTGAAGGAGACCTGGCCCAAGGACTCACCTTAGACAGCGACGGTGTCAAAGAACACAGTGGACTGGACCGGGGTTGACGATGGCAGTGTCTGCAAAGCCTTCTTTTTCTAGTTTATTAAAGTGAAAGTTTAGGTTATCGATTTGAGATCTTTCTCTTTTTTTAATGTAGGCATTTACAGCTATAAATTTCCCTCTAAGCACTGCTTTCAGTGTAACACATAAGTTTTGGTATGTTGTGTTTTCATTTTCATTGATCTCAAAGTATTTCATAATTTCCCTTGTGGTTTTTTTTGACCTATTGGTTGTTTAGGAGTGTGCTCTTTAATTCCGTATAATTGTGAATTTTCCAAATACCCTTCTGAAACTGATCTCTACTTTCATTCTGTTGTGCTGAAGAACATAATTTGTTTGTGCTGAAGAGCATAATTTGTATGGCTTCAGTCTTTTTAAGTTTATTGAGATTTATTTTGTAACCTACATATGGTCTACCTTGAAGAATGTTTCACATGCACTTGAGTAGAATGTGTATTTTGCTATTGGGTGGTATGTTCTATAGGTGTCTGTTAGGTCTAGTTGGTTTATAAAGTTGTTCAAGTCATATATATATATATATATATATCTGCCTACTTGTTTCTTCTGTGATTGAAAAGAAGATATTGAAATTTCCAACTATTTTTGTTAAATCATCTGTTCTCTTCAATTTTGCAATTTTTTGCTTCATGTATTTTGGGGCTGTGTTGTTAGGTGCATATATATTTAAAATTATTATGTCTTCCTCTTGGATTGATCCTTTCATCATTATAAATAATTATAAATTGTCACTCTTTGACTCCATTAACAATTTTTGTTATAATGTAAATCTTATCTGATATTAGTATAGCTGCTCCAGCTCTCTTATGGTTGTTGTTTGCATAGTATATCTTCTTCCATTCTTTTACTTTCAACTTATGTTTTTTAGAGATGGGGTCTTGCTTTGTTGCCCAGGCTGGAGTGCAGTGGCTATTCACAGGCATGATCATAGTGCATTATAGCCTCAAACTTATGGGCTTAAGCAATTCTCCTCCCTGATATTCCCAAGTAGCTAGGACTACAGGCACATGACACTACACCTGACCTCAACTTATTTCTATTTTTGCTGTTTGTTTTCTGAATAGTCAATAATTATTGGGTACTCGCTGTATTCAAAGCTAAACCTGTTTCACCTTTGCCTTTCCCATTCCTTAAATCTTTTTCTCTGATATTTTCAATAGTGAGAATATGTGCAACATAGTCTTGATGTTTATGAAAAGAAACTATTGGAAAAACTTCATGCACATTGTATAATTCTTGTGAAAGTTATCTACAATTTTTAAGGAATGTGGTTGAGCTCAAAAGACCTAATATTTCCAGTAGTAACCACACTTATTTTTTTTTATTTGCTAATTGTTATTTGCTTTTGAGGATCTTAATATGTTAACTTTATGTGGATAATTTTTTTTAAATCGTCAATTAGCTCATTGTCTTTATTAAATTACTTATATAATACAACTTAAGGGACCCAGAAGTGTGCTGCAAGCCTCTTGGGGTCACCACTTTTATTTTTATTTATTTATTTATTTATTTATTTATTTTTATTTTATTATTATTATACTTTAAGTTTTAGGGTACATGTGCACAATGTGCAGGTTAGTTACATATGTATACATGTGCCATGCTGGTGTGCTGCACCCATTAACTCGTCATTTAGCATTAGGTATATCTCCTAAAGCTATCCCTCCCCCCTCCCCCCACCCCACAACAGTCCCCAGAGTGTGATGTTCCCCTTCCTGTGTCCATGTGTTCTCATTGTTCAATTCCCACCTATGAGTGAGAATATGCGGTGTTTGGTTTTTTGTTCTTGCGATAGTTTACTGAGGATGATGGTTTCCAATTTCATCCATGTCCCTACAGAGGACATGAACTCACCCTTTTCTATGGCTGTATAGTATTCCATGGTGTATATGTGCCACATTTTCTTATTCCAGTCTATCATTGTTGGACATTTGGGTTGGTTCCAAGTCTTTGCTATTGTGAATAGTGCCGCAATAAACATACGTGTGCATGTGTCTTTATAGCAGCATGATTTATAGTCCTTTGGGTATATACCCAGTAATGGGATGGCTGGGTCAAATGGTATTTCTAGTTCTAGATCCCTGAGGAATCGCCACACTGACTTCCACAAGGGTTGAACTAGTTTACAGTCCCACCAATGGTGTAAAAGTGTTCTACACTTATATAAAATATTGTGTGCATGTCTTGTAACCACTTTCAGTTTATGAAATACTCCCATATTCCACTAGGAATGTAACCTCAGTCTATCCCTGAGCAGGATTATCTATGTTTAAAGTGCCAGGTTGATAGTTGTGGAACCAAGGCTTGGAGCCCTCAAGGATCATGCTCAGGCTGTGGAACTCCCTGGACCACGTGCCATCTCCAGCAGATCTGGGTGCAAGCCCAGGTTCACTAATCACCAGGTCACATGTGAGACCATGTCCACCTCACCACCCTCAGCCTCCAAAGAAAAGTGAGCAGAACTCTTCTCATTTAAACCTATATCATTTTGTCATCCTTTTCAGTGTGATTCTCTGGAGCTCCTAGCTAGAGGGGCCTCAAGGACCAAGACAAGGATATTCTACTCACAATGTGACTTCCCCAAGTCATAAAGTAGCTGCTGTGTTTTGTTACTAAACGTGCTCCCCTTGCTGTCCTCCCTCTCCCTTTTAGAGCCATGGGACCACACCACCACCACCACAACCAATAGGCCAGGAACCACCAGAGCTCCGGCAAAACCTCCAGGTAATGTGGCTGCCTTAAGGAGGGCAGTGAGGAAGGGCCCTCTGGAGTTCCCTCTGGGGTAGCATGCAAGTGAACTACCTACAGTTTTAAGCCCCATGTGTGCAGAAACAATCAAGGCATCCATGTGAACACTGAGTTTAACTTTATAATAGAGTGCATACCTGGCTGATCACTATGCCTTCTGTGTGTTTTATGAAAAGTCCTGCCTGGGAAAATTTCAAGAGGAAAATGCATTTGGACTTCTTCCCCTTTTTAGCCGTTTCATTTTCTAAAATCAGGGAAAATGTAATTGTTTAGGTTTTATGAAGCCGATCAAGCATTTTCTTTAGGCAGATGGAACATTTTGGAATGGCATTTATTTTACAGTGTCATCTTTCAGTAAAGGATTTTGGGACTTGGTTCTTCTTAACAACTCTTTCCTGTTGTCACTTGACCCTTTCTTCAGATGGGCCACTTTACGATTTAGACATCTTCACTGATGTAAAGAAAAATGTGACGGTGTGGCTGGGATCCCAGTCATTGCTCCCATCCAGCAACTTGTTACCAGTAGTCGGGGGCATGATAATACGTTCTGTGCGGTAGAGAGCTACCTTTCTTCCGAAGAGACACTGATGATGCAAGAAAGTCACTGCTGCTTTATGATTTGCCCTCATTTCTTCACATTTCCACATTCAAAGGGGTGCTTCATGACCACATGACCTCTCCCTTTTGGTTGTCCTCTTTATGGACTCTGTGTACCTGGTTTTGAATTTTGGGTTAATACCTACAGTCAGTGAGTATACTGTTAAAATGGTCCGACTGCTAGCCTAAGCAGAAAATACCTAGGAATATAAATTAATTGAAAAACTGGTGGTATACTGCAAAGTCAGAAAGTAGTAACTTTTTCTATCCTGCAGATATTTTCATTATCAATGTCTGTACACAGAATTGGATTCCAATATAAGTCTCTTTGTCTTAACCCATTGTTGGTATTGATCAGTTGAACCCATGGGCATTTTGCTTATTTTGGAATCTTATACCCAGTTGTTAATCAGTTGGCTGTTTCCTTTATGTTTTGGGGCCCACTGAAGGTAGTGGATTGGACTTGGCTGATGCTTTGGATGATCAAGATGATGGCCGCAGGAAACCGGGTATAGGAGGAAGAGGTAAGTCTTTGCTGGTTGAAACTACTACAGGATTCTGTCTCATTAATTACAACATCAACATCCCACAGAGCCAGAGTCAGTCTGGGCTTGGCAGAGGTGGAGGCACTTCAAGCCACTGGAGAACCCTGTAACAGTAGTTCTCAAACCTTTTTTGTCTCAGGACTCCCCAAATCATTGAGATCTCAAGAGATTTTTGTTTATGTGGGTCACGTTTACCAATGCTCATCATCTTAGAATTTAAAACTGAAAGACTTTATTAATCTAAAATGAACAACACTAAACCCATACATTTAACATAAATAACATTTTTATGAGAAATAACTATGCTTGGTAAGACAAAAACTTATATTGAGGAGAGCGGCACGCTGTTACATTTTTGCAGATTTCTCTCATGTCTGGCTGGATGGAAGCAGCTGGCTTCTCACAGGCACTTTATTCCATCGTGAGATGTTGTTTTGGTTGAAGTATATGAAGGAAATCTGGCCTCACACCCATAGGCAGTGGGGAAAGGGAGGAATATTTTCACAGACTTTTCAGATCCTTGTGGATAATCTTCTCGGATAGGACACCAAAACTTGGCCCCAACAAAAGCGGTTGTTTCTTACAGGTTAAGCGTAGTGTGGAGTGTGAAACTCTGTCAGTGAACTTTGCACACTTGGTTCCGTGGGACTGTCTTGTCCTTTCAATGGATCTTTTACCCATTCATGGTTTTGTAACATTGCATGTTGGTCATTTGGAAAATATTAGTGCCTTGAGGTTTTTCGAGCTTCCAAGTAATGCCATGTGTCATTGTGTAAAACTGAAAGTCATATTTGTTCATATCATCACCCATCTCATTTGAAAAAAATATGCATTGGGGAAACTGTTAAACTCACAGTGGTAGAAAAAGATGTTTTTGAAGTTCTAACTTTTCCTTGAAATCTTATCATTGGCAACAAATACCATGAGTGGGTTTCTTTAAATTGACAGGCTCATTCATTTTCAAGAAAACATCTAACAGATATTAAAGTTGGCAAAACCATAGTTGGTTTTAAAAAATCTTTAAATATTGATTAATTACTCTTCAATTCACTTTTTCAAGGAAAAAATCTTCTTTGAGAGGAATGGCTCATACTGCTCAGAATGGAAATAATCACATAAAGCAGTTTTTTTATGTCAACTTTTGTATTTCCATGTGCCACATAAATGCTTGAAATGTACTTCCTGTTTTGTTAGAAAATATTAAAAGGTCGTGCTCTCATACAATTAAAACATTTTTAACTTCCTCATGTTAGTTTTCCAGTGCTGCTGAACATGCTATCATAAACTTAGTAGCTTAAAACCATGTTCACTTATTTTCTAGGTTTCCCTGCGCTGCTGAAGTTCAGCCATTTAAGTGTCAAAACTTTTTTGACAAAATGACCCTTGATTCTCAACTTTCTGTTTACCTACTTTTTAAAATTTAAACTTTCATTTTTAGATAATCATAGATTCGTGTGTAGTTGTAAGAAATAATAGAGAAGGACCCCTTGTACCCTTCACCCAGTTTCCCCTAATAGCAACATCTTGAAAATTGTACTCTACTATCATAGCCATATATTGACATAGATATAATCTATGCATTTATTCAAATTTCCTAGTTTTGTTTACACTCACATGTGTGTGTGTCTTCTCTGCAATTTTATCACGTGTGTAGGTTTGTGTATCTATCATCACAGTCAGATACAAACAGTTCCGTCACCATAAGTATCCCATGATTACATTTTATAACCACACCCACCTTCCTACAGTTCTATTTCCCCTTCCCCATCCCTTTCCTAACCCCTGGCAACCACTGATCTGTTTTCCATTTGTAAAATGTTGTCATTTCATGGCATTCAGTTTTGGGGGGAGGCAAAAAAAAAAGTTGTATTTCAAAAATGTTATGTAAATGTAATTATAAAGTAGATAACCCTTTGGAATTGGCCTTTTTCATGTATAATTCAGTTGGCATCCATTCATATTGTTGGGTGTATTAATTGCTCATTCATTCTTATTGCCAAGGAGTATTCCATGGGATGGATGTACCACAGTTTGTTTACTTGATGTATTGACCCCAGTTTTTGGCTATTATGAACAAGGCTGCTGTAAACTGTCATGTATAGTATTTTTGTGTGAACATAAATTTTTCTTTCTTTATGAATAAATGCCCAAGAGTGCAGTGACTGGATCACATGGTAGTTACATGTTTAGTTTTGTAAGAAATGATCAGTTTTCCATGAAGACTGTAATATTTTGCAATCCCTAATTCATTGTGTCAGTGCCATTTTCTCTGTATCTTCACCAGTATTTGGTGCTATCACTATTTCCATTTTAGCCATTTTATAAGTGTGTGGTAATATCTTATTGTGGTTTAGTTTGCATTTCTCTGGCTAATGATATTGAACACCTTTTCATGTATTTGTTTGCCATCTGTATATCCTTTTCAGTGGAATGTCTGTTCATGTTTTTGGTCCATTTTCTAATTAGATTTTTTGTTTTTCTTACTATTGAGTTTGAGAGTTCCTTAAATATTGTAGACATTTGTCCTTAGTCAGATATATGGTTTGCAAATATTTTCTTCCATTCTGTAGCTTGTCTTTTTATCCTCTTAACAGAGTCCTTTGCAGAAGTTTTAGATTTTGATGATGTTCAGTTTGTCAATTTTTCCTTTTATTGATCATACTTTTTTTTGTGTGTGTCCAAGACAGGGTCTCACTCTGTTGCCCAGGCTGCAGTGCAGTGGCATGATCGTGGTTCACTGCAGCCTTGACCTCCCGGGCTCAAGTGATCCTCCCACCTCAGCTTCCCAAGTAGCTGGGACTATAGTTGCACACCACCACACTTGGCTAATTTTTGTATTTTTTGCAGAGATAGGGTCTCACTATGTTGCCTAGGCTGGTCTTGAACTCTGGGCTCAAGCCATCTACCCACCTTAGCCTCCCAAAGTGCTAGGATTACAGGCATGAGCCACTGCACTTGGCCTGGATCATGCTTTTGATGCCAAGTCTAAGAACTCTTTGCCTATACCTAGGTTTTATAGATTTTCTCCTATGTTTTTTTTCCTGAAACTTCGCTTGCTTGCCTGTGAATGTCTAATTGTTCTAGGACCATTTGTTAAAAAGACTATCTGCCCGTTGAATTGTTTTTGAGCCTTAAAAAAATCATTTGGAATATAACTGTTTTTGTTGCACTTGGTATCCTTATATTTTGTTGAGGATTTTTGCATCTATATTACTAACAGAAATAGGTTTGTAGTTTTTCTTGTGATGTCTTTGTCTGGTTTTCATATCAGTGCACTACTGATTTCATTGGATTATTTAGGTAGTGTTGTCTCCTCTTATTTTCTGGAAGAGTTACTGAAGAATTGCTGTTAATTATTTAAATATTTTATAGAATTTATCAGTGAAGGCATTTGACTCTGGGCTTTTCTTTTGGGGAAGTTTTTTGTATTATTAATTCTATCTATTATAGGTCTATTCAGATTTTCTATTTCCTTTTTAAAATTTTATTTTATTTTTGATGCTCTACACCTTCAGAGAATCTTCTCTAATAACAAACTACAGAAATGATCCCTGAAAGTAGAGTCTTAAGTCTCTTTTATTGCAGTCATCTTCGTGGGCGTGAAGTTGTGTCTTATTGTCTTATTGTGGTTTTGATGTGCATTTCCCTAATGCTAATGAAATCAAATATCTTTTCATGTGCTTTATTGAATATTGTTTATGTTTTTTGGAGAAATGTCTATTCAAATCCTTTGTCCATTTTAAATTGGGTTATTGTGTTTTTATTGGTGAGTTTCATTTTTATTTTTATTTTGTTTAATTTAATAGAGACAGGGTCTCACCATGTTGCCTAGGCTGGTATCCAACTCCTGCGCTCAGGTGATCCTCCTGCCTCAGCCTCCCAAAGTGCTGGGATTACAGGCATGAGCCACCACGCCTGGCCAGATTTTCTATTTCTTCTTGAGTCAGCTTCAATAGTTTGTATCTTTCTAGGAGTTTGTCCATTTCATCTAGGCTGCCCAATTTATTGGCATACTTTTGTCAATGATATTCCCTTAAAATCCTTTTTATTTCTATTAAGTCATTAGTGATATCCTCTCTTTCATTTCTCATTTCAGTAATGAGTCTTCTCTCCTTTTCTTTGTCAGTCTTGCTAAAGGTTTGCCAATTTTGTTGATCTTTTCAAAAACCATCTTTTGCTTTTATAGACTTTATTGTTCTTCTGTTATTTATTTCATTTTTTTCTACTTTCATATATTTTTCTTCTATTCTCATCTTTTTTTCTTCCTTCACTCTGCTTGCTCTGTGTTTGGTTTCCATTTTCTGGTTTCTGAGGTGAAAGGTTAGGCTACTGATTACAAATCTTTCTCCTTTTTTACTATAGGCCTTTACAGTAGTAAATTTGCTTCTAAACATGGCTGTTGCTGTATCTCATAAGTTTTTGTGGATTGTGTTTTTGTTTACATTCTTCTCAAAGTTAAAATTTCCCTTCTGATTTCTTATTTGACCTATTGGTTATTTTGGTGTGTGTTGTTTAGTTTCCACATATTTGTGAATTTCCCTAATTTATTTCTGTCATTGATTTCCAATTATGATTGGAGAGCACACTTTCTTTGCTTTTAATTCTTTTAAATCTATTAAGGCTTGTTTTGTGGCATATCAGAAGGTCTATCCAGGAGAATGTTCCCAGTGCCTTTGAGCGGAATGCAAATTCTGCTGTTGTTGGGTGGAATGTTCTCTATATGTCACTTCGATTTCGATAGTTATTGTATTGGTCAGTTGTACATCTTTGGTGAATTTTTTGTCCACTAATCCAATTAATGATGGCAATAGGGTATGGAATTTCCCCAACGATAATTATGGATTTGTTTCTCCCTTTAGCTCTATCAACTTTTGTTTCATATATTTTGAGTCTCTGTTTTTTGATACATCCAAATTTAGGATCATTATGTCTTCCTAGTGGATTGATTCTTTTATCATTGTGTTGTGTTACTTTTTGTCTAAAATATTTTCCTAGCTATGACATCTCATTTATCTGATATTAATATAACCACTCCCACTTTCTCTTGTTTTTATTAATGTTCAAATGCACATTTAGACATCAAAATTGGCAAGTTATTGTTTAAGGTTAAGTAACATCAGTGACCTTTCCCCATTCATTACTATTGAACCCCATTGGACTATTTTATCTTATGAATGGATCTTTTGTCCATTCACCATTTTGTAACATCCTGTACAGGTTGTTTGGAAAATACTGATGCCCTGAGTGAGTTGTGTTGTTTCTGAATGATGACACTTTTCCTTATCCAATACTCAAAACTCATGTTTGCTAATATCACCACCAGTCTCATGGTTGAGCTCTAATAAAATTATTTTTCTGCTTTTTGATATTTATTTTGTATTGCTTTATAACATGTTACCATAAAATTAGCAAGTTAAAGTAGTATTCATTCACTCTTATAATTTCCCTGGGTCAGGAGTATGGGTCCTACGTAGCTGGGTCCTCTGCTCAGTGTCTTATACAAGGTTGCAATTCAGATGTCATCTGGGGCTAGGGGTCTTGTCTGAAGTTTGATATTATATTACTTCATATTGCTTTTGTAATGAGTTACCATGAACTTGATTGCTTAAACAACATAAACTTGTTATTTTATAATCATTGAGGTCAGAAATCCAAAATTGGGTCTTCCTGGGCTAAAATCAAGGTGCTAGCCAGGCTCCATTCCTTTTGGAGACTCTAGGGGAGAATTTATTTCCTTGCCTTTTCCTGCTTATAGAGGCCACCTGCATTTCTTGGCTTGTGGTTACTTCCTTCATCTTCAAAGTCAGCAGTGTGGCATCTTCAGATCTCTCTCTGACTCTTACCTTTGCTTCAAATCTCTCTCTGACTCTTACCTTTGCTTCCATCATCATATCTCCTTCTCTGACTCTCCTGCTCTTCCTTTCCCTTATAAGGACTCTTATGATTTTGCTGGCCCCACCCAGATAATTCAGGATAATCACGGAACTCGCGGCTGCTTCCTTCTTTACTATTGGCAAGTGTACAAAAATTTCTGCTGCCTGTAGTGTCTTCTCAGGGAAGGCGTAAAACCCCTCTTTTCAAGGCTGTACCTGGTTATGTTAGAATCACCCAGAATAATCTCCCTTTTGAGTAATTCAGAGTCCCGTCAAAGACATCTTAAGTGCATCTGCAAAATCCATTTACCTCTGCTATGTCATAATCTGATCACAGCAGTTATATCCAGCCTATTCATGGGTCCCTCCCATGCTCATGAGTGAGGATTATGCAGGGTGTATACCTTGGGGGTGGGAATTTTGCCAGCCATCTTAGAATTCTGTCTACCATGTTTATCTAGGACATGCTTAAGTAAGACTGGCATTCTCTTTCAACTGCCATTGTATAGTGGTGAAGAATCTGATGACTCCTAGTACCATTTGGTGCCACTGCCTCGGTTCATGCTAAGGGCCAGCAGGTTTACTCATTGTTGGTTTTGCACCACAGTGCAAGTGCCAACCCCATAAAAGCATGATTATGAAAATAGTTTTTCATAATCTATGGAGCCCAGGGGTCCTTGAAACACTCTTTGAGAACAACCATTTGTGGAGATGACCTTACACAGCCATGTGGCATCAGTATGTTTTCATTCAGGTCAGTGATGTTTTCGATATCAGTGTACAGCAATCATGTATTGTGGTGCTACAGCAGGCAGGAAGGTTGCTTTAGATGTCTTTTGTTGTATGAAGCTACACCTTTTCAGTTTTACTTCTGTAGAAAGTAATATAAATTAATGCAGCCTTTTGAGAGGGCAGTTTAGTAAAATATTTGAATGAGCAGTTCTACTTCAAAGCATTTTCCCTGTAGGTATACGTATGCATGTGTGCAGTGGTACATTTTAAATGATGTTTGTGATTTCTTGTGTTTTGTACCAGCCAAAAATTAAACACCCTTAAATCCCACTAGTGAAATATACAGATTCTAAACCATTCATACTCTGAAGCCATTGCAAAAAATAAGGTAGAGCTCTGGAACTGACATGAAAAAGGCAAGTCACAGAACAGGATGTATGTAGTATGAATCAATTTCTATCAAATATAAGTGGATGTGAGCACACACACACAGGCCTGCAGGCAGATCTGAAAAGGTACAGAGCAGCCCCCTCTTGGGATAGATTTGAGGCTGCCTTTTTTTCTTATAATCTACACCACTGGGTATTTTTTATATTGAGCAAGTATTACCTTTATAATAAACCTTAAAAATTAAAGTGATCTTTACTAATGAGGAAGAACTCTAGATTAGAACTGGAGAACTAGAGAGGCCTTTCCCCTCATTGTTTGGATGAGAGGGACTTGTCCAAGGTCGCGCTGCAAGCCAGCAGCACAACTGGCCTGAAGTGCAGGGATCCTGGCTTTACCTTGGGGGCCTTTTCTTCTACAACATGTTGCCATGAGAAGTGTCTGCATAGAGAAGGTACTGATGACCCAAAAGACGAGTTTAGGGTCAATTGGTGTGCTTTGGCCAAAGAAACCCTGGAAAATCCTCTATTCATGAACAGGTCAACCTGCCCCAAAGAGTTGTTGGAATACCTCAAAATCAAAAGTACAAGCTTTGATATATAGTGCCTGCTGGTCTGCTTGGCAGCTCTCCTACTGAATGGAAGATTAGATTAAAAAATCTAGAAAGCTGAAAAAGGGACTTCTCTTTAAGAGGTAAGCACAGTGCAATAACAGAAAAGTTGTAACTTCAGGGCCCCAAGAAAGGTGGTATTCTGTATACTCATGTCAAAGTGACAGAACTGTATTATTTGCTCTGTAAAGATTTACTATTGCTCTGTAAAGATTTGCTATCTGGAAGGTTATCAGTGTTACACAAACCATTGGCCATAGGAAGGAACAAGCTTTAGTTCTCTGGAAAGTTGCCTGTGTATACCATCTCATTCCTAGATGTTCTTATCCGGTGTCATTTTTTTTTTTGAGGTGCAGTTTTGCTCTTGTTGCCCAGGCTGGAGTGCAATGGCATGGTCTCAGCTCATAGCAACCTCTGCCTCCAGGGTTCAAGCGATTCTCCTGCCTCAGCCTCCCAAGTAGCTGGGATTACAGGCTCCCACCACCACGCCCGGCTAATTTTTGTGTTTTTAGTAGAGACGGGTTTTCACCATGTTGGCCAGGCTGGTCTTGAACTCCTGACATCAGGTGATCTGCCCACCTCGGCCTCCCAAAGTGCTGGGATTACAGGCTTGAGCCTTCACGCCCGGCCTTCTACTGCCATTTTTCCGAAGTCAGGTCTACATGATTTGTTGTTTTATTTTTAGTGTCAATTAATAGATATTCCTGAGTCTCTGCAGACCAGCCATTTGCATGTCAGACCTTTTTTTGCATCAGAAATTACCTTGATAAGCCTGGACAACTTAGCAAGACCCCGTCTCTACAGAAGATGAAAAAATTAGCTGGGCGTAGTGGTGCATGCCTGTAGTCCCAGCTGCTCAGCAGGCTGAGGTGGGAGAATCACTTGAGCCTGGGAGTTCTACACTGTGGTGAGCTATGATCGTGCCACTGCACTGCAGCCTGGGTGACAGAGTGAAACCCAGTCTCAAAAAACACGAAATTACCTTGATGCTCAAATCGTGGTAATTTGACTTTTAATTTTGAGGTAATTGTAAATTCACATGAAGTTGTAAGAAATAATACAGAGAGATCCTATGCACCCCATACCCAGTTTCCCCCAGTGGTAACATCCTGCAAAACTATAGTATAAGATCACAACCAAGATATTGACATTGATATAGTCTGGTGATCTTATTCAGATTTCCTCAGTTTTACTTCTACTGAGTGTGTGTGTGTGTTTACTTCTATGCAGTTTTATCACTTGTGTGGGTATGTGTATCTACCATGACAGTCTAGACAGAACTATTTCATCACCACAAAGATCCCTCTTGTTGCCCTTTTATAAACACAGACACTCCCTCTTGCCACCCACTCCTTGCCTGTCTCTAACCCCTGACAACCATTAATTTGTTCTCCATCTGTAGCATTTGGCAATTTCAAAAATGGAATCACAGAGTATATACTGTTTTGGGACTGGCTTTTCTCACTCAACATAATTCCCTTGAGATCCTTCCGAGTCACCGTATATATCAATAATTTGTTGCTTTTCCTCACTGAACAGTATTTCATGGTGTGGACGTACCATAGTTTGTTTAACCATTCGCTTTTTGGAGGTCATCTGGGTTGCTCCCAGTTTTTGACTATTATAAGCACTTACATACACGTTCTTATGTGAATATGACTCTTCATTTCTGTGGGATAAATGCTAAGTTGTGTGAGTGCTGGGTTGTGTGGTTGTTATAGGTTTAGTTTGTTAAGACATTACCAACATATTTTTGTGGTGAGAACATTCAAGATCTACTCTCTTGGCAATTTTTGAGTATATAATATATTATTATTAACTATAGTCACCCTGCTCTATAATAAATCTCCAGAACTTATTCCTCCTGTCTAACTGAAACTTTGCACCCTTTGACTAGCATCTCCCTACTCCCCACCCCAGCCCCTGGCCACCAGTATTCTGCTCTATGCTTCTATGAGTTCAGTTTTGGTTTTTTTTCTAATTTTCTTTGAGTTGTAAAGCTGGGTTGTTTATTTGAGATCTTTGTGTTTGTTTGTTTGTTTGTTTGTTTTGAGTCGGAGTCTCGCTCTGTTGCCCAGGCTGGAGTGCAATGGCGCCATCTCAGGTCACTGCAACCTCCGCCTCCTGGGATTACAGGCATCTGCCACCACACTTGGCTAATTTTTGTATTTTTAGTAGAGTTTTAGTTTTATTTTTATTTTGTTTTATTTAATTTAATAGAGACAGGGTCTCACCATGTTGCCTAGGCTGGTATCGAACTCATGTGCTCAGGTGATCCTCCTGCCTCGGCCTCCCAAAGTGCTGGGATTACAGGCATGAGCCACCACGCCTGGCCAGATTTTCTATTTCTTCTTGGGTCAGCTTCAGTAGTTTATATCTTTCCAGGAGTTTGTCCATTTCATCTAGGCTGCCCAATTTATTGGCATACTTTTGTCAATGATATTCCCTTAAAATCCTTTTTTATTTCTATTAAGTCATTAGTGATATCCTCTCTTTCATTTCTCATTTCAGTAATGAGTCCTCTCTCTTTTTCTTTGTCAATCTTGCTAAAGGTTTGTCAATTTTGTTGATCTTTTCAAAAACCATCTTTTGTTTTTATAGACTTTATTGTTCTTCTGTTACTTATTTCATCTGTTTCTACTAGAGATGGGGTTTCACCATGTTGGCCAGGCTGGTCTCTTGGCCAGGCTGTTCTCGAACTCCTGACCTCGTGATCTGCCCACCATGGTCTCCCAAAGTGCTGGGATTATAGGCATGAGCCACCGTGCCTGGAGAGATCTTTGTTTTTTGTTTAGGTTGGCATTTATTGCTATAAAGTTCTCTCTCAGGACTGCTTTTGCTGCATCTCATAAGTTTTGGTATGTTGTGTTTCTATTTTTATTTGTCTCAAAAATTTTTTTGATTTCCCTTTTGATTTCTTCTTTGACCCGTTGGTTGTTCAGGAGAATGTTGTTCAATTTCCACACATTTGTGAATTTTCCAATTCTCTGTTCAAACTTCTAGTTTTGTACCATTGTGGGTGGAAAAGACACTTGATATGATTTCAATCTTGTTAAATTTATTAAGACCTTTTCTGTGACCTAACATGTGACCTATCCTGGAGAATGTTCCATGTGTGCTTGAAAAGAATGTGAATTCTGCTGCTGTTGGATAGAATGTTTTGTGTATGTCTGTTAGGTCCATTTGGTCTAGAGTGTTGTCCTGGCCCGCTGTTTCCTTATTGATTTTTCTGTCTGGATGACTTGTCCATTGTTGAAAATGGAATATTTTCATCTTCTTAAACAGGTCTTTTACAGAGGAAATGTTTTAATTTTCACAAGGTGGATGTATCAATTTTTCTTTTTATGAAACGTGGCTTTGTTGTCAATTGTGTGAACTCTTTACCAAGCTCTCAGTCCCAAAGATTTTTTTTATGTTTTCTTTTGAAGTTTCATAACTTTATATTTAAGTAAAGATGATCATCCATTTTGAGCTCATTTTTAATAAGGTGTGAGGATTAGGTTGAGATTCATTGTTTTTACCTATTGATGCCCAATTACTCCAGCACCGTTTGTTCAAAAGACTATGCTTTATCAAATTGCTTTTGTACCTTTATCAAGAATCACTTGAGTGTATTTGGGGTCTTTTTGGGCTCTTCATTCTGTTTGATTGATCTGTCTGTCTGTCCCTCTGCCACAGTCCTGATTACTATAACTATAAATTCAGCTTTAATATTGGTTAGAGTGATTTGTTCCACTTTATTCTGCTTTGTCAAGTTCTTTTAAGGTTCTTCTAGGGCCTGTGCCTTTTCATATAATTTTAGATTAAGTTTGTCTTTGCCTAGTCTAGAAAAAAACTTACTGGGATTATGATAGGATGTGTATTAAACATAGATCCATTTTGGGACAGTTGACATTTTTACTTTGTGGAGTCTTCTAATCCATGAATACGGTATGTCTCTCAATTGATTTATGTCTTCTTTGATGTCTTTTCTTGAGAACACTGTAAATTTTGGTATAGAGGATCCGGTACATGTTTAAATGTATGTTTAAATATTTTCTTTTCTAGCCGGGCATGGTGGCTCACGCCCGTAATCCCAGCACTTTGGGAGGCCGAGGCGGGCAGATCACGAGGTCAGGAGTTCGAGACCAGCCTGACCAACATGGTGAAACTCTGTCTTTAATAAAAATACAAAAATTAGCGGGGTGTAGTGGCACGCATCTGTAATCCCAGTTACTCAGGAGGCTGAGGCAGGAGAATTGCTTGAACCCGGGAGGTGGAGTTTGCAGTGAGCTGAGATCTCGCTATTGCACTCCAGCCTGGGCGACAAAGTGAGACTCTGTCTCAGAAAAAAAAAAAAAAAAAAAAAAAAAAAAAAAGGCTGGGCACGGTGGCTCCCGCCTGTAATCCCAGCACTTTGGGAGGCCAAGGCGGGCAGATCACGAGGTCAGGAGATCGACACCATCCTGGCTAACACGGTGAAACCCCGTCTCTACTAAAAATACAAAAAATTAGCTGGGCGTGGTGGCAGGTGCCTGTAGTCCCAGCGACTCAGGAGGCTGAGGCAGGAGAATGGCGTGAACCTGGGAGGCAGAGCTTGCAGTGAGCCAAGATCACGCCACTGCACTCCAGCCTGGGCGACAGAGCGAGACTCTGTCTCAAAAAAAAAAAAAAAATTGTCTTTTCTTTTTTTTGAGCCTGAGTCTCGCTCTGCTGCCCAGACTGGAGTGCAGTGGTGTGATCTTGGCTCACTGCAGCCTCCACCTCCCTGACTCAAGCAAGATTCTCCCACCTCAGCCTCCCAAGTAGCTGGGACTACAGGCACATACCACCATACCTGGCTAACTTTTGTATTTTTAGTAAAGATGGGATTTCACCATGTTGCCCAGGCTGGTCTCAAACTCCTGAGCTCAGGTGATCTGCCCACTTTGGCCTCTCAAAGTGCTGGCATTATAGGCGTGAGCCACCGTCCCATCCTAAATATTTTCTTTGGAGCAATTGTGAATGGCTAATTTTGGGTTTGATATGTTCACTGCTATGATATGTGATCAATATTGTTGAACTTGTATCCTGAGACCTTGCTGAACTCACTTATTCTAGAAATTTTTTGTAGATTTCTTGGAATTTTCTATGTACATGATCATGTCATCTGCAAATAGAAACATATATAGTTCTTCCTTTCCAATCTGTATATATTTTTTCATATTGCAATGCTAGACATTTCAGTACCATATTAAATAAGAGTGGTAAGAGTGATGTCCTTGGTGTTTCAGACCTTAAAGAAAGAGCATTCAGTCTTTCACCATTAAGTCTGACGATAGCTATAGGTGTTTTCTAGATGTTCTTTATGAAGTTGAGATAGTTCCCCTTTATTTCTAATTTGCTGAAAGTATTTTTTTTCCATAAATGAGTGTTAGATTTTTTCATGTCCATTGATATGTGATTTGTCTTCTTTGGCCTGTTGACAGGGTAGATTACGTTGATTTTCAAGTATTGATCCAACTTGCCTGACTGGAATAAATTCCATTTTTCATGCTGTTTAATTCTCTTTATACATTCTATTCTGTTTGCTAATATTTTGTTGAAGATTTGGCATGTAAATTGATGAGAGACATTAGTCTATATGTTTTTTTTTTCTTTAATAAGGTCTTGATCTGGTTTGGCTCTGTGTCCCCATCCAAATCTCATCTCGAATTGTAATCCCCAGGCATCTAGGGAGGGACCTGGTGGAAGGTGATTGGATCATAGGGATGGTTCCCCATGCTGTTCTCACGATAGTGAGTGAGTTCTCACAAGAGCTGATGATTTTTAAAGTGTTTGGCAGTTCCCGCTTTGCTCCTCTCTCTCTCCTGCCACCTTGTGAAGTGAAGAAGATGCCAATCTCCCTTTTGCCTTCCACTATGATCGTAAGTTTTTTGAGGCCTCCCCAGCCATGAGGAACTGTAAGTCAATTAAACCTCTTTTCTTTATAAATTACCCTGTCTCAGGCAGTATCTTTATATCAGTGTGAAAACGAACTAATACAGGTCTTTATCTGTGTTTGTTACCAGGGTAATACTGGCCTTACAAAATGAGTGGGGAAGTATTTCCTCTTGTCTCCTTTCTGGAAGAGATTGTATACAATTGGTGATAATTCCTTTTTAAATGTTTGGTAGAACTCTCCAGGTAAATCACCAAGTCCTGGAGGTTGAGGTTTTGTTTTTTTGGGGTTTTTTTGTTTTTTTTTTTGAGACGAAGTTTCACTTTTGTTGCCCAAGCTGGAGTGCAATGGCGTGGTCTCGGCTCACTGTAACCTCCGCCTCCCAGGTTCAAGCAAATCTCCTGTCTCAGCCTCCCGAGTAGCCGGGATTATAGGCATGCACCACCACACCCGGCTTATTTTATATTTTTAGTAGAGACAGGGTTTCTCCATGCTGGTCAGGCTGATCTCGAACTCCTGACTCAGGTGATCCACCCACCTCGGCCTCCCAAAGTGCTGGGATTACAGGTGTGGGCCACTGCACCCAGCTGAGTTTTTTATTATTGTGGTAAGTATACATATAAAATCTACTGTTTTAACCATTTTTAACTGTATTATTCAGTGGTACTTAGTAGACATTTGTCCCTCCTTTAGTATTTGCTGGGCATTGGTTCTGGGACCCCCTGCAAATACCAAAATCCTTTGATGTTCAATTCTCTGATATGAAATGGCATAGTATTTGCATGTAACCTACACATATCCTCCCATATAGCTTAAATCATTTCCAGATTACTTATAATACCTAATACAATATAATGCTATGTAAATAGTTATTATACTGTATTTTAAAAATTTATATTATTTTTATAGTTGTATTATTTTTTGTTTTTTGTTCTTTGAATATTTTGATCCATGGTTGGTCAAACACATGATTCTGGATGTGGAACCTATGGATATGGAGGATCATCGGTATTCACAATGTTATGCAGCTGTTACCATGATCATTTCCAACAGTTTTTCATCAGCCCAGCTAGAAACCCTATACCCCTACAACAGTAACTCCTCATTTCTCCTTACTCCTAGCCCCTGGTAACCTCTGCTATACTTTCTGTCTCTAAGAATTTGCCCATTCTAGGTACCTCTTATAAGCAGAATTGCACAATATTTGTTCTTTTGTGTCTGGTTTATTTCACTTAATGTAATGTTTTCCAGGTTTATCCATGTTGCAGCATGTACCAGAGTTTCTTTCTTTTAAGCCTGAATAATATTGCATTATATGTATATACCATATTTTGCTTATCCATTTATATGTTGATGGCCATTTGTGTTGTTTCCACCTTTTGGCTGTTGTGCATAATGCTGTTAGGAGCATTGGTGTACAGATTTCTGTTAGAGTCTCTGCTTTCAATTCATATGGGTATGGACCTAGAAGTGGAATTGCTGGATCATATGGTAACTCTGTTTCACATTTTGAGGAAGTACCAAACTGTTTTCCACAGCAGCTGCACCATTTTACATTCCCACCAGCAATATACCAGGGTTCCAATTTCTTCATGTCCTCACCAATACCTGTAATTTTTCATTTTTCTTTTAATAATAGCCATCCCAATGGGTGCAAACTGGTATCTCATTGCAGTTTTTATTTGCATATCCCTAATGACTAGTGACACTGAGCAGCTTTTCATGTGCTTATTGGTCATTTGTATATCTTCTTTGAAGATATGTCTATTCAAGTCCTTTGCCCATTTTAAAACCACTTTTTTGGTTTTTTTCCTTTTTTTTTTTTTGAGACAGGGTCTTGCTTTGTCACCCAGTCTGGAGTGCAGTGGTATGATCTCAGCTTACTGCAACCTCCATCTCCGGGCTCAAGCAGTCCTCCTACTTCAGCCTCCTGAGGAGGTGGGACTACAGGTGTGCCACCACACCTGTCTAATTTTTGTGTTTTGTTGTTGTTTTTTTTTTTTTGGTAGAGACAGGGTTTCACCATGTTGTCCAGGCTGGTCTTGAACTTCTGGACTCAAGTAATCCACCTGCCTCAGCCTCCCAAAGTTCTGGGATTACAAGCATGAGCCACTGTGCCTAGCCTTAAAATCAGGGTTTTTGTTGTTGTTGACTTGTATAAGTTCTTTATATAGTATGGATATTAATCCCTTATTGGATGTAAGATTTGTAAATATTTTCTCCCATTCTTGTGAGTTATCTTTTTACTCTCTTGATATTGTCCTTTGATGCACAAAAGTTTTTAATTTTAGGCTGAGCATGGTGCACATGCCTATAATCCCAGCACTTTGGGATGCCAAGGCAAGTGGATGGCTTAAGTCCAGGAGTTTGAGACCAGCTTTGCCAACATGGGGCAACCCTGTCTGTACAAAAAATGCAAAAATTAGCTGGGCATGGTGGTGCACGCCTGTAGTCCCAGCTACTCAGAAGGCTAAGATAAGAGGATCACTTGAGTCTGGAAGGCGGAGGTTGCACTGAGTGGCATGATTGTGCCACTGCACTCCAGCCAGCCTGGGTGACAGAGTGAGACCCTGTCTCAAAAAAAGTTTTAAATTTTGATGAAGATCAATTTATTTATTTTGTTTTTGTTGTTGATGTTGCCTGTGCTTTTGTATCATATCCAGGAAATCATCATCAAATCCAGTATCATGAAACTTTTTCATAATATTTTCTCCTGAGAGTTTTATAGTTTTAGCTTTTATATTTAGGTCTTTGAACTATTTCTTTTTTTCATGCCACCATGTCTAAGAATCTTCTATCTATTTTGAGTTAATTTTTGTATGTAGTATAGGTCAGGGTCCGAAGTCATTCCTTTGCATGTGGCTATCCAATTTTCCCAGCACCATTTGTTGAAAAGACTGTCCTTTCCCCGATCGAATGGTCTTGACATACTGTTGAGAATCTAGTGACCGTATATGCAAGGGTTTATATCTGGGCTTGCTTTCTTCCTTCCTTCCTCCTTTCCTTTCCCTTTTCCTTTCCTTTCTCCCCTTTCCCTTCCTTCCCTTCTTCCCTCCCTTTGTTCTCCCACCCTCCCTCCCTCCCTCCCTCCCTTCCTTCCTTCCTTCCTTCCTTCCTTCCTTCCTTCCTTTCCTCCCTCCCTCCCTCCCTCCCTCCCTTCCTTCCTTCCTTCCTTTCCTCCCTCCCTCCCTCCCTTCCTTCCTTCCTTTCCTCCCTCCCTCCCTCCCTTCCTGTGTTCTGTCCTCCTTCTCCTCCTTCTTCTCCTTCTCCTTCTTCTCCTTCTTCTTCTTCTTTTTTTTTGACGGGGTCTCATTCTGTCGCCTATGCTGGAGTACAGTGGTGTGGTCACGGCTCACTGCAGCCTCCACCTGGGCTCAAGCAATCTTTCTATCTCAGCCTCTCAAGTAGCTGGAACCACAGGTGCACGCCACCACACCTGGCTAATTTTTTGTATTTTTTGTAGAGATGGGATTTCACAATGTTGCCAGGCTGGCCTTGAACTCCTGGGCTCAAGCAGTCCACCTGCCTCAGCCTCCCAAAGTGTTGAGATAACAGGCGTGAGCCACTGCACCCGGCCTATTTCTGGGCTTCCTATTATATTTCATTGGTTTGTATGTCTGTTCTTGATGTCAGTACCACACGTGTTGTGATATTTGTAGTTTTGTAGTAAGTTTTAAAATCAGGAAGTGTGACTCTTCTATGTTCTTTTTCTAGATTGTTTTGGCTGTTTGAGATTCCTTGAAATTCCATGTGAATTTTAGGATGAATTTGTCTATTTCTGCAACAAATGTCATTGGGATTTTGGTAGGGATTCCATTGAATCTGTAGATTGCTTTAGATAGTATGCATTGCCATTTTAACAATTTAGTGTCTTCTAATCCATGAACACAGGATTAGGTTGTATTTTGATAGTTGGTGGTTTTTGAGAAATTGGTCCATTTCTTCCAAGTTGTCAAATATGTGAGCTAAAAAATGTTCATATTATTCCATTATTATTCTTTTAATGGTTACAAGATCTACAGTGTCCCATTTCAGTCCTTTTATTGGCATATCATCTTTTTTAACTTTTATGTTTGTTAGTAAGGCTAGCGGTTTATCCCTTTTTACTGTATAAATAAACTTTTGGTTTTATTGATTTTTTTTTAGTATTGCATTCTTATTTTCAGTTTCATGGATCTCTGCTCTTGTGTTTATTTTTTCCATCTGCTTGCTTTGGTTTTGTTTTTCTAGTATCTAGCTAGCTTCTTTTTCTAGCATCTTGAATTAGTAACTTAGATTATTGATTTGAGGCTCTTCTTCATGTCTAACTTATGCATTGAGTGCTATAAACTTCTCTCTGCACTGCTTTAGATCCCACATATTTTGCTATGTTGTGTTTTCATTTTCACACAGTTCTATGTATTTTTTAAAATTTCCTTTGAAACTTTTTCTTTGACCCTTGTTTTATTTAGAAATATGTTGTTTAATATCCAAATGTTTAGAGATTTTCTTGTTTTCTGTTGTTTCTTCTCTGTTTCTAATTTGAATTAAGTATAATCAATGATACCTCTCTGCATAATTTCAATACTTTTAAATTTGTTGAAGTTTATTTCCTGGTTCAGAATATGATCTCAGGTGAATATTCTGTGAGTGCTTAAACAATTGTTTACTCTGCTGTAATTGGCTGGTGTGTCCTGTTGTGCCAATTAAATCCCATTGGTTGATTATTGTTCACTCCTTCAATATCCTTGTAGATTTTCTGTCTAGTAGTTCTACCAATTGCTGAGAGTGGAGTGTTGAAGTCCCCAACTATAAATGTGCATTTGCTTATTTCTCCTTTTAGCTCTATCAGGTTTTACTTAATGTGTCTAGACACTCTATTGTTAGGTGCACACACATTCAGGATTGTTACGTCTTCCTGGTGGATTGATCCTTTTATCATTTTATAATATCCCTCTTCATTCCATCTGAGAACTGTTGGGTTATGACTTGACTTACTGTATTGTTTTTGTATTTTCTTTGCAGAAGATTCAGACCTACATTTCTTTGATCCACAGACAACACCAAAGGTCTATCGAAAAATGATAGGCAATACATTTTAAATGTCCCTAGGCAGTTTGGATATCACATTATTGCTCTGTAAAACTCATTTAGGTTTTTTCCCCAGATACATCGCTGTTTCTCTCCCAGGTGCTTGCTGTATACAGCACTGTCTCTGTCTTTTCCCTCTATTAACTTCAATAGTGGGAACAGTTACAGCACAGTCTTCTGAAGTTCAAGAGAAGAATCATTTGGAAAATTCATGAATGCCATCTGTGTAATTGGTGTGAAAGAAGTCCATATTTGAAAGGAATCTGGTTGAGCCCAGAGACCTGATGTTTATAATAGTAACCACAGTTATATAAAATTATATATGTGTGTGTTGTAAGCACTTTCCGTGTATAAGATACTACCACAGTCCACTGGGAATGCATCCTCAATCTGTCCATCCCTGGGCAGGATTAGCTATAGTTCAAGTGCCAGGTTGACAGTGGTGGAACCAAGGCTTGGAGCTCAAGCTCTAGAACTCCTCGGTCCATGTGGTCATCTCCCGCAGATCTGGGCTCAAGTCCCAGCTTTGCCACTTACCTGGCCACATGTGGGACTATGTCTGCCTCATAACCCCCATCCCCTGAAGAAAAGTGAACAGAACCCACCTCATTTAAGCCTTTTATATCTCTTTGTCATCCGTCTCAAAGTGATTCTGCAGAGGTCCTATAGGAGCCTCAAGGACCAAGACAAGAATATTCATGATGTGACTTCCCTGAGCCATGAATGGCTGCTGCATTTTGTTCCTAAATGTGCTCCCTTTGCTGTCCTCCCTTCCCCTTTTAGAGAGATGGAACCATGTAACCACCACGACCAAGAGGCCAGTAACCACCAGAGCTCCAGCAAATACTTTAGGTAAGGTGGCCGCTCTGAGGAGAGTAGTAAGGCAAGGATCCCATGGGGCTCCCTCTGAGACAGGATCCAAATGAGCTACCCATAGATGAACTAATTGAGTATTTCTTTTATTTTGGGACCCCATGAAGGAAATGATTTTGACTTGGCTGATGCCCTGGATGATCGAAATGATCGAGATGATGGCCGCAGGAAACCAATTGCTGGAGGAGGAGGTGAGTCCCACCTGGTCTGGTTCTGTCTCATTAATTACATCATCCCACAGAGCCAGAGCCAGCTTGGGCCTGGCAGAGCTGGAGGCACTTCAAGCCACTGGAGAACCCTATAATGGTGGTACTCAAACTTTTTTGGTCTGGGGACTCCTGAAATCATTGAGATCTCAAGAGAGATTTTGCTTATGTGGGTCACGTTTATCAATACTCATCATCTTAGAATTTAAAACTGAAAGACTTTATTAATCAATCTAAAATGAACAACATTAAACCCATACATTTAACATAAATAACATTTTTATGAGAAATAACTATGCTTGGCAAGACAAAAACTTGTATTGAGGAGAGCGGCACGCTGTTACATTTTTGCAGATTTCTCTCATGTCTGGCTGGATGGAAGCAGCTGGCTTCTCACAGGCACTTTATTCCATCGTGAGATGTTGTTTTGGTTGAAGTATATGAAGGAAATCTGGCCTCACACCCATAGGCAGTGGGGAAAGGGAGGAATATTTTCACAGACTTTTCAGATCCTTGTGGATAATCTTCTCGGATAGGACACCAAAACTTGGCCCCAACAAAAGCGGTTGTTTGTTACAGGTTAAGCGTAGTGTGGAGTGTGAAACTCTTATCAGTGAACTTTCCACACTTGGTTCCGTGGGACTATCTTGTCCTTTCAGTGGACCTTTTACCCGTTCATAAATTTTCTGCTTCCTTGTGTCAGTTTCCTTGCTGCATAACAAAAATCAGAAACTCTGAGTTAAGGCAACACCCATTTATTATCCCACTGTTTCCTTTGGTCCGGAGTTGAGGAACAGCTAAGCTGAGTTTTCTGCTCAGGAGCTCATATAGCTGCAGTCAAGGTGTTGGTGAGGGCTGGGGTCTCGTCTGAAGTTGGGTTCCCTTCCAAGCTCAATTGCTTGTTGACAGTACATTCCCTTGCAGCTATAGGAATAATGACTGCTTGCTGCTTCAAGACTAGCAGGAGAATGACCAACAGACGGGTTGGTAGGGGGAGAAAGGAGGAGAGACCGACCGACTCTGTTGCTTCTCATGTCTGAGCTCAGAGAAGGCCTGAACCTGCTTTTGAGGATGTCACCTGATTAAGTCATGCCCATCTAGGATAATCTCCTTTTTGATGAATGCAAAGTCAAATTGATTTGGTACCTTAATCACCTCTGCAAAATCCCTTCACCTTTGGCATGTAATCTAACCTAATCACGGGAGTGATATAGCCATCCTATCCATGGTTCCACTCACACTCAGAGTGGTGGGACATTATGCGGGACATGTACACCAGTGGGAGGGGGTCTGGGGGGACCTCTTAGAATTTCATGAAGGGCATTCTTAAGTGGAACTGGGAATCATTTTCTGAATTTTGGGCAACATTAGCACAAGTTTCTTGTTGCTGATTTTTTTTTCTTGTTGTTGAAATGTATGTTTTATTTTCTCCAGGTTTTTCAGACAAGGATCTTGAAGACATAGTAGGGGGTGGAGAATACAAACCTGACAAGGGTAAAGGTAGGAGCATTGATTTGTGCCAACACAACCCTTATTCTGGTGAAAAAGGTGATTATGCAGCAACCAGATTAATTGAGCCTCTGGGAAATGAGTGGTAGTTCCCAGACATCCCAGCCTGCCAGTTGGGGTTCATTTGGAATGATGTGAGCCATGCAGTTCAAGGGGGGGATTTATAAGCCATCTTGGAAAAGCCCCACATTTCCCCTGATGTTCCTTAAGCAGCAGTGCTGATAGGTTAACGTTTCATGCTGGCTGAAGCCTATTTGCCAAGGCAACACCACCAATGATAATAACTGGGGGCCAGTGGACTCTGAAAGCAGCCCTCTCAACCTCAAGAGACTCACTCACTCTTGGGATGGGAGGAGCAAAGTCATCATGACGAGCATTTTTTTTAAGAGACCCATAGCAAGTCAGATATCTTTTAAAATACCTTTTTATTTTGAAATGGTTCTCACAAGAAGTTGTAAAAATAGTTCAAGAGAGTTCATGTGTATACTTCACCTAGCTTCTCCTTATATAACCATAGTCATTGTCAAAACCAGGAAGTCAACATTAGTACAGTACTGTTAAGTCAGCTACAGACCTTGTTCAGATTTCATCAGATTTTGCATGCATTCAGATATGCGTGTGTGAGCGAGTATGGGTAGGTCTATAAAATGTTATGTGTGTAGATTTGAGTAACCATTACCATAATTAGCAGGCAGAACTGTTCCATCGCCACAAAGAAGTTCCCTCATGTTACCCCAGAATAGTCATGTCCTCCCCAAGGCCAGATAGTGTTAATTCCCCAAACTACCAAAGATTTCAACCTTTTATCATAGTATACATCAAGTCTGGAGGGAATATTAGCCAGATTTGTTGATGTGGCAAGGCAGGCTAGTGATTGTAACTTGTGGTTGTAACCTGTCGTGATTGTAACTTGTGATTATAATCTGTTGTGATAGCAACATGTTATGATGGTAAATTGTGGTAACCCTGGTTGTAACCTGTTGCAATGGCAAATTGCTGTTACACCCGGTTATAAGTGTGACAAGTTATGGGTGTATCTGGTTGTAACTCTGATACACTCCCCACAGTCTTGGCTGTGGTTACTAGTGTTTGCTCTTTTCTTGCAAGAACGGTGTGCCTTTCGTATGGGAATAGTGTTCTCTTCCGATTAAAGGATACCATGGTTAAATTTATCCTTCGAAACACCTTTCCAGACAGAGTCATCTCTACTAAAAAGCACAAAAAGCCTCTAAATGAAACCTACAGGTGTCAGGATAACATGGAACATTTAAAGGGCAAATCCAGCAAATTAGCCAATTACTTCTGGGTGATAAGTGGTATTTCCAGATGGTGAAATGAGAGCAGTAGGCACACGTGTAAGCACACACATGAATGAAAGTCTGAATGGCATGTCAGGGGCTTTTCCTTATTAAAAGTGCATGTTTTAGCAAGGAAGAAGTGTTCAGGAATTCTTTAATTAGGCTCATATTTGAACTTCTCTTGTAAAGAATAATCAATTGTTAGCTTAAGTTATACCCTCTGCCATTATAGGTGTCAGGAAAAGAAGATAAAGGGGGTCGTGGAAAAAAGGACAAGTGTGAAACTGAAACATGGTTATGATAAGCACACCATGGAATTCTCAGACACTGTCCTTTACACAAAAATATGCTAATGCTGTGAGCAAAGGTAAAACATCACATTTCAATAAATTATGATCTTCAGCATGAAAAGAATCCTAATTAATGCATTTTTCAGGCTTGGGTCTTAGGCACATAGATTCAGCTACATTTTGGAGTGTATTTTTGAAACAATACATTATTTGTTATGGATTTTTTTTCTCAGGAAGACCTCTTACCCTGTAGAAGCCCCACATTTTGCCTATAGGTAACGATGACAGTCTTTTGTCAACAGGTCCTATTGCCTTTCTCTAAGAAGGTGATGGCCTATAAGCCCTCCTCCTCCGCCCTTATTTCCTTCCTGCCCAGCCTGGGCAGGACTCTGATTGTCCCCCATTTCTGCCAACAGACTGCTTTCCATAGCACTTTGAGAAATTTGAGGCCAATGTTTCAACTCCTCATGGCCCCCCTGCCATGTATACCCTAGAGTATGCAAGCCCCTACTCCCACTGTGGTTCCCAATGGCTTCCTGATGGTCACAGCCCTCTGTCCTGTGTGGCCTCTGTAGCATTTGACTTTGATGATCACCTTCTCCTTAACATTCTTTCCTCCTGGGCCCTTTCTCACTCATTGACTGGTCTCATTCATGAGTCTCATTCACTGCTTCTTTCTGAACACTGCTGCCTCTTGGATTTATTTCCTTGGTGTCCAATTCTGTATGTCATTCTCTTTCACTGGGAAAGAGAATGGTATTAGAAACCAAGATCTGAGTATTCATTGCTTAGTGGTATATCGCTACTTCTAGACTGTCTAAGCAGACAGAGATAGGAAATAGGAAATATATGTATATATACTAACCCATGTGTCTTACTTCAGGCTGCTATAACAAATTACCACAGACTGGGTGATAATTAAGCAACAGACATTTGTTTCTCACAGTTCTAGAGGCTGGGAAGTCCAAGACCAAGTCATGGATAGATACAGTATCCAGTGAGGATCTGCATCCTCTTTTGGAGATGGCTATCTTCTTGTTGTGTCCCTGATTGGTGGAGAGGACAGAGTGGGGAGAAAGCTCTGGTGTCTCTTCTTATAAGGGTTCTAATCCTATCATGAGGGGTCGACCTTCATTACCTAATTAACTCCCAAAGACCCCACCTCCTAATATCATCACATTGGAGGTTAGGACTTCAACATATGACCTTGAGAGACGGGATACAAATGTTCAGTACATAACACCATATATATACACATATCCAAAATAATTTCTTTTAACCGTCAGCAGGTATATAACCTAAACATGACTTCATACTTATATCTCCAACTGTAATCCAGTGCCAGAAGGATTATTTCGATCTTCCTTTCTCACTTACCTATAACTTTCCTCTCTGACAGTGAGACACCTAGCTCCTACTACCCGTCATTCATTTACTGTCTTACTCAATTCAGGTATACACGTATAGAGCATCAGAATTGCTAACTCATACCCCCAGGAGAAACAACTTTACCAACTAGAGTCCAGTGTTTATGTTCAGTTTCTTTTGTCTTTACCTTACAGTTCCCAGTCAAAATACTGTTTTTCAAAGTTACTTAGGTCGGTTCCTTTACCTTCCTCATCCATTCAGTACAGTAATGCCACCCATTTATAATGGAGTTAGATTCATTTGTCATAGTCTGCATTCCATCCTGGGAGTCCCCCACCCACCTGGTTGATGTTTTGTTCTTCTGCTTGTAGGCATTAAAGTTCACTCTTTGTAACATATAGTTCTGTGGGTTTTGGCAAATGCATAGAGTCACATGTCCACCACCCAAGTACCATACAGAACAGTTTCTTCACCATGCAAGGACTTCTGTACATGCCCTTGATAGTCAGCCACTCCCCCTTCCCTCAACCCTAGTCTAGTTTCTATTAGCGCAACCACTGATTTGTTTACTTCTCTGTGGTTTTACCTTATCCAGGATGCCATAGAATTGGAGCCATACAGTATATAGGCTTTTCAGACTAGCTTCTTTCACTTAGCAATATGCATTTAAAGTTTTTTCATGTTTTTTCATAGCTTGGTAGTTTGTTCTTTTTAGCATTGAACAATATCCCATTGTATGGATGTACCACTTTGTTTATCCATTCACCTGCTGAAGGACATCTTGGTTGCTTCCAGTCTGGAGTGAATATGAATAAAACTGCTATAAATAAAACTTTTTTTTGAGATAGGATCTCACTCTGTTGCCTAGCCTGGAGTGCAGTAATGCAAACACAGTTCACTGAAGCATTGACCTCCTGAGCTCAAGCAATCCTCCCACCTCAGCCTCCTGAGTATCTGGGACCATAGATACGCACCACCATACTTGACTAACTTTTAAAATTTTTGTAGGGATGGGGTCTTGCTATGTTGCCCAGGGTGGTCTCGAGCTCCTGGGCTCAGGTGATTCTTCTGCCTTGGCCTCCCAATATGCTGGGATACACGTGGGAGCCGTTGCGCCCAGCTATAAACATTTTTAAACATTACATACAGGTTTCTGTGTAGACATACACATAATACTTTATACTTTTGTTCTATGAACAACACTATGAAGAAAAGAAAAAGACAAGCCACAGATTTGGAGAAAATATTTGCAAAATCATATACCTGATAAAGGACTTGTATTCAGATGATATAAAGAATTCATAGGCCGGGCGTGGTGGCTCACGCCTGTAATCCCAGCACTTCTGGAGGCCGACGCGGGTGGATCACGAGGTCAGGGGATCGAGACCATCCTGGCTAACACGGTGAAACCCTGTCTCTACTAAAAATACAAAAAATTAGCTGGGCATGGTAGCACGTGCCTGTAGTCCCAGCTACTCGGGAGGCTGAGGCAGGAGAATCGCTTGAACCTGGGAGGTGGAAGTTGCAGTGAGCTGAGATCACACCACTGCACTCCAGCCTGGGTGACAGAGCAAGACTCTGTCTCAAAAAAAAAAAAAAAAGAAAAAAAGAATTCATAAAAGTCAACAATAAGAACTCAACCCCAATTTTAAAATGGGTAAAAAATATGAAGAGACTTCACCAAAGAAGAATATAAAATAGGAAAATAAGATATTCAACGTCATTTCTCACTAGGGAAATACAAATGAAAACAAGATACCACTATGCACCTGTTAGAATGTCTAAAATCCAAAAAGCTGATAATATCAATTGCTGATGAGGATGCAGAGCAACAAGAACGCTCATTCATTGTTTGTGAGAATGCAAAATGGTACGGCCACCTTGGAAGAGAGCTTGACAGTTTATTGTAAAGTTCAACATAGACTTGCCATATGACCTAGCAGTCATACACTATTGCTGGTTTTTGCTCCGGTTGAACAGTCTGCCGACAGACTTAGGGAAGGGAAAAATGAGAGCAGCCTGGGGTAAAAATGCCGTGGACTCAAGCTGTTTTTACTGAAATCAAATGACTTTCCTGAAATGACTAACTTTTTGTCCAGGTTTATAGTTGCTTTTTGAGGAGAGGATTTGTTGATCTCCTTACTGTCTCATGCCAGAAGTCTCTTCCCTGGTATCTTTTGAATCTAGATTATTCTTTCTCTTTATCTCCCCTCAAGCCCAGGCCATCTTCACCCTCCCTTGGGATGACCAGCTAAGCGGTTAAGAGTGTTGACCTTAACCGCTTAACTGGTATCTTTGCTCCAGCTTGTCCTCCTTGCAGCCGCAAGAGAGAACCATCAAGAACATGAATGTGACCCTGTCATTCCTCTGTTTAAAAAATACTGTGTAACAATGAAAAGACAAACAATCCAATTAAAAAATGAGCATAGGATTTGAACAGACACATCACAAAAGAAGTTACATGATGTTCAAAATAATTTATGTGTGTTGAACCAATCTTGCATCCTAGGGATAAAGTCTACTTGATCGTGTTGGATTAGCTTTTTGATATGCTGCTGGATTCAATTTGCTGGTATTTTGTTGAGGATTTTTGCATCTATGTTCATCAATGATATCAGCCTGAAGTTTTCTTTTTGTATTGTGTCCTGCTACAGTAACCAAAACAGCATGGTACTGGTACAAGAACAGACACATAGACCAGTGGAACAGAATAGAGAACATACAAAAAATGCCTCAGACCTGCAGCCATCTGATCTTCAACAAAATTGACAAAACAAGCAGTGGGGAAAGGACTCCTTTTATATATATATATATATATATATATATATATATATATACTTTAAGTTCTAGGGTACATGTACACAACGTGCGGGTTTGTTTCATATGTATACATGTGCCATGTTGGTTTGCTGTACCCATTAACTCGTCATTTACATTAGGTATATCTCCTAGTGCTATCCCTCCCCCCTCCCCCAATCCCACGACAGGTCCCAGTGTGTGATGTTCCCCACCCTGTGTCCAAGTGTTCTCATTGTTCAGTTCCCACCTATGAGTGAGAACATGCGGTGTTTGGTTTTCTGCCTTTGTGATAGTTTGCTCAGAATGATGGTTTCCAACTTTATCCATGTCCCTGCAAAGGACATGAACTCATCCTTTTTTATGGCTGCATAGTATTTCATGGTGTATGTGTGTCACATTTTCTTAATCCAGTCTATCATTGATGGACATTTGGGTTGGTTAGGACTCTTTATTCAATAAATGGTGCTGGGATAACTGGCTGGCCATATGCAGAAGATTGAAGCTGGACCCCTACCTTTTTGCCATATGCAAAAATCAACTCAAGATGGATTAAAGACTTAAATGTAAAACCCAAATCTATGAAAACCCTGAAGACAAGCTAGGCAATACTATTCTGGACATAGGACCTTTGTCAGAAGGCAAAGTCTTCATGACAAAGACACCAAAAACAATTGCAACAAAAACAAAAATCCACACATGGGACCTCATCAAACTAAAGAGCTTCTGCACAGCAAAAGAAACTATCAACAGAGTAAACAGACAACCTATAGAATGTGAGAAAATATTTGCAAACTATGCATCCAACAAAGGTCTAATATCCAGAATCTATAAGGAACTTAAACAAATTTACTAGCAAAAAACAAACCATCCCATTAAAAAGCGGGCAAAAGACATGAACAGACTTTTCTCAAAAGAAGACATACATGCGGCCAACAAGCATATGAAAAAAAGCTTAACATCACTAATCATTAGAGAAATGCAAATCAAAACCACAATGAGATACCTTCTCACACCAGTCAGAATGGCTGTTATCAAAAAGTCAAAAAATAAATGCTGACGAGGTTGTGGAGAAAGGGGAACATTTATGCACTGCTGATGGGAATGTAAATTAGTTCAGCCAGCGTTGAAAAAAGTTTGGTGATTTCTCAAAGAACTTAAAACAGAATTACCATTTGAGCCAGCAATGCCATTATTTAGTATATACCCAAACACAAATTGCTCTATCATAAAGACACATGCATGTGTATGTTCAGTGCAGCACTATTCACAGTAGCAAAGACACGGAATCAACCTAAGTGCCCATCAACAGAGGACTAGATGAAGAAAATGTGGTACATATATACCAGGAAATACTACACAGCCTTAAAAAATGAGATCACGTCCTTTGCAACAACTTAGATGGAGCTGGAGGCCATTATCCTAAGCAAACTAACTCAGGAACAGAAAACCAGATACCACATGTTCTCACTTATAAGTGGGAGCTAAATGATGAGAACACATAGACGCATAGAGGGGAACAACACACTCTGGGGCCTATCAAGGGGTGGAGGGTGGGAGGAGGGAAAGGATCGGGAAAAATAACTAATGAATACTAGGCTTAATACCTAGGCGATGAAATAATCTGTACAACAAATCCCCATGACACACAATTTACCTGTATAACAAACCTGCACATGTACCCCTGAACCTAAAATTTTTTAAAAAAAAAAACCAAAATCATTATTCTTTGGGGAAATACAAATCAAACCACCATGAGATACCACAACACATCCTCCAGAATAACTAAAATTTAAAAGGTAGTATCAAATGTTGATGAAGATGTGGAGTGACTGCAGTTCTCATACATCATTGGTAGGGATGTCAAGTTTCTTCTAAAGCTGAACATAGACCTACCTAGCGACCCAGCAATTTCATTCCCTATTCAAGAGAAATGAGAGCTATGTTCTGCCCGCTTCCAACAACAAAACAAAAGACTTATAAAAGAATGCTCATTGCTTGATCTACGATAGCAGAAAACACAAACAAAACTTGGAAACACCCAGGTATCAATAGGAGAATTGATCGACAAACTGTGATACATTTATATGTTTATTGCAATGGGATGAGTTACTGATACGACAGCATGGATAAATGTCAAAAACAATATGCTGAGTAAAAGAGGCTAATGAAAAAAGAGTACGTATTATTTGAGCCCAATTATATGAAGTTCCACTACAGCCAAAACTAAGCTATAATGATAGAAATGAGATCTGTGGCTGCGGGGGTTAGGTGTGTGAATAAGATCAACTGGGTGTCACTTTCTGGCATGATGGTTATGCTCTGTGTCTTGATAGGGGTCTCGGTTTCATAGTTGTGTGCATCTGTCAAAAGTTATCCACTGGTACGTGGAAGATTTATGTGTTTCACTGTATGTAAGTTTTACCTTAAAAAAGGAATCGTAAGCAAATGTAAAATGCTAGGTAACCATAGGTTGAAGGATACTGATGTCTGTAACTTTGACATGTGTTACAAAAATAAGATCGATTGACAAGAGGGATGGCAGACGTGATAAAGTGAATGATGCAAAATGTTAATTACAGGTCTGCGTGCTGGGAATTTGGGTGTTCACTGCAAGAAGTTTTAAACTTTTTTGTATGTTTGAAATTTTTCTTAATTAGATGTTGGTGAAAAAAATTAAAGAAGCAGGAACAACAACAAAAGCCTCTTTAGTGGTTCCCCACTGCTTACGAGATAAGTTCAAGCCCCTTAGTCTGCTGACATGTTCTTTCTGCCCTAGACCGCCAGGTTCCTGTGATCTTCAAACATGGAGAAAGGCCAGTAGGTACATATGCCAGTGCCTGCAGATGACATTCCTCGGTCTAAACTGCTTGCCTTCCACCATGTAAATTCCCAGTCATCCTCAAGCAAGTGCTAAGTTACCCATGCTGGAGATCCCCTCCTCTCAGGAGGCTGCCCCCATCTGTGGTCCTGTCTCCCTGCCCACTCTCCGCCCTGCAGCACAGCTTCCATCTCCTGCCCCTGGGCTCTCCTAGAGCTTCTGTCACTCCGCTGGTACAGGATAGCACATGTCATTCTGAACCACAGCGGGTGGTGTTTATCTTTTTTGCTTCTGCTAGACTGGGCTTCCTGTGTATCCCTGACACCTCCATGCAGGTTTGCTGGCATGAGGACTGTGGAGCAAACACCCAGCTTTGCTCTCTGCCTTCTCTGTCACACCTCCCTGTGAAGGCTAGAGTGATACTTTTGATTGGCGAAGCCAGGGTGAGCCTGCTGATCCTCTGGGCCACATTACTGGTGGGATCATGGCATGACCTGCTGCTTTCTCCTGGAACCTCAAAGGAGTGCGAGAGCCAGGGCCCACCACATCGCTAGCTGGGGAAGTGTGCACTCTCATAGTAGGTGAACCCTGTGTCTGCTCTATAAGCCCAGCTTTCCCCCACATGAGCTCTGGGATGATTTTTGTGAGAAGGGAAAAGGGAGAGAAGTAACACGTAGCTTCTGTGTGGCCTCAGGTCATGTCCTCTAACTAGTACACAGAAGCCCTGCTCTTGAGGGTGCTGCTGTACTTTAGCCTCTTCATCAAGCAGATGCCTTACCTTTGATCTTTCTCTGGCTCCTTACATCTGTTCTCAGTTGGTAAAGAACCCGGAGGGGAGGAGAAGCGGGGAGGGGTGTTATTAGCACTCCCGGATCACCCTCACTGGCCTGTTGGTCAGAAGACTCTTGATAAATTAACACAAGGAACCAAATGGGGGCAAGGGCACTGCTGGCTGGGGAAAGAGGCCATTTGCTGCTTTCCTTTCTCCCTATCCCCAGAAGGAGAGTCTTCCTTCTGTGCTCCTTAAGGATCCCCTAAGCAGTGTCTACTCCGTTGCTCGGGCTAGGTGTTTTACCCTCTCCTTCGTTATCTGCAGACCTTTCCCAAACTTCTGAGTCTGCTCAAAGCTAGAGTTTTCGTGACAGCTCTTTCAAGGGTGCCACTTGGAGCCTTGGGTGGTACGAAATGGATGTCTTCACGGTGAGCCTTGTGTCTGCTCCAAGTGCGAACCCTCCATGCACTGCAGAGAACACCAGAAGGAGAGGAGCACTACCTGAGCTTCTCCTTCCGGGTCTAAAGGTGGAACTTGCTTTGCAGCACCCAGCATTTCACTGTACTGATTCCTTTTTTTGGATCACCACCTCCTGCGTTTAGCAGCCCATATGCTGGGCTCACTCAGCTATACACTGCTTGTTCATAACTACTGTGGGTTCACAGGGCTGAAACACTGCCTCATTTTTCTTAATCAGAAAAAAATTATTTTGAAAATGTTCGAATCAAATTGGGCACATTTTTACACCAAGAGGGCATTTTTTTAAAGGCCAAAGCATGCAGTTCTTAAACACTGAGCCAAGACTAAAAACCCTCCTTCTAAAGACATACAGGCATTCTCTTACCCATGTGTCTGGGTTGCATACAGAGGCTATCTGGAGATGTCCCCAAGTGTGAAGCGTGAACGCCCTCACTTGTAGTTCACAGGGTTAAAGGGGACGGTACTGACTATGATCAGTTGGTTGACTGTAACTTTGAGTATTAGTTCCCTCCAAATGTAGCCTGTTGATCCCGGTTTTATATATATAGAGAGAGAGATATACTTTAAGTTCTGGGATACATGTGCAGAACGTGCAGGTTTGTTACATAGTTATACACGTGCCATGGTGGTTTGCTGCACCCATCAACCTGTCACGTACATTAGGTGTTTCTCCTAATGCTATCCCTCCCCAAGCCCCCTACCCCCCTACCCCCCGACAGGCCCCGGTGTGTGATATTCCCCTCCCTGTGTCCATGTGTTCTCATCGTTCAGCACAGTGTCAAAGTTCATCTGTGTTGTAGCACGCACCAGCATTTCCTTCCTTTTTATGGCTGAATATTCCATTGTGTGGCTAGACCACATTTTATCTATCCATTTACCCTCTTGGGTTTTTGAAGAAAACATTTCTCTTCCATTTTCACTGTGTTTACAGTCATTGTCTTCAAGTATCTGGGCCCTCTCATGATCCCTTTCTGTTATGGACTAAATGTTTGTGTCTCCTGAAAATTCATGTGTTGAAACCCTAACCCCCAATAGGATGTTATTTGGAGGGTAGGGCCTTTGGGTGACGTGAGGTCTTGAAGGTGGGGTCTTTGTGATGGGATTAGTTCTAAGAAGAGATACCTGAGAGTTCTCTTCTTTGGACCTATTTCCACATTCATTTCAGCTTTCATAACATGTAAAGAAATAGGATGTTTCAGATGTGAGGAATAGCTCCCCAGCTCTGGTGTTCTGTGATGTGAAGAGACCCACTTGCTCCCTTAGACTCCCCTTCCCCAAACACGTACCTGGGAACACGGCGTGAACATGGCTTTTGTCCTAGATGACCACCTTGCTGGTATCTCAGGAGCTTGACATAAGACAAGGAGAGTTTTAAGGGTCTGTATCAGATTGGAAGGGGATACCCATTATATTACCTAGAGGGAGGGCATTCCCATCCCTGTGGTGGGGGATGGATAAAATCTGGGCCTTGGAGACTTCCTGGAACAGTGAGGAGTGCCCTCCCCAGTGGCTAGCATAGGCAGCCATGTTTTGGTAGATTTTTCAGTTCAGTTTGACTTGGTAACTATGGGGTATTTGATGCAAGATTTTCTTCTCTTTGTTTATTCATTTTTTTAAAAGTTGTTTTTATTTTGCACTTTGGCCATTTTTTTAGATAATGAAAATACATTTCTAAAATATCTAAAAGCCCTAGCTATGTCTATTAGAAGAGTCTAGAACACTTATAGATGTCTTTAAATACTTGAACATCTCCCCCAGCAGTTATAATCTTCCTACCATTACGTTACTCTCCATGCCCTTGGCAACCAGGTGGGTCAGGCACTCACGGTGAGCCCAGGTTGTGCTGCTGTCAGAGAAGGGCAGCTCCGTGTGGTGCATCCCCGCCTCCCCCAGATGTATGGCTACGTAGGAATCAAGGCTGCCATGTATGCGTATAGCATTGTCTTTTGTCTGTGAGATGCTGAGGGTCTGACGCTTCCTTTGATCGCAGGGCTTATTCACAACTTTCTCAGTGAGGTCATGCCTCCTTTCTACAGGGCCTCTGTAGCTATGGTGGTTGCTATAGCTAGAGAGGTTCCTATAGCTATGAGACCTGCTATGGCAGTGGTCACTATTGCTACAGTGACGGTCCCTATTGCTATGGTGTGGCTATAGCAACGGCAGCAGTCCCTAGAGTTATGGCAGTCCATACAGCTACTTATATGCATAGGTATCTATACTCAAAGCAAATTGCAGCATGTGATACACTGTGCAGGGAGACTTCTGGTCTACTAGAAAGCTACTGTAGTCTCTTTGGCATATAATTGTGAACTCAGAAGGCAGGTGGGAATACAAAACATACTGAAACTGAAGAGTCCGCCAGTGACCTGTGAAATTGCCTCTTTGAGCTCTCTCTCCAGCTGTGGGAAAGAGGGGTGGATAGATTTGCATGGGGCTTGCAGAGTTAAAACTTCTTACAAATTACATGAAAAAGACTTGTTTGTTGTTTCATGATCCAGGAAGAATCACTAGTAATATTTCTGACTGCGTGCTCGGAGTACTTTTTCTATGCACAAGTATATATTTGTAAATATTTGTGATTTTTAAAAAAATAAAAATGGGATCATGCTATCCTGAAACCATTTTTTTCATTCAATAATACACTGAATATCATTCTCTGTCATTAAAGGGTCTTCTAAAATACCGTGTCAGTGGTTACATTATATTATGATATACCATAATTTATTTCACCAGGACCCTATTTTTGTACAGAGATTCCCCTCAGCTTTTTGCTGCTCTGCACAGTGCTGTGATGAACATTGTCTTAGCCAAATGTGCACAACCCTAGTCAGATAACTTCCCAGAAGTCAAATGGCTGGGTACAGAAAGCAGACACTTTTAAAGATGCGACACTTTGAGTGGTACTGCTGAATGATATTCCATTAAGGTTGTGCCAACCTCCATTTCCACCACTAGTAAGTAAACAGGTGCCTGTTTTCTCAAATTATCACCTCCACTGGGCATTATAGTTTTGTTATCTTTGCAGATTTGTTCAGAGCAAAATGCTATCCTGTTTAAATATGCATTTCTTTGAATCTAAAAGGAAGTGAAACACTTTTTCAATGTCTTATTAGACACTCTTAAAATATTTTGTGAATTGCCTGTTTGTGTTCTTTGCCCGCTTTTTTTTTTTACTGGGGTCTGCATATTTTCTCATTTCTGCATATTTCTGCATATTTTCTCATATATTTTAAGGACTCCTTTTACATTAGAGATTAGGAAGCCCTTATATATTCCATAAACATTTTATTCATTCATTCATCAGTTGATGAACCTTTGGGTTGTTTATAGCTTTTATGAATACTGCGATGAACATGTGTGTGCACATTTTTATGTGGACATATGTTTTCAGTTACCTCGGGTATATATCTAGAAATGGAATTGTTAGTCATGTTGTAACTCCATGTTTAACTTCTTAAGGAGCAATCAAACTGTTTTCCATAGCAGCTGCACCATTTTACATGCCTGCTAGCAATGTTTAGGGGTTCCAATTTCTTCACATCCTTACCAACACTTCTTCCTTTCTCTCCCTCTCTCCCTTCCCCTTGTCTTCTTTCCTTTTTCTTTTTTTGGATTATAGTTATCCTAGTGGATATGAGATGGTGTCTCATTATGGTTTTGGTTTGCATTTCCCCAATGACCAACAGTGTTGAGCATCTTTTCATGTGTTTATTGGCCATTTGTATGTCTCTTTGGAGAAACATCTATTCATGTCCTTTGCCCATTTTTAGATTGAATGATTTGCCTTTTTATTATTGAGCTGAAGGGGTCCTTTATATATTCTCAATACTAGCTCCTTATCAGATACATATTTTGCAAATATGTTCTCCTATTCTGTGGGTTGTCATTCTACTTTCTTGATGATGTCCTTTGAAGCACACAAGTTTTTAATTTTGACAAAGCCCAATTTAGTTTTTCTTTTGTTGCTTGCACTTTTAGTACTGAAGTTTTCACTTTTGATCTGATCTTTTCCATTTTCAGTTTCTGGCTTTAGGATCATATTTAGAAAGTCATTTTTTACCCCAAGCTAATAGAAATTCCTTACCCCTAAATTTTTCTATAGTGCTTTTACGCCTTCATCCACTTTAGTTTTACTGGGAACTGATCTTCACGGATGGTATTGGGTTGGGTAATTTTATTTTATGCCCATGACTCATCACCAATACCATCTTTTGCACAGTGTGCATTTTGTAAAGTAACGGGGTTCAGCCTGTGCCTAGAGGAAGTAAGCGAAGCTCGGTAGCCCAGCGTGGCTCAAAGCGATGACCTCGGCTTGGTTAACTCCAGTGGCCTGTGTGGCTGACTTCAGGTTCATGCAGTGAGAAAGGACAGAAGGATCTAAGATGACTGGCTGTTTTTTCTTCCAGATGTTTCTTAGCCTCACAGTAGTTTCAGTTCACATGCCCATCTGAGAAGACTTGCCCACAGGATGGGATCACTTTTTTTGAGGAGGAAGAGAAGCACATTTTTGTCATCTTTTTAGGACAGGACCTCCAACAATCACAAATGGTCAGATAGGAATTGCTGGAGCTGTGAACTATTGAGCTTTGAGTCTTTTTGAAAGTCTGGGAGAGTCAGCCCTTCTGTCCATTTGTCCCTGGGGGGAAATTAGGAAGGGGTTCGACCTGTTTATGTTTCTTCTCACAGCCTGTTGCTCCGCAGTCTTGTGATATTTAAGTTGCTGGGAATCCTTGTGGCCAAGTACTCCTAAGGGAAAGGAGACCTGAGAACACTCAGTTTCCTTCTGCCTTGAGGTGAAAGAATAGGTTGAATTACTCAGAGTCCAGAAAAATGGAAGTCTAGTGACATGAATACATTAGCAGAGGATGCCATCACGACAGCCACCTCCAGCATAGCGGAGGGGACCTCTCTGTTGATCTGGCTGCACACAGTGACCCCCATCTTCCTGTTGGTTATGCTTTCTCCAACAGCAATGATTGTATGTGTGTATTTTTTTGTTTTTTTTTTGTTTTGTTTTTAATGCTGGTGCTCTTTGTTAATAACCATTCATATCCAATCAGGGATCTTTATACACTGCATAGAGCTCAAGGATTCAGCCTTAGGTGGGAACATAACAAACCTCATTTTTCCCCAGGAATCTTTTATTTATATATATATATATATATATATATTTTTTTTTTTTTATTATACTTTAAGTTGTAGGGTACATGTCCCTAATGTAAATGATGAGTTAATGGGTGCAGCACACCAACATGAATCTTTTTCTTTTAATAGGCTTTATTTTTTAGAGCAGTTTCAGTTTCACAGAAAAATAGAGAGGAAGGTACAGAGAGTTCTCATGTTTCCCCCACCCCCACATGTGCACAGCCTCCCCAACTATCAATACCCCCCCACCCTGCCAGAGTGGTACATTTTTACAACCCATGAACCTCCATTCCTCCTGACTCTTTGATTGGTGAAGGAAATGTTGGAGCTCATTTGCCTTCAATATCCCAGGGCGGTTTCCCCTGAGAACCCCGGGCTCTGGGAACACAGTCTCCCTCCATTAATGAGTGTTCGGCCCTGAGAAGAGGGTGGCATGAACGGTGAACTCAACGCTAATTAAGGTACTGAAATGGCACCAGTGGCTTGTCAGGGAGTAGCTGTCTGTGGAAGGGGTGCGTGCGTGTGTGTGTGCGTGTGTGAATTTAACTCTCTGCAGTACTATCGTGTGTGATTTGTGTGACCACCACCATAGTCAATATACAGAACAGTCTGTCACCACAAGGCTCCTGACTGTTGCTCATTTATAATCATAGCCAACTCCCTCCCTCCCAACTCTCACCAGCCCCTGCCAGCATTCATCTGTTCTCCATTTCTGTGATACTTCAGATCCTTTTGAATTTCAAAATAGTGGATAAGGGATTGTGAGCCTACATTTGTTTATGTTCCAAGAGCAACTTCAGCTATAGTTGAGGCAGTGGCTACGTCAGAGACCCGTGGTGGTGGCACTCAAAGTCGGGCTGTCCCGGCACAGCACCCCACCCCACCCCCCACTTATGGTGAGGCCGCTAGTGCAGCTGCACCACTGGTAGCAAAGAGGTGAAATAGAATACTGTGTCTAAAGAGCCCGGCATGTGAGGCATGCTCAGGGCAAGGTGGCTGCCATTTTAATAATAAAAAGTTCCACCTGGTGGCCTGGGCTTTGCAGGTGGTAGGCATAAGAAAGCAGGCCTCATTGCAGTCCAGTAGAAGCCTACGGGTGATCCACTGGTGGGGGTCTTGTCGCATAGGTGGGATTGGAAGGGCCAGCACTGCCATCCGTCTCGCGGAGGCCCGAGCTCGAGCCTGAGCTGGCTGGTCGCTGGCACTAAGTGCTTTTGTCTTTTCTTCAGGTGATGGCCGGTACGGCAGCAATGACGACCCTGGATCTGGTGGGTTTCTGAATCCTGAGGCTCCTGTTGGCCATGTGAAAGGAAAATGAATCTCAGGACCCCAAAATCACTAAGCCAAGGGAAAAGTCAAGCTAGAAACTGCATCAGGCAAACGTGCCTCCCATTCTACTCCTAAATAAGATAGCTGCAAAGATGGAAAAAGCTGCACGCCTCCCTCACAATTTGCCTACAAAGAAATTTCTTATGGGCCTCAATATCTTTACCCTAAAACAGTTCTGTGAATTTCACCCTGGCAATACAAACTGATAGCTGATCTTTACAGAGGGAGAGAGAGCCGTCCCTCTGCTCCCCTGATACAAATGCATCTCTGGTTGCTTCCTCTGCCCAATTGCTTATGTAAAAATGCAGGTTCACTGAGCCAGACAAAATTGTGTATTCAGTGAAAGGCTGATCAAGGACTCAAAAGAATGCAACCTTTTGTCTCTTTCTCTTATCTCCCTATGACCTGGAAGCACCCCACCTCTACCCCTGCTTTGAGTTGTCCCACCTTTCTGGACCAAACCAATGTACGTCTTACACATATTGATTGATGTCTCATGTCTCCCGAAATGTATAAAATCAGCTGTGCCCCCGCCACCTTGGCGCGTGTCGTCAGGACCTCCTGAGGCTGTGTCATGGGTGTGTCCTTAACCTTGGCAAAATAAACTTTCTAAATTGATTGAGGCCCATCTCAGATATTTCACAGCAGCTACAAGGAGACATAGTGCTGACCCACTCTGGTCTCAGAGTTGGCCTTCCCCTGAACGTTTCCAATAGATAATCATGAGGCCAATAGAGGGGTGTAGCCATTTGAAGGAAGGAAGCATGAAGATTGGGGTGCCGGGGGAAGTAGCCCAGTGGGAAGCCTGCAGGGCGTCAGTCACAGAGAGCTCTGCACCATTTCCGTGTCTCCCTTTCAAGCTCCTCAAAAGTGAAGCCCTTACAGAAAACGAGAAGTCCTAGGCAAATCCAAGGGGCACCATGTCTTTGTAATGCCGTAGATCTGTGTGGCATGGCCCTCTCCTGCTGGCTTGGGGGTTGGGGGCGTCTAGTAGTTTGGTGCTAGAGGAGAAGCAGGCTCCCAGGCTGCTCCCTGCGGTGCTTTGTCTCTGACCTCACCTGTCCTCATTTCTCCCCCTTCTTCACGCAGGCATGGTGGCAGAGCCTGGCACCATTGCCGGGGTGGCCAGCGCCCTGGCCATGGCCCTCATCGGTGCCGTCTCCAGCTACATCTCCTACCAGCAGAAGAAGTTCTGCTTCAGCATTCAGCGTAAGTGCAGCCACCCACTCGTGGCTAGGAACCAGCTGGCAAGGTCTTTGGAGGGAAAGGGGCCAGGACAGATCCAGATCCCTCCACAGCCTGCCTGAGACCCACTCCCAAGCAGACTTCCTGGGACGGGGGTGGAGGCAACAGTTTTGGAAATCCCTGGGGACAGATCTGGGCTGAATTAAAGTGTAAACCACCCTGCAAGAGCGCGTGGGGCTGGCCCTGATGACCTTCACCTTCCAGGGCCCCAGCTCCCAGGGGTATTTCTGTGGGGACAGAGCTCAGTGACCACTGTGATGTTTCCTTCACGTAGAATGGGAGGGACCCTGGACTGCACCCATAGCTTCAGACCTCAGCCAAGCGGATGAGGGCCTTTGGAGGCCCTGCGTCACCAGCTCCCTCCCATGCTGCTGGCTCCCTCAGGAGCAGAGGGCAGCAGTTCCTGGGGGTTTGCAAAGCACGGCCCTTATTGCTCTGGCAGTGCCCCCGTCACATCGTGAGAAGTCACTGCCTGGTGCTCTTCCCCCTACGAGCCACAAACTGTATGGAATCATTAATTGCTCCAAAGAAGTAGGAATGTGAGAGAAAGAATGGTGTGGTTCCCCCCCGACCCACCACCCTTTACTAGGTTTTTAAAAGACAGTTTTCATCTCATGCTGTAGCTGTGAGTCTGGAAGTCATAGATTAATGGAATAGTTACAAATGGAATCCTGTCTTCACCCATCGGCGCCCCACATCAGGCAGCCCTGTGGGGATGCTGTTGAGGGAACAAGACCTTGCTTGTCCCTTTTGTAAGCACAGATGGATGCTCTGTCACTGTTTGCTGAGTGGAGCGTGTCTCCAGTTCAAGGCTGGCAATTTTCAGTTCAAGTGACAGAATGTGACTCAGCTGTAGCTTGTCTCTTTCCACTCCTTCCCCGGCCCCTTTGATGCAATGGGAAGCTTAGAAGCAACCCACGTGGGTCTTTCCCTACCCTTGCTGTGGCCCTCCGCCCTTAAGTCTAGCCTGAGCTGAGCTTCCCAGAAAACTAACCTGGGTCCCAAGATGCTTTACGGAAGTCTCCAACTGTTTATTAATCTGACCATCATATTTGTTTGCTTCACTCTTGTAGAACATTCTTGACCAGGGCGACACACACAGCAGGCACAGCAGTACTGCAGGAGCACGTTGACATGTCAGTGCGCAGCCTGCGAAACTGTTCATGGCCACCCTGCTTGAGATCCCACGGACCCACCGTGGATCCGGAAGCTTGACTGTAGAGTGGCATGAGCAGGGAATGGGTCAGACAGAGTCCAGGGCTGGGGAATGGATTGTTTTTAGAGTTACCCTTTTCCCTCAAATCAAAAATCAAGGAATCCTCTAACTGGTGAAAAAGATGGGAATCCAACCTTCTAATTGCCTGGACACTGATATTTAGAAGGAGACATTGGGCGAGAGGGTCGAGTTGCATTTAGCGCGGCGGGGGAAGTTTTGCATCAGCCTCCTGGGCTGTGCCTGGAACAAGGAGCCCAGGGCAACCAGGTACATAGTCACAGCCCTTCATCTCTGACCGTGTTCTTATTGCATTTGGCAAAAAAGTAGAAGCCGCCTAATACAGGGGTTTTCTGTTCAAGAGGCCCCAAGGCTGTCCTCCGTGGGCTCTCCCTCCGGCAGGTGGATTGGAACGAGATGGGGATTCTGGGACACAGCTCAATCCACATGGCCTTCCCCACGGCCAGGGATCCTCATTTGAAACTGCTCTTTGGGCTGGGAGCTCTCCATACTCGTCTCCCCTCCCTGTTTTAGAGGAGAGGGAGCAAGGACCTGGCCAGGGACACTTTGGGAGAACAACTCAGAGCATCCCGCTTGCCAGGAGAGGAGTGAAGATTTTGGATAAGCATCCAGGTTCTCAAGGTGGCCTCTTGGGAAAAGATAAAAGCCCAGATTTAGATTAAACCAGATCTGTAGGACAAAGTTAGAACTGACTGACAGAAAAATCTTTCCTGTATGACTGACTAAACTAGTTGGTAACTAAAATGTCATTGAACGAATATTTATTATTAAAAAAAATCCTACACCCAAAGATGTCCTCAAAATGGAGGCCACAGTGGCAGGGGAGGTCCTGGTGGCTGGCTAGAGGGCTTCTCCTGTGTGGACCTTTGCTGGAGAGCTTATTTGGCTGGAAGCACCATGTCAGATACATTTTGGCCTGATTTTCTGATGATTTCCCCTTCTAGGTGGCTGGGGTGGCAAGGAGGTTTGGTTCGTAGCAACAAAGTAGTTGTGAGCTCTTTGAACGAAAAGGCTAATGCCCTGGGAGCCAAAAGGTCTCACTGGTGAGGTTTGCCAAAGCTGTATGAGTTCACTGGGGCTGCCAGAACAGAGAGTCACAAACTGAGTGGCTCAAAACAACAGAAGTTGATTCTCTCCCAGTTCCAGGGGACTCCGGATGTTCCTTGGCTTGTGGCCATATCATTCCAATCTCGGTTTATATCCTAAATCCAGAATGACCTCATCTTAACATCCTTAACTTAATTACACCTGCAAAGACCCTGTTCCTGAATAAGGCCATGTTCACAGGTTCCAGGGATGAGGACACACGCAGATCTTTTTTGGCATGGGGCGGGGCATTCTTCACTATAGCATCGTCAGCCTAATGGTGAGATGCGACAGTCCACAGTTTTCACATCCATGCCCATTACAAAACTGGGTGAGATGGCCAGGCCAAAGGATGGCTTTGAGACTTTAAAAAGCATGCTGGGTAAAAGAAACTATTTAAACTACAGGTCTGTAGTTCCTCGTAAGAGCAGTGTCCCGGGCATCGTGCGCTTGCCAGCTACCTGCCATTGCCTCTCTTCCGGGCTCTGCACATGGGTGAAAAGCCAGCCCTGTAACTCGGCCTGGCAAGGGCAGGGCCATGGATGGGGAGAGTTCTTGGGCTGAGCAGACAGGGTGGCCGGCTTGGGCCCTCTCCTGCTGGGCCCTCAGTTTCCCCATCAAGGGTATCTCGACTTCCTTCTGCTCTGGAATTAAAAAGTCAGAGGCTGGCTTGAGGCTGCTCAGGTGTCAGTAGGAACAGAGAGAGAAAAATAGGTTGATTTCCAAAGCACAAAGTGAACATCTTGATTGTATCTGTCTCTGTGGGACATTAAAATGAAAGGAAAATACATTATTTTCATGCTTATTTCCTAAAACGGGCCAGTGTGAGGTTTTGCGAATTGGATCAGCAGGCAAAGCGGGGCAGCTCCCAGGAACCCCGTCGGCCCAGTGTGTCCATCTTGGATTTCAGTGCCCTTCCCCTCCCCTCCAACCTTCCTTCTCCCATGGCGCCTTCCTGTGTGGCTGTCTCCCCAAGCTAGAGGCTGGGAGTCCTCCTGTCCCCCCACCTCATGTCCGTGCATTCCCCAGTCCTGGGATTTGTGCCACCTGTGTAGGTCTCCTCTTGAGCCACACCTCCCTATCACCATTGCCATGGCCCCTGCCAGTCCAGAGCCAAGGTCTTCTCCTCATCTCCCGTCCAAAAGGTTCCATAGACCTTTTTGCCTGTGCAGTCTCCTCCACACCTCACGCTCCTCCAGCGGGACCTGTTTTAAAATGCCTGGATCCCCCTTATGCTTCCTGCTGCCCTCAAGGTCCTGGCTGAGCCTGAGTTTGGCAGTGGAAGCCCTTCATGGTTTGGTCCCAACCACATCCTTTCCCCTCCATAGGCTTCCCAGAGGCCTTTCACTTCCCGAGGGCGCCAGGTGCTCTTCCATCCCCATCCCGGGCCTCTGCTGTCCCCCGTCCTGACCTAGCTCCTCTCGCCCTGCAGGCCTGGAGCAGCCTCTCCCAGCCTGTGGTCCTACAGCGCCCCCTGCTGACCTCACCTGGTGCTCATGGGGCGGGATTGGGCCGGTTGGTTTCTGAGTGTGCGACTCCCAGCTCGCCTTGCCCCCTCCGTGATCAGGAGTCTCTGGACCGTCCATTCCGTGGCGGGGCTGCGTGTACATCATGTCCCTGGCACCTGGCCCGGGCCAGAATCAGGAGGAGTCCCGCAGACGTTTGTGGGGTGGCTGAAAACACTGAGAAGCTGGGGGTTGGGCCTCCTGTCCCCACTCTTTCCCCTGAGTCTCAGCCACTGCCACATGGAGATGGCGGTAGAGGGGACCGGGGTGCAGAACACCAAGCTCTGGGGAGACAGCAGGAGGTGGCTGCGAGGAAGGCCTGCCCCCACCACTGTGGCCCTCAGGTGCTCTCGGCCTCTGCTGCTGCCAAAAGGCCCATGCTGGGGACCCTTGGCTTCCCTTGCCTTTGCCCTCAGTGTGGAAAGCCCGCATGTTTGCTGTCAGGAGCGCTCTTACTCCAGGGATTCTAAGCTTTGTGTCTTGCCTTCAGATGCAGCAGCAGGTCAAGGTAACGCTGCTTTGCCTTCCTCACTTTCCTTTTGCTTCAGCCTTGATGCTTCCTCATTCGCCCCCTGCTCTGGCGCTTCCTTGCCGCTCTTCTCCCTCCTGCTTCCCTGGCACTCACCGACGTGGCTGTAACCAGGACCATCTTTAGCTTACCCTGATGCGTGTGAGAGGATGCCACCTGCCAGACACTCTGTCCCCAGGCTGGATGTGGCAGGGGTGGGGGGAGAGTTGAGGTGCCATGGTGAGGACTCAGGTGCCCACTGGTGGTCATGCCTGGGGAGCACATAGAGGGCCACCCACAGGAAGGAGACGATCCAGCGCCCACTGGGTTGGCAGCTAGCAGTGATCACGAGGCTCAGGGTGTGTCTCCTGGCCCCCACCTGTCAGCTGGGAAGGTGCACCTGGGGCAGCTTCCACTGCACTCATCACCTGCCCCGCTCTGCGTGGGGCCGGCCACACCTGCCAAAGAGCAACGCCCGCATTTGCCACAGGCCCATTTGGCTCCCACCTCAAGCCCAGCAGCCACCGGGGCAGGCAGGTGGTGGGCATTCTTGTTTAGGCAAGGAGCCTGTAGCCCAGGACGATGGCTTGACTTGCACTGGTGCCTGGTCGGTCGGTCGGTCGGTTGGAACCATGCCCCAGTTTTCCCACAGACCCGGGGCTGAAGGGTTCCAGTCCCTGTGCTACGCAGGGATGAGACACAGACTCTTGACTCTCTGCAAGCAGCAGCAGGGGTGGGGTCCACTCTAAGAACTTGAACACTGGCCCTTGCTGGCGGGAGGGAATGCTTGGTACAGTCCCCGAATCCCTCTTGTAACAGGTGTAGAGAAAGCCTAGATAACTAACTAGACTGAAGCAGCTGCTGGTGGGCTGGCCCCTCCAAGCTCAGGTGGACACAGCGGTTATTCCTGCTGCTGGGAGGAGCAGTTGGCCTCCGCGCGGGTGTTGCTGGGAGGCTGCATGTTGGCAGGAGGCTTTGCTGCATCTACATGCTGAGCCCCACTCAGCCATCCGCCCCTCCCTGCCCTGCATCCATCAATCACTCATAGCGATTGGCTCCCTGGCCCCCGGGCCGCACACGCACACGGACCTGTGGATGGTGCTGAGCCCTGCCATCGGGCGCCCCCTCCACTGGGCGGAGCTGCCGTCTTGACGCGGTGGCAGCTGCCCTATGAGGATGGAGTGCCGGAAGCCTTCGCTGCATGTCGTTGTTATTTCTGAGGACGATGATGAGAACTCCTGGGCAGTGAATTCTGGGACGAACAGTCTTCATCCGGATAAGGATGTTCAGGTGGCTCAGGGTGCAGGGTTTTGAGTTCCCCAGGGGAGCTGTGCTGCTTTTTTAGCTGCAGAGGACTTGGTCAGGAGTTCTCAGTCACGATTGGGGACCCTTAGGTCCTGTGCGCATCACTAACTCTGCCCTTTTCCCTTTGCAGAGGGTCTCAACGCAGACTACGTGAAGGGAGAGAACCTGGAAGCCGTGGTATGTGAGGAACCCCAAGGTGAGAACTTTGTACTCACTGTCCCTTGCTGACGCTTTCCTAGTTGGTCCCAGCACTGAGCAGAACTGTGCTAGAGAAGCAGGGAAGCACAGAGGCGTCTGCTTCTAGAATGTCCGGCCAGAGCAAAAGCCTGCCCTGATGAGCCTGCCTCCCAGTTTCAGGAGCCCAAAGATGCTGGGGTGACAGCCAGGGCCATCTGCTGCCATGCCTGTGACTTCTGGGCATTGCGGCTGCTCGGCCCCTGCCCTTGATTCGTCCGTCCGAGCCAGAGCCCCAGGCACCTCTGCTCCCCATCAGCGAATACAATTACATCCTGAACAGAGCCATGGGGAAGCTTTTCACCTAGACCTAGAACTTTTCCCTTTGCAAATTGCCACAGGCAAGAGGGAACTTGGGTAAAACCCAGACCCTATTGTCAACACCTGTGCCCCTCCCTCCCCCTTCTGTGGTCATCAAGCACTTTCTGGATTCAGGAGCTGTTGGCAATTTGAGGTCGCATAAGTTCAGGCCACAGGCCTAGAGTGCCCAACTGCTCGAGGCAGATATGACCTGTGCCCACGGGATGCCAATGAGGAGGTCCGGAAAGGCTTGCTGGGGTCGGGGAGCAGCCGAGGCCTGGTGGCGCAGGCAGGGAGACTAGGACAGCTCAGGCGAGTGTTGCCAGTGGAACTACAGTGCAGCAGCCGTGGGGACTGGGCCTGGGAGACCAGGAGGGGCTCAGCCTGTGTGGTGTGTACTGGGAGCCAGGTGCCCTACAATGCTGCTGAAGACGGGTGGCAGTGCTGCACCAAATGAACTAAAATAGGCCTGGGTTCAGATGTGGAAAAATGGATTCCGCTGTCGCATCCACTGTCATGAGCTTTGCCACGGTTAGCCACCACGAGGCCAGCATCTGTGTGGGCAGGTGCTAGGTTGAGCCCTTTGTTTAAAATAACCCTTCCAGCAGCGCTGGCAGGAACACGCTCATTTTTTAGGTGAGGAGATGGAGGCTGAGCTGTTTCCAGAGCCTGTCCAGCTTTCTCTTTCTCTCCCCTTGACCGGCCCAAAACTGCTCCCAGGCTCAGGAGGGAAGGTTGCTAAGCGGCCCCCCAGGGGATACAAAGGGAAACCCAGTTCTGTTCCCAGCACGGGCTTGCTGCTGTATTTGCTTCTTCTGTGCAAGACAGAGCAGAATTCCTTCTGACGGCCTCTTTTTCCCCTAGTGAAATACTCCACGTTGCACACGCAGTCTGCAGAGCCGCCGCCGCCGCCCGAACCAGCCCGGATCTGAGGGCCCTGTCCAGCTGCAGGCATGCACAATGGTGCCACCGCTTGTCACCCGGCTCCCCCCACCCCTTCATTTGGACCCGCAGCTGCTGTGCTGCTCTGTGCCATCGGCTCCTTGTTGGTCTGAGTTTCCCGGATGAGCTCTGGGTGTTTGTGAGTTTGGTTTCTCTGCCCTGCCCCAAGCGTGCTGAGACTTGGTGCCGAAATTCAAGAGCCAGCTCTGATAGAAAGCCAGCACCAGCCTCGGGAGCTGCTGAGCCACCAACTCCCAAAGCCAGCCTGCCTCCAGCTTTACTGAGCACAGGATGCGGGGGCCAAGATGATGCTGAGGCCTGATGACATTTATGCTTAGGGGACAAGAGTTTGAACTCAAGGGACTGTGACCCCTGCACACTGGAGTGGCTCATTGTGGCAGGTTTCTGCCAATAGACAGCCCCTGACAGTGGCCTCAAGGAGCTGCAGGTGGGGGGCTCAGCCTGCACCCACTTGGAGCCCCTGCAAGGAGCGAACCGGTCAGCACCAAGTAACACCACACACACGCAGCACCCAGGATGATGGTTTCACTTCAGTCTTCCCCATCCCAGGTTTTATGTTGCTGGGCTTCCGGAGAGCCGGTCCAAGCGGAGGCTTTCAGTGATTTAAGTACAAACATGCATCTCGTGATAGTCCTGCCTTGAGAGCTTAGGAATCTTCCGGATAAGTATGAAGCAATTCGTAGGCCTGTTTCCCATCTGATTCCATAGGGGGCTGGGTGTGGCCTTCGGGTTGACATGAGAAAGGTCTTTAGCAATCATTTCTGCACCGGAGATGAGTTTTATCCTGTGTTGGGGAGAGGTGCTCACCCTCCACCCTGTGTCCCTGTTTTGGTAGCAAGAGTGACCGATGTCAAGAACGAGCATCAAAGCCAGAATCCTGCTTGTTTGCTTAAAAATGTAATTGGGGGCGGCGGGGGAGGAGAGGGGAAAGAGACATTCGCTTGGTTTAGTGAAACGCAGGTGACTTTGTAGCTCTGTGGTCAGCCTACTTGTCTGCTCTGAGGGAGAGTGCGTGGGGAGCCATGCTCACCGTGGCAAACACAGGAACCCCATGACTCGCCCCTCACCTGGCGTGGAGCTGCCTGGTTTGGGCTGGAGCAGAGCTGGTTTCCTGGAATGTTCCTTTGGCCCACATATGGTTCTGTCCCGGTGAGCTCTGTTGTCAGAGGCTCACGGGACAGAACCACATGCTAGGGTCTAGGGCCCCTGTCTACTGATAGTCAGTTTGCTGTGTCAGAAAGCACTTCTGAAAGCAGATATGAGTCACCAGACAGGCAGGATCTTACAAAACTCACGGGCCTCTTTGGTCTGCATGATGGCCCCATGCGTTTCATAGGCTGTCCACTGAGCGGGATTGTCTGCTGAGTGGGATGAGCCAACTCCAGTTTCTTAAGGAAACCACTGGAATCTGCAGCCCCCACATGCATCTGTCTAACGCATGCCTCGTGTTCGTTTTGCAAACATGCCTGTGGTGGAGGGTGGTCAGTTGTAGCCCTGTGCGTCTCAAGGCTGCCTTGTGAGGCCATTCCCAGTGCGTGCCCTTGAGCTCCTTACCACCCCTTTTCCTGCTCGGCCCTTTAATCCCTGACAGACCTGGACTGTGTGGCTGAAGGGGGACCTGCAGCACTGCAGAAATGCCTCTGCGTGGTGCCATGAAGGAAAGAAACCTTGGCCTGGTCTCGAGAAGCTTCCCATGCTTCAGGAAGTTAGTAAGGGTGGGGTGGCTTGCAGGATTGGCCTGTTTCCAGGGCCTCCCACACTCATTGGCCAGATTGTGAACTTTGTCAGGCTTGTCCCTCCCTGATACCAAGTATGTCGAGAACCGATGGCCCCACCCTCTGGCTGGTGCTGGGCCGGAGGTGGCTATGGAGGATTTTGGCATGCGTGGCCTGTCGCCACCTGGACAGCGTGACCTCAGGGGTTGTCCACTTTACCTTTATGGTGAGGCCTGTCGGATGGCTAAGTCCTTGAAACCCTAGAGCTGTGACGTAGAATATGTGCTGTCTGTGAGACCGTGTTCCCAGGAGCACTGACTGCAGTTGAGAGAGACCCATTTTGCTCTCCCTTACCGCCCCCCGCCCCGGGTGCTTTCTGCACAAAGCCTAGAGCCTGGCACTCAAGCCCACCGGTGGCAGCTCCTAGTGACTGGACATGCCTGGAAGACCCCTCAGCCTTCTGTTTGCAGAACGTTCATTTCAGGAGCTTCTCCTTCCCACAGACATCTTACACTTGCTCGACACTGCCACCTGCAGAAGCCTGGCGGGCTCTGGTCACCATGTGTCTATCTGAAGGTTGCACTGGCCAGCATGGGCCTGTCCCAAGCGAGAGGGGAGACACAGTGGACTGAAAGGACTGGTTGAAAGTGGCCAATCTCTATCAGCTTAATTTGGCAGAGAAAATTTGTAACAACTCTGAGCACATGCTGGGTGAAGTCACAGCTCAAGGAAAGATAAAGCTGGGCGGAAGGAGGTGTGCGTGGCTTCTGGGGTGGGACCCAGAGGGGAGGCTCTGGGACAGGGGCTGGGGTTCAGTGCCAGGGCCCTGAGGAAGAAATGGGGACTGATCTCAAAATTCCAGAATTCCCTGTACATCTGTTCACGTGCTTGTGTCCAGGTGTGACTTGTAAACTGTCTAGTGTTTGCATTAAATAAAATGGCACCGAGCAGATTCTTGTCTTCTGATGGTGTTAAGGCACGCCCTTGGTCAAGTGTTGCCACTTTTCCCTAAAGTAAGTAATTTATGATGCAGAGCTGCCCTCCTCCCCCTCCCCCCGCCCCGCCCCCAGCTGAAGGTATTTCTCGAGAAGCTTAGAATTCTTGCATTTACCCCTCAGTGACTGGCTCAGTGTCAGGACTTCCAAGGGTGACTCCTCACCGTACAAGCAGCTAAGGCCAGGGGATGTGGAGCGACCAATGTCCTGGGGTTAGAGAGGGCAGAGGCAGGAGCAGAGTGCTGCGGGGCCGCTCCCGGGCTACATGGGTTGCGCAGTCCGGGGCCTGGAAGCAGCAAAAAGTCCCAGGCTCACAAATCCCAAGTCGACTGCTCTGCCGCCTTCCAAGCAGGCTGGTAACCAGTGGAGGTTCCAGTTAACGCGCAGTTGTTTTTCAACCAGAAAGCTGGGTGAGAAAGGAGCCCTGCACCTCGTCACTTGTTGCAGCCTCATGGAGAGTGGCCCGTTTGGGATGAAGTATGTCCTTCTCATCAGCTCGCATGTTGGCTTCAAATTGAGAAGACGACAGTTCAGTTCAGGGCATTTCAGCATGAAAACAAACAAGATGCAGTGGACCCTGGGTTTTAACATGGAGGTCGGTTGTTTGTTTTTTCATTTTGTTTTGCCAACCTCGGCTTCTAGTGAAATAATAGCATCAGGTCCTCTCAAACCCGAGACCACCATATGCCTGTCTCGTGCAGGAGTTCTGCATGGCTAGCTGCTATGGTCTCACTGCTGGGGAAGGCTGGCTGGCAAGCAGTCCCCTGGGCATCCTCTGTGCCCAGTGAATACCGGGCTCTCTGGCTCACTCAGTAGTAACGTGTGTGGAGAGGGACAGGGACCCCACACCCTTAACAAGAAGACCGACAACACACAGAGGGCACAGGGGGTGGTGTGATTTCATCCAGGCCTTCGTGGCCCTGAAAAGGTGAACGCCCCTTCCTTTGGGGTGGGGGCAGTCTGAGGCCTTAGAGAGCACTGCACTTGCATGCGAAGGACTCATCACCCTGACTGGCTCCTCTCAGGTGTCTCCAGACCTTTCCCCAAGTCGTCCACGTTTTCTCAAGGTTAGAGCTGAGGGCGTTTCTGACTTTACAATCATCAATCAATCAATCAATCAATCAATCAGTATTTCCTGTTTCAGCCAAAATACTTACTTACTTACTTACTTACTTACTTAAGACTCATGATACATTTACAATTTACTGAATGAATTAAATCACATAAAGTTAGTTACTTTACATCATCATATATTAACTGTGCTTGACGCACAGTAAACATTCAATCCATGTTATTTTATTACCGATTTTCCTCAAAGGAAAAATCTACTAAGATACTTACTTACTTACTTAAAAAAGACCAGGGAGCAAACATATGATCATTTTAATTACAGATGATTGAAATACAGTGCAACAGATGAGACAAATACAATACTGTACCAGTTTTTAAAAACCTGAACCATAACGGCTTCGCATTCTAGTACACTTACTTACTTAAAACAAAAATTGCTTAGATAACAAAACTATACTTCAAGTTGTTTTAGAAACAGTTCTGCGCTAGGAACATACAAAGGAAAATGACCCGTTGTGCTTCTTTAAAATCGAATGAGAGTCTCCTCTAGGGTCCTGCTGACAGAGCCCCCCCCAGCCTCCGCCAGGTGAGGTGCACAGGGCCCACTCCAGGCACCAGCTCCCCCCAACTTGGCTTCTCTGGTTTGTCGAAGGCATCATCCAGTCCACACTATGTTTAACAGTCCTAGTCAGCCAGGGGATTACATATTTCTGGGAAGAAAATGGCAAATGTCCCCATTAAAAAAAAAATCAGTATATCAATAATCCAGTATATCCATTCATAAATAAGCTTTCAGATATGTTAGGAACATAAAAGCTATTGTTGAACACGACTTAGCAACAAATCCCACATATGATAAAAAATGGAGAATTGATTTTAGGTTATCAAATTACCTTGAATAAATCTCTCTGGTATCTTCTTATAGAAGGATAATTTTCCGTAAGAATCAGGAGGTTCCCAGTTAAAAAAAAATCCATTCTTTCTCTCTCTACGAAAAAACCCTTAACATATTTTCAAAAATAATAAGGTCAATCTGTAGGCCTTTGCCTGGAATCCAGTAGTTTGAAACCAACCAGCTAACACTGCTATGCAGTCACACTGGGGTTTGACCTCAGGGGCCGCTGCAGCTGCCTCTGCCTCTAAAGGCTGAATTCCTGCAGCCAGTGGCGGGGTGGGGGGGCAGCTGCAGCAACAGGCACGGCACATGGGAGGGGCATGGCCTGCTGGGGCAGGACCCAGGTGTGCAATAGTCATCTGTGGCATGTCACACAGAGGAGCTCAGAGCTATGGCGCTCAAGTGGATTGAACCAATTGGTAAGTTAGTTAATTCCTGCGAGAACCGACGGAGTCACAGAGCTCAAAGTCAGTAAGTAAAGGTTCAGGAGCGGGAAGAGAGGGCTGACCAGCTGCGGTCGGCTCTGGGAAGGGAAAACCAAGGGAAGTGCGTGCTATGCTTTTCCAAACCAAAGCCACAGCACGGTGGCTGCTTTCAAATATGAACAGGCAGCCACGCGAGTAAGCTGAGTTGAAGGAATTGTGATAAAATGAGAAATGATTTCATACAGGCAAATAACATAAGAACAGACTTGCTTTGATCCCAGCAGCTGGCTGCGGTAAAGTGGGGGTGGGAGACATGGCTAGACAGCCCAGGAGCGAGTGACAGGCAGTGCTCCTTGAAGGAGCCAGAGGCCAGCACCTGTGCACAGCTGCCAGAGGCCTCGGTTTACCCTCAGCGGGGCTGGAAGACTGAGCATGGCCGCTTGGTGCCATCCCCATGAATGGGCTGAGCCGCCCCAAGAGGCGAGTACCAGAGTGAGGTGAGGACAGAACACGTTGCCCTTGAAATTGCACCACAGAAAAACGAGCATGAGGTTTGTTGGAAAAGAATTTCTCCCACAGTACAGTTGAGCTGATCCCCCCTCGGGTGACTATTCTAAACGTAAAAAAGGACATAGGAAAATAAAGGCCTGTTTCTCTTCTCTAAAAATACCTTATATGTACACAACAGTAATTGTTAACAGGAGGACCCCGTGCATGAAGAAAACTGTGGAACAGAGGGCAGTGGCCTGTCTTCTCCCCAAGTACTTCATTCAAGACAGTTTTCAAGTTGTGGCCAAGAGCTGAGGGAAGCCACGGGGCTGGCAATGCATCTTGAAGTGAGTGGTGTTTGTTGTTACTGAAGGATTTAAGTTGGAAAGAAATGGCGTACAGCTTTCTTGAACCTCAGTACTGCATTCCGTTCACTTAGTTTCTCCCAAGCTGCCTGAATGCCAGAAGTTGCTTCACAGGGTGGGCGTGACAGACGGCTCCCCTGTGAAACCGCTGACAGGAGGGTAACGGTTGCCAACAGTGGGAGCTGTCACCTAGCCACACAAATGGTCCCTGGGCCTAATCCTAAAAGACAAGATCACAAGCTACAGCCATAACAGTGATCGCCAGGTCCCTTTCCTGAGCCACCGGGAGACAGTGGAGCAGCAGGCTGACCTCGCCCATCAGACCGAGGTGTGGACGGAGGTGGCGGAGTGGGAGGGCGAGGAGCCCCGCTCAGATGAGGATGAGACGGCGCGCGTGGCCACCTCCCGCTGTAGGCCCTCCACACGCTTCTGCAGCTCCGCCCTGACGGCCAGCAGCTCCTTGAGATTCTGGTGAATGGGCATCTGGAGGGAGCAGAGACAAAGCTGCATTATCAGGCCATCCTCCTACCACAGCGTTTCCACATGGAGATGCTGTTGGCTTCAGGAGCTTTTCACCATCCAGACTCCTGGAGCGGCCAAAGTCTCCTGAGGCGTTGACCGATCTCGCGTCAGGTGGACAATGGGACCCCATCCCATGAGCTTTGGCTGCCACTGAGGCCGCCCTGCAGCTCCGGGGGCCGAGCCGCTGAGCCGGGATGAAAAGGCACCATGGGGAGGCTCCCACAGTTTCTCAGAAGACAAGCAGGCACGGGGACACTGCGCACCATGGATCAACCGAGGGCGCCGTGTGCAGACTCGGCACGAGCAGTGTCCTAAAGACTGTGCGTCAGAAATGTTTCCACGCAGACCCCTTTCCAGCATCTCCATTATCTCTGTATTTTTGCATTTTTATAAATAGCTCTGCTGACTGAAAATCCTTCTGTTAAATCAGCACTTTTTACAACTTGAAGCTGTGTTTTCATCAACCGGAGCAGGATCTGCCAGAAGCCCCCCGGAGCGGGCAGTGCCGGCAGGGGGGTGGGGAGCCTCCCCAAGGACCAACCCCTCCCTCCTTGCTCAGCATCACCGCAAGGCCTCACCTTTAATTAGCTTTTCTCTTTTAAACCCATCAACTGTGGGGCAGGGGTGAATATAAACAAGAAAGGTTTTCCCGGGGCATATGGGACATCCAGTCCTGCTATTTTATAGTCATAGCACCCAACCCACTCGCCTAACAAGCTGTCCCCAGCAGCTACTAGGAGGCCAGACATCCGAGACCCAGCTTTTCTCACCTGGAGCTCTTTGGCTGGGGGCAAGGCTGACCAGAGTGAGGGGTCACCGACTGGGCTGAGGGAGAAACAGGGTGGGGTCTGGGGAGCTCCCTAGCCTTCCCTTGTCTCTGATCCCATGTGTAAACAGCAGCCACAGGGCTGGCTCCTAAGCCTCAGCCAGGCCATGTGACTGGCCACTTAACACCTTCCAGGGACTTCTTCCCCCTGCCCTGAGAGGGGCCTCGAGGCCCTCTGCAGTCTGGCCCCAGCCTGGCCCTCTGGCTCATCTTTCACCAGGTCCTTCCCCCACTCCCTCAAAGACTGAGCTGTTCCACCGTGTGTGCCAATGGTGATCAGCCCTCCTGGAGGGAAGGGGGAGACGGAAGGAGGATGAGAGCGAGACCGCAAGGGGGCAGCCAGGTCCCTCTAATAACAAGGTGCTCAGTAACCAGCACCCAGTGGGCTGAGAAGAAATGACCCCCTTGGGCAGGCCACAGGAAGAACAGAGGGGACAGGAGTGGAGTGTGATGGCAAAGGCAGATCCCACAGGCCTCTGGGAGGTGGCACCAGCTCCTCTCTTACCCTTAGGACCCATCTGGCATGCGTTTTCCTGTCTGTAGGATCATTTAATTCTGATCAGACAAGGGACGCCTTGCAATCAAGTTCCCATTATCCATCTACAGGCATGTGACCTCAGCAAGAAGCAAGACACGCAGGGAAATACACCACTGACACACACCCAGGGCAGACCCAGCACTGCTCAAACGCACCACTATCATCTCTTCACCAGCTGTTTGCATCTTTTCTCACCTATTTCTTTTCTTTTTCTTTTTTTTTTTTTTTTTGAGGCGGAATGCAGTCTCACTCTCTCCCCCAGGCTGGAGTGCAGCGGCACGATCTCAGCTCACTGCAACCTCCGCCTCCCGAATTCAAGCGATTCTCCTGCCTCAGCCTCCTGAGCAGCTGGGATTACAGGCGCCCGCCACCACTGTGTCTGGCTAATTTTTGTATTTTTAATAGAGATGAGGTTTCACTATGTTGGCCAGGCTAGTCTCGAACTCCTGATCTCAAGTGATCTGCCCGCCTTGGCCTCCCAAACTGCTGGGATTACAGGCGTGAGCCACCGCGCCTGGCCTACTCACATATTTTCATTTGCAACAAATCAAGGGCATGCCTGAAGGAATAGAAAACTCGGAGGCTTAAACAGAGGATTGTGTTAGAGAAAATTCCCATCTAAGGGCCAGTCATGTTTGCCGCATGGGTACTAGCATCACAAGACATAAGGCAAGACAGTCCCAAAGGAAATAGGACGCCCCTGGGCCTTCCACACCCAGCCATCCTCTGATGGATGCCCAAAGAACCCCTTTCTCGGCAGCCAATCGAGCCACTGCCTTCTCAGAGAAAAGAGGCCCAACAGGCTTGCATCTGCCCTGTCGTTTACCCCCCTGCACTCCCTCCCCTCCCCTCTCTTCCTCCTTCTCTCTGCCTCACCTGGCTCCTCAGGCCCTGTCACTGGACACCCACACCAGCCACTGATCTCTGCCTGTCTTCAATGCACTCCCCCACCCCCATTCCCACACCTAGGAGGTGTCCGACACATGCCTGTTGCATACAGGATAACAAGCTGCGGCCCATGTACTCTTTTTTGGTTCTCTCTTCTGTGTAGCACAATGGAGGGAGAATGCAAAAAGCAGGACCACACACCTACTACCCTCCGAGCACAGTGCACTTGGAATGGATTCACTTCCTGCTCAGCAACCCCCTGTGAGGTCCCCGTGAGGCTCAGGACCCTGCTGCAGATCAGGCGGTGAGTCACTGCCAGAGACGGGATCTGGCCCTGTCGGGGGCATCCTTCCACAACTACACGCACTGGGCAGCAAGATTTCAACCAAGTCACTGCTTCTCTGACCCTTCCCTCATTCTCTACGTCGTGGAATTGCTGGGAGCGTTAACTGGGATCATGTGTGTACAGAACCCACTGGCACACAAGAGGACTGCAGGTTATAGGCGCTGTCGCTGTGGTTTCCATCATCATCATGATGTTGCAGGTGGCTTCGCCTACATGAGTGAGAACCTGACCACATCTGGGAACAGATCTGTCGCGCAGTTTGTAGGTTTTAGGAAAGGTCTGTTACCTGCCTCACGCGGCGGGCAAGAATCTGAGCCTGGGTGCACCCCTGTGGGACACCACTCTAACCCTCTCTGCTGGTTCAGCATTTCTTCACCTCTGCAACCTGCTGCACAAGGGGGAGCGTGGCAGGGGTACGGGGGTCTCCTGCAGTAATCGAGAGGCTCTGTTTAGCCAAAGGCACTCCAGATCAGGCATGGTTCTGTTGGATTTTCTGCTAATGTTCATGACACTCCACCAACCACCCGGGCCTTTGAGTCACCAAGAATATCACCTGGTAACCCTATGTGATTTCAGTAACATAGTGACTTCTGACACTCTGTAGCCCATCTTCCCTGTTGCCAAAATAGATGAAATAGAAGCCACCCAGGACAGAATAACTCAGCAAGATGCCTAAGTAGAAATACACATCAGTGAAGAGGAAGGTGCTGGAAGGGGGATGTAGGCTTTGGTTCCCAAGTTGACCACTGACTGGAAAGAAGTGCTTGATGGGCCCCTGTGTTTAGCATCTCAAATAATGCACCTGAAGTCAGAAAGGAGGACAGTGCTGGACCTGGACTCCAGTGACAGGGCAGCAGGTCACCCTGCACATAGACTTCTTGGGCTGAAAGCCAGGAAAGAAGATGCTAATGGGACCAGCAACCTCTCACGCTCACTCATAGTTCCTGGGCACATGGACCATTTCAAAGACAGCTCGCCTTCAAACTCAGTTCTCATCTGGGGAAGGATTCAATCTAGTGACAAGCAGTTATTAGATTAATAACTTAAAGATCAATTAATAACAAGCAGGGACATGTCTTGCAGAGCACAAAGTCTAAAGGGAGAGATAAATGTAATTTTTTTTTTTTTTTTTGAGACGGAGTCTCACTCTGTCGCCCAGGCTGGAATGCAGTGGTGCAATCTCATCTCAGCTCACTACAACCTCCGCCTCCCAGGTTCAAGCGATTCTTCTGCCTCGGCCTCCTGAGTAGCTGGGATTATAGGCGTGCACCACCACACCTGGCTAATTTTTGTATTTTTAGTAGAGACAGGGTTTTGCCATGTTGGTCAGGCTGGTCTCAAACTTCTGCCTCGTGATCTGCCCACCTCGGCCTCCCAAAGTGCTAGGATTACAGGCGTAAGTTACTGTGCCCGGCCAGAAATGTAAATTTTTTTAAAAAGAGGAAGAAGGAAGCTAAGTTGATGCCAGGAGCTCAGGTGGTGGCCAAGTGGCAGAGGGCGTGGGGAGCTGGAGCCATCGGGCAGCCACAGAAGGTGATGTCTGGGCTGTTAGGCAGGAGCAAAAGGCCTCTCTGGAGGAAGGTGGAGCGTGGACACAAGGCAGACTGAGGCGGGGAGAGTAGGTAGAAAGCTGTCCCAATATCCCAGAGGACTGGGTGTGGAGGGGAGACCTGAGGGAGAGGCCAGTGGGGACAGGACAGGTTTAGGGTGGGCAGGTGTGAGTCCTCTGTAGGCTGAGGGGCAAGAGCCACCACAGGGAGAAGGAATAAATGCAGGTTCAAGGGGCTGGAGAGAGCAGATGTGCAGGGGGAACTGGCCTGCAGCAGAGGGGCGCACCTCTTCATTCACTCATGCGTTCATTCAGTCACATCTGTCGAGTCTCCGTTAGTTGCCAAACACCATGCTAGATCCTGAGGGCCCTGTGGTTTCAAAGCCTGTGGTGTGTAGGGGCAGCAGGCAGGCAAACAGGCCGGTGCAGTATCGAGTGTCTTGGGGAATTCTACAGACTGATTATTAGCAGCGCCTCCACTCTCTTTCTCAAAGTACGCTAGTTTGGGCAATCAACATAGGGCCGCCAGAGCACTAGGTGAGCAGGGAAGAGGGCGCTCAACGGGAAAGGCTCCAGGGCAGCACAAGTCCCAGCAGCTCCCTGGCTAGTGGGAGAGGGACACAGATGCAAGTCTCTCCTATCCAAGGAAGACTCTGGGAAGAGCTGAAAGAGGTGATCAAACACTAGTTGTTTTCATACATGTGAAGACACAAAGGGCGGCTCATTCACACGGGGGATCTGCTTCAAGCAGGGGCAGGGCGTGTACAGGGGAGATGTGGCTAAGGGCACCCTAGGATGCAGGAGCACCCCTGCAGCCAGGACTCCTTCCCAACTCCCCAGGCCCAGCGTACAAGTACTAGGCTGAATGAGCACCCATCACAGTGTTCTGGAAAACACTCCTGAGGTCGTAAGGGTGGCAGGGCCAACTCAGAGGGTCCAGAGGAGAAAAGCATTTGCAGTGGAAGCTTTGTGGAACAAAATAGAAAGCCATCTAGGAAAGAAGAGGCAAGTGATGACTAGCCTGGTCTGTGGTAGAGGGCAAAGGATCCAGTGAGGAGTGGCCAAGCAGCGGCCTGGGGCAGCGGGGCGCACCCAGCAGATGGAGCATGGAGCTAAGGCCACCAGTGAGGGAGCTTTCCAGCTGGCAGGCCGGGGTACTATAGTGACGTATCCTTGAGGTTCCAGGGCCAGGCAGCTGAAAAGGAACATGAGCAGTTCAGACTGCCCCATGGCTAGTGGAGTGTGGAGACGATCTAGAGATCATGAAGACCCTAGGTGAGAGGGATGAGGGAGCAGGAGGATGGAGAGGAAGGCAGATTTCTGTATCATTGGCTGACAGAGCAATGCTATTAAACAATGCCCTGGGTACACGCTCCTGATGGACTGCAGTTAAACTCTGAGAGTATTCAAGTCAAAAGAAAAATCTCAGGCCTGGCGCAGTGGTGCACACCCATAATCCCAGCACTTTGGGAGGCCGAGGCGGGCGGATCACTTGAGGTCAGGAGTTTGAGACCAGCCAGGCCAACATGGTGAAATCCCGTCTCTACTAAAAATACAAAAATTAGCCAGGCATGGTGCTGTACACCTGTAATCCCAGCTACTTGGGAGGCCAGAGCAGGAGAATCACTTGAGCCTGGGAGGCAGGGGTTGCAGTGAGCCAAGCTCATGCCACTGCACTCCAGCCTGGGTGACGAGCAAGACTCCGTCTCAAAAAATAAATAAATAAAAAAGAAAAAAGTCTCAGCAGACAGTTATCTGTCCATGGAGGTACAGGCTGCCTCTATCTGTCTTCTTCACCACCCAGAACCAACCATGCCCTGGCCACCCATGTGGAGACTGGGGGTGCGGGGCAGGACTGAATCCAAACCACGACACAGTGGAGGATGTGGGGAGCCCTTCAGGAACCCGCAGCCAGAGCTCAGCCACTGAACACAAAGAGAGGACACAGGCTTGGCGGACTGGCCCCTGTAGTGCACCATTCTCTAATTTTGTTCAATCTCAGAAAATATTACAGTGAAAAAGTGTGGTGGGGAGGGGCAAACTCTCCCCCTTCTTCAAAGGGGCACCTGTTCTGTGATTCAAGCACCTGCCCTCCTACTGCTGGACTAACAGGGTCTATACACTGTAGCCCTGATGCATCTTCCACACGCCTTTCTACCACCTCTACGTGGAAACAGGGAAAAGGGCTGCCACCCCAACCCCCATATCTGCAGGTAAAGTAGTTTATAAGAAGAAGGGCCAAGCACTGGAGCACATAGCATTTTATGTACCTCATCAGTACGAGACAGAAGTGCTAAGACTTTTTAACTGTAACCCAGCAAACATCATCAGAGTTGGCGTATGGGTGGAACCTCCTGGAACATGAATGCAAAGGATTGAACCCTGACAGGAGAGGGCAGAAGACGGTCAGTATGGTATGTTAATATCTACCATTAACACATTTTCATACCACCATCTTTACTTGGAAAAAAAGGCAAACTCTCTCATTCATGAAAAGAAAAACAAAAAGATACCTGAGGTCTCATCCGTGGATTCCATCGTACATAATAATTTACCCACAATTCCAAATGACTCAGACTAGCAACAGGATATAACACGTGGTTTTCATAATTCACAAAGAAGGGATTAGAAAACTCGTCTAGCTGGCTATTGATATACGACCATAAAGATATCGTCTTTGTATATACATCCTGAAAAACAAAAAAGAACATTGGAAATAAACTTTTCTTCATATCATCAAGAATTAGTATTACACCGAGAAAAGGACTTGAATAATGAAGTGAATTCAAACGCTGAAAAATTCATGAATGTCTACTAGGTCCCAGCCCCACCTTCTTCCCACTCATGGCCTCATGGTGGGATGAAATGAAAACACACTGCTTGCTGTCCTGGAAAAACATATTGCTGAAGTTAGGTAGCATCCGACAACTGTGTCTATGGAAAGGCAGAGTGAGAACTTTCTAACAACCACAGGATGATAGGACCCACCAATAACAAATATAATTTTGAATTCTGGTGTAAGGTTTGCTTTTGTAGGCTGGGCACAGTAGCTCAAGCCTATAAGGCCAGCACTTTGGGAGGCCACATTGCGAGGACTGCTTGAGGCAGGAGTTTGAGACTAGCCTGGGCAACACAGTGAGACTTTGTCTCTACAAAAAAAATAAATTTAAAGATTAGCCAAGTATAGTCCCAGCTCCTCAGGAGGCTGAGGTGGCAGAATTGCTTGAGGCCAGGAGTTTGAGGCTGTAGTGAGCTATGATTGTGCCGCTGTACTCCAGCCTGGGCAATAGAGCAAGACCCTGCCTCTAAAAGAAAATAGAGCTTTTGTGACTCCTTTTTTTTTTTTTTTTTTTGAGATGGAGTCTCACTCTGTCACCCAGGCTGGAGTGCAGTGGCATGATCTCAGCTCACTGCAATGTCTGCCTCCCGGGTTCAAGCAATTTTCCTGCCTCAGCCTCCCGAGTAGCTGGGGACTACAGGCGCACGCCACCATGCCCGGCTAATTTTTGTATTTTTTGGCGGAGATGGGGATTCACTGTGTTGCCCAGGCTGGTTTCGAACTCTTGACCTCAAGTGATCCTCCCACCTCGGCCTCCCAGAGTGCTGGGATTACAGGCATGAGCCACCTCACCTGGCTGTGACTCTTAATATTGAGAAATGAGAATAGATTTTACAGTTAAGGTTCCTTGTGCTGGAAAATCATAGCTATCTGGAGGACAATGTGCTGTGGTGCAGGCTGGAGAAGCTCTATAAAGACAAGTAAATATATCACTAAGTTATCTCTTCTTCCCCTAATTTTGTAGTACACTATTCAGAAACACTGTACCTACTTGCATTGCTCATCTGAACAAAAACACCCAAATGTGCAGGCATGGTGAGGCAGGTAAACGTTAAACAATGGATCAAGCACAATGACAAAGTCAAATGAGAAAACGGCAAGGCCAACAGCATTTTCTCCCACTCTGCTGCTGACTTCCCATGAGCTATCTAAATACAGGAACATTCAATTAGGACCATTTCAATTTGTATACATTTATTTATTTATAAGAGAAACACCAACAAAAATTCAAAGGATCTGGAATAGCTAAAATAATCCTGAAAAAGAACAAAGTAGGAGGACTCATACTTCCCATTTTCAAAACTTACCACAAAGCTACAGTAATCAATGCCAGCAGTGCTGGCGTAAGGACAGACATGCAGATCAATGGAACAGAATAGAAAGCACAGAAATGAACTCTCTGACATTTACGGTCAACTGATCTTCAACAAGGTTGGCAAGAAAATTGAATGAGGGAAAGAAAATCTTTCCAACAAATGGTGCTGGGACAGCTAGATAGCCAACACACAAAAGAATGAAGTTGGATCCTTAATTCACACCGTATACAAACGTTACCTCAGAACAGATCACAGACCTAAATGTAAGACCTAAAAGTATAAAGCTCTTAGAAGAAAACAGGAGCAAATCTTCATGACTTTGGGTTAAGCAATGGTTTCTTAGATATGATACCAAAAGTGTAAGCAGCAAGAGAAAAAATAGATAAATTGCAGTTCATCAAAATTAAAAACTTTTGTGCTTCAAAGAACACCATGAAGAAAGTAAAAAAAAACAACCCCTAGAGTGGGAGAAAATTTTTGCAAATCATGTATCTTATAAGGGACTTGAATATATAAAGAATGTATAAGGAACTCTTACAACTCCATAATAAAAAGGACAAACACCACAATTTTAAAATGAACTAAGGAGCTGAATACACATTCTCCACAGAAGATATGCAAATGGCCAATAAGCACATGGAAATATGCTCAACATCATTAGTCGTTGGGGAAATGCAAATCTAAAACCACAACATACCACTTCCCACTCACTAGGATGGCTATAATTTTTTTAAAAAGGAAAATAGTAAGCGTTGGTGAAATGTGGAGAAATTGGAAGCCTCAGACATTGCTCGTGTGTGCAACTGCTTTGGAAAACAATCTGGCAGTTCCTCAATAGGTTAAACATAATTGCCACATGACCCGGCAATTCCACTCGTAGGTATAAATGAATGAAGGCGTATGTCCACATAAAAACCTGTACATGAATAGTTATAGTAGCATTATTCCTAAAAACCAAAATGTGGAAACAATCCAAATTTCTATCAACCAATGAATGGATAAACAAAATGTGGTCTATCCATATAACGGAATATTGCTCAGCCATAAAAAGGATGTATTGGTGCATAGATGAACCTTGAAAACATTACGCTAAGCAAAGGAAGACAGTCATATAAGTTCACCTATTGTATAATTCCATTTCTATGAAATGTCCAGAATTGGCAAATCCGTAGAGACAGAAAGCAGATTGATGGTTGCTAGGGGATAGGGGTGGGGGAAATGGGAAGTGATTGCTACCAAGTATGCCATTTCTTTTGGGGGTGACAGAAATTTTATAAACTTAGGCCAGGCACAGTGGCTTACACCTATAATCCCAGCACTTTGGGAGGCCGAGGCGGGAACATCACTTGAGGCCAGGAGTTTGAGACCAGCCTGGGCAACACAGCAAGACCCCAATCGCTACAAAAAATAGAAATAAAGAGATTTTATGAAATTAAATATTGATGATGGCTGCACAATATGTGAATATGCTAGAACCATGAAATTGTACATTTTAGATGGGTGAATTTTATGGTATGTAAATTATGTGTCAAGAGAGCTCATTTTTTTAAGAATGAATTTTGCACTCCCCCTCTCAAAAAAAAAAAAAAAAAAAAAAAACAAGATAAAGCCATGGTTAAAATTCTATATATGAACTTCATTCTTCTGCTTCTGATTTTATTTGTTTTAAATAGCTTTGAGATATAATTCACGTAACACAAAACTCACTCTTTTAAAAATGTTTTTCTTTTTATTAGGAGGTTAGCAAGTCCCCATCACACTGGGCCCGCAGGAGTGTGGATTTTACTCTAACTGCAGTGGGAAGCAGGGGAGAGGCACATGATCACATTTCAGTTACTGAATGCTCGCTGTGGTTGCTATGTTTAGAATGGACTACTGAAGGTCAGAAAGAGAATCAGGGAAGCCCATTCCTGGGTTTCTGCCTTAGTCCAGATGTGAGACAGTAGGAGTGTGAGACAGTAGGGGCTTGAGCTAGGCTTATAGCTGTAAGGCAGTTAAGAACTGGCAGATTAAGAATATACTTTGGGCCAATAATCCTAGCACTTTGGGAGGCTGAGACGGGCAGATCACCTGAGGTCAGGAGTTTGAGACCAGCCTGCCCAACATGGCGAAACCCTGTCTCTACTAAACATACAAAAAATTAGCCGGGCGTGGTGGCGGGTGCCTATAATCCCAGCTACTCGGGAGGCTGCGGCAGGAGAATCACTTGAATGTGGTAGGCGGAGCTTGCAGTGAGCTGAGATGGCGCCACTGCACTACATCCTGGGCAACAAGAACAAAACGCCGTCAAAAAAAAAAAAAAAAAAAAAAAAAGAAAGAAAAAGAATATACTTTGGGACAAGGCCAGCAGCATTCACCAGGGGACTGGATGTGGTAGCTAGGGTGAGGGTGAGGGAGGAGTGGAAGGTGGCTCCCGTGTATTTGGCCTCGGCATCTGGATGGCCAGTGGTGCTGTGTACTGAGATGCAAAAGAGCAGGGGAGGAGCAGGAAAAGGCATTTAGGTCCCTGAGGCGAGACAAAGTCACTTAGAAAGACGGAACAAGAGTTGAGGGGAGAAGAGGACCTGGGACTGGGCCCAGGTGACTCCAACTTTAGAGACTGGTTAAAATGGCAGCCAGTCAGAGGAGACTGAGCAGGGGAGGCCGAGGAGGCAGGAAAGAGGCAGGACCAGGTGGGGTCACAGAATGAGGGCACTGTCAACTGTGGGGAGGCTGCTGAGAGAGGGGGAGGCGGGCGTTACTGACAGACTGCTTTCTCCTGAATTCTATACTGTCCTAACATACTTGGCTCACAGGCATTGGTCCTTGTCTATTAACAGGATCATATACTCCTTAAGCTGCCTTTTTCCAATGCCTTCTCACTTTTGACCACGTTTCTCTTTTATCCCACACTGAGGGAAAAAGAAAGAAATGAGATGTAACTCTGAGAAGTTTGGTAACTGCTTCTTTACTACTTTGATGTAAAAAAGTGTTAGCTTGCTACCTAAAGTGGGCTTTTTGGCTAATCAGCAGACTCCATTTCCAAGGCCTTCAAGTATGATCTGGCCAACACCACAGAGGATGAAAAGCAGAATCCCACGGTTTTGGAGTTGGTGCAGCGGAGACTACATGAACTCGGAGTCAGGAGGTCCAGGGTCTAGCACTCATCTACTCCTGAGAGAGCCACGGGCTCGCTGGGTCCCAGCCCCCCATGCCTAGAAAGGAAGGGGCTTGTGTTAGACACATGCGGTGGGGCTGGCCAGAACCCTGGGAGGGCATTTACAGTCAGCAATAGCACCAGAGCGCAGTCCTCCCTCCCCTCAGCCCTCCTACAGTAGCACTTCCGAGGAGAGGTGCCTGAGCCACAGGGAAAGCAACAGACAAGGATGCAGCATACTCACCTCTTTGAATCGCTGCTGTTCACAGTTGCACAAAAAGGTCCCAAAAAGACAGCTATAAAGGTGATCCAAAATTGTAATCAAGAATAGCTCATTAAACTCGAATGCTGAAGGAAACTTAAATGAAGAGAAAAATAAGGTTTAGTCATAGAGTCCAATTTCTAAAAGTAATATTACTTTTTTATGAAAGACAGCGAAACTACAACTTGGAATATAGTCAAAGATTTAAAGGAAGACTGAGCCCATGTAAAGTTCAACTACCTACAGTTTTAGGTCCAAACTTATAGATCTGGCTGAGAAACAACCAGCAGCAACTAAATTTGTTGTACTCAATGCCCAGAAAAGCTTATGTAGCTTCCACTTCTCACCATGGCGGCAGGACAGAGCCCAGACTCACCCTTCTGTCAGAAACATCTAGCAAGCTGGATACAATATAAGAAATGACTGTTTTCAGACACTGGCAACAGGCAGTACTGGACTGTGACCCTGAGAGAAGGGAAACAAATGAGGGGAGCCCTCTATTGTGCCAGCTTCCCCGCTGCAGCCACATCCCAGGTCGGGGGTAAGGGGAGCAGTACATCCAGTCATAACATGTACCCAAAGTGACTCAAGAAGAATAGAAAATCCGAATAGCTCTGCATCTATTAAATAAACAACTCCTAGTTAAGAACCTTCCTACAAAGACAACTCCATGACCATACACCCCTGAATTTTTTTTTTTTGAGACGGAGTCTCTCTCTGTCCCCCAGGCTGGAGTGCAATAGCACCATGGCGCCATCTCGGCTCACTGCAACCTCCACCACCAGGGTTCAAGTGATTCTCCTGCCTCAGCCTCCTGAGTAGCTGGGATTACAGGTGCGCACCACCACGCCCGACTAATTTTTGTATTTTTAGTAGAGACGGGGTTTCACCATGTTGGCCAGGCTGGTCTCCAACTCCTGACCTCGTGATCCACTCGCCTCAGCCTCCCAAAGTGCTGGGATTACAGCACGCCTGACTTCTTACCAGTGTAAATGAGCAAGCTGAACCTGGCAATACATTTTAAAAAGGTAACACAACATGACCAAGTGGGGTTTACTTTACGAATGTAAGCCTGGCTTAACATATGAAAATCTATGTTACAAAACAAATCAATTACTGTAATTCACCATATTGGCAGAGTGAGGGAGCAAAACCACAGATCGTCTTGATTGTTTTAGGTAATTCTTGATGGGATTTTGCAGAATTCCAGTGAAGACTATTACTATTGCCAGCAGGTTCTAGCCAGTAGCTGGTGTGTTGTGGCCATGAGATGATCTGGAAGTGATAATAATTACCCTAACAGCAGGCATGTGCTGAGTGCCTACCATGCGCCAGAACTCTAATGTAAAAACACAGTAAAATATTCATCACCTACTCAATGAAGCAAAGCCAAATAGTACTACCCAGCATGCTTGTATTTAAGTTGGTTTACTTAAAAACCTATTCTTCAATCAGAGTGCTGTGTGCACACTATCATGACAAATCTTCACATCTCCAGAATGATCACATCAGGATCACTGGTAGAGAAGTTTATTTTTTAGTTTAGCTTTACTACTAGACTAGCACCAGGCTTTTCAATTAGAACAATGGTCAATCCAGGACTGTCCAAACTCCACCTGAAACTGTTTTCTTCACCAGGCTATTATATTAGCTGACTTAAGGAATTATGCTCAGATACCGTGGATTAAGATTTGCTTCTCTCTCCATCTTAAGGATTGCTCTCAGAAACACACAACTCTCCTCTAAGGAATCCCATCAGAATATTACTGCTTCAGAAACCTCTGGAAACTAATTCTGGTGGTTCTTACTGGCACCCTTGTTCTTAGATGAACTAAATCAATGATGTGATGTCTCTGGCTGAAATGCTAACAATATCTACTGGTTCATCCTTTCTTGGAGCCTTTAAGATTGCCCCTCGCAACTCTGACAGTGGCCTCACATTTCAAACGGCTATCTTTCTCTATTTCTCTCTCTCTCATTCATGCATTTATTTATTTAGATAGGGTCCCACTTTGTTGCCCAGGCTGGAGTGCAGTGGTGCGACTGTGGTTCACTGCAGCCTCAACGTCCCAGGCTCAAGTGATCCCTCCCACTTCAGCCTGCCAAGTAGCTGGGACTACTGCCACAACCCAGCTAGTTTTTTTTTGTTTTTTGTTTTTTGTTTTTTTTTTGTAAAGACAAGGTCTCCCTATGTTACCTAGGCTGGTCTTGAGCTCCTGATCTCAAGTGATCCTCCCATCTCGGCCTCCTAAAGTGCTGGGATTACAGGCATGAGCTACCGTGCCCGGCTCAAATAGCTATCTTTTAACAGGCCAGGCACACTATGTCCAATTTTCCCAGGACTTCTCTATGCTGCTTAGTTATGCCCTATTCATAAATTATTGGCACCACAGAATTTGTGAATTGTAAGCAAATATATGACATTTTTGTGTACTAAAGCTTTATTAAATCAAGGATAGGAATGAAAGATCCAGGGTTTTGTCCTATATTTTATAATTCTCAAACTTTTAAAAACAAATGTTTACTAAAAGATAGCAAATTATTGACATATTTTCAAGCCATATAAGTGCTATGAACTGAATATCTGTATCCCCCCAAAATTTCTATGTTGAAATTCTAATCCCCAAGGTGTAGTATGAGGAAGTGGGGCCTTTGGGAAGTGATCAGGTCATGAGGGTAGAGCTCTAGTGAATGGGATTAGTGCTCTTCTCAAAGAAGCCCAAGAGAGCTCTCTTGTTGCTTCCATGATGTCAGGTTACAATGAAAAGACAGCTAATCTATGAACCAGGAAGCAAGCCCTCACCAGACACTGAATCTGCTGGGGCCTTGATGTTGGATTTCCCAACCTCCAGAACTGTGAGAAAGAATTTCTGTTGTTTATAAACCACCTCATTTATGATATTTTGTTACAGCAGCCCAAACAGACTATGACAATGAGTCTTCATTCCTAGCCCCTGAGCCTGCATTGTAGATTTGGGAGCTTGGAAAGGTGTGTTCTAGAGTCAGTGACAACAAGCCTTATTCTGGTCACTGGGTACCAGATATGGGAGGTCAAAGTGGGCAGGGCTCAGTCCAAGCCCATTGGCACCCATGAAAACTGGAAAACAAAGGCTCCACCTACTCATGTTGGGTCAAGACTGCCATTTATACTCAGGGGGTGTCATGGCATTAAGCTCAACTCAAAAAACAGCTCATTGGAGGAAACAGTAGCAGGTGGAGTAATATAAACGAAAGATTAGGTCGCTGCAATTCATAGTTTGTTTTGGCCTCTTCTCCTGGAAACTGTACCTTTTACCTAAAAGTACGATTTCCGAAAATACATAGCACAGTAATCTATAATAAAATTCTGCACCTCCTTTTTTATTGTTTTAGAGACAGGGTCTCACTCTGTCACCCAGGCTGGAGTGCACTGGTACAATCATAGTTCACTGTAACCTTGAACTCCTGGACTCAAGCAATCCTCCTGCCTCAGCCGCCCGAGTAACTGGGACTACAGGTGCACACCACCATGCCTGGCTAATTTTTTAATTTTTTTTTTGAAGAGATGGGGTGTCTCACTATGTTGCCCAGGCTGGTCTTGAATTCCTGGCCTCAAGCGATCCTTCTACCTCAGCCTCCTGAGTCGCTGAGATTATAGGTGTGAGCCACCACACCTGGCCCCAATTCTGCACCTCTTGAGGAACAAAAATATCAATGACTATTAAACCTACCCAGAGGAGTAAGGATTGTATTAAACTATGGATATTATTGAGTGTCTTTGGGACTCTAAAGAGTCCCTCAATTATTTTTCCCTTAGTTTCTTTGTTCACATACAGACTAGTTCATTTTATTCTGATATTTCTGACAATTTTACACTGCATAGCTTACTTAACAGTAGGCAACCTAAAAATAATCTTTCCTATGACTGCATCTTATACCTGCTATATATCTCATTCATTTCTTAATGAACTGATAAAGACTAGTCATGGATGTCTGTGCTAATGCATTAACAATGTAATTTTAAAAGAAATTAATTATACACACATTTCACAGACAGAATCTTAGAGCTGTGAGAAGCATCTGAAATCTTCTAATTCAAACCCCTTTTCTTAAAATCCAATAAAAGCACAAAAATGACATGGCTTAGACATGAAAACAGGCACTAAGCAGTATAAAGAATGGAGGTCAGTTTGAAGATGTTTAAAAATCCACATTTGGGAGGAATAAGCTATTTCACATCCACCGAAATGGTGCTCATCCCTTTAGAAGCACTGCAATTATTTTTTGTGTTCAACCTTTTTATGCAATTTTTCTAAAATGTGTTTCATACTTTCTTGTCCTAACCTGAACATGACAATCATTTAACTTTCTTATTGGCTCAGCATCAACACAAATAGCAACAGTGCCTGGCTCTATAAAACAGTAAGGCTTCAGGCCAGTCTTCATGCTTCTGGAGTGTGTTTGCTGCTACCTTTCACATGCACCATCAGCACACCTACCTCTGGGACCAGCCCCTCTTACCCAGGCCAGCTCTCTAACAGGCTATCTTTAATCACCTGTGACCTGGCCATCAGATCATGTGAGACCCCAATCAGTTTGTTGAAGCTGGGTGTAAAAGTCAGTGTTAATTTCTAAGTGAGGGCCTGAGGACTCCATGAAATCTACTTTGGCTATTCAGACTCCCTCCCCTTTGTTCCTTATTTCTAGAGGTATGTCTCTGTGCTCCCTTGCCACTGAAAATGTGATCTGTGACCCGATGGCATCACCTGAGAGCTTATCAGAAATGTGGCATCTCAGGCTCTGCCTCAGCCCCACTGAATCAGAATCTGCATTTCAATAAGAGTCCCAGGGGACTTGTGTGCTCATTAAGGTTTGAGCAATGTTAGTCTACAGCAATGGTCTCCAAGTTGAGCATCCATCAGCCCCCAGAAGGGCTTGTGGAACCAGAGGGCTGGGCCCCACACCCAGAGCACTGGAAGGTCATCAGTGAGGCTGAAGTTTGGTGTCTCTAACAAGTTCTCAGGACCACATTTGGAGCACTAAGCTAGATCACTGGTTGTCAAACTCATTTGCACATCTGAATCACCTGGGGAACTTTTACACACACCTAAGCCTGTCTCCAGGCTCACAGGAAGAAGGTTCCCAGGGGCTGGCTGTGTGCACTCAAGGTGGAGAGCCATCTTCTGAGTTCTCCAGGTCCTCCTCAGGGCAGAGCTGCTGGGGAGCCGGACAGCACAGGCAGCATCATGACTATCAACCTTCCTTCTGCCCCAACACACACTGCCATCAGTAACAGTAGCTCTCAGTGGGGAAACAGGCCTAGTATTTCACAGACTTTCTGCAGTAGGGAGGCAGATGTCCTCTGAAAAGGCCCTGGGCTGATGGTGATAAGGCTGCGGGAGGATCAATCAAGAGCAGCAGGGCTATTGGTAGCATCCCCGCAGATCACCGGCAGTGTCCTGGCTGCTTCCCTTCCCCGTGACTGAAGCAGCCAAGGCCAGAGCTCCTGGTGAATGACTAGCAAGAGAAGGCTCAGACCCTGGATCTCAGCCCCCTAACTTGTTCTGTACCCCATAGCCCCACCCTCAGCCAGGTTGCGCAGCAGGCACTGGGGAAACTACTCTCTTTTGCCTCTCTCTCTGGTTCCAGGTCCATTGCCCTGGCACTGTCTCTTATCACAAGGATAGGAGACCAAACTCAGGTTTAGATGTTGGAGATGAGGGGGAAAACAACGACAACAAAACAGTGCAGGAACTATGGCCTTATGGCCTACTTTGAACTGAAGCCAAAGGGCCTGACCAGCTCAAGGGAAGGGGATCCCTAGATGGCTCCCTTCTTTACCAGGGCCCTGTGCATTGGGGTTTGGGAACGATGCACCAGCTAATAGCAAAATGCTATGCAGCTTCCTCTATGCCATTGGTTCTTGGACACTCATTTCCCTCAGTGACCTTGGGTGGGAGAGGCTCTGGACTGGGGCAGAGTGTGGAGATTCCTGGATTGCCTGGTCTAATCCCATGTACTAGCAGTTCATTCCCATCCTCATTTCTAACATCTGGCCAAATCTTAGATGAACTGCTCAGCAGGAGACTGTACTTCCTTAACCTTTTGAAGGGGAGCAAAAGCAGCAGAATCTATAGAGGAGTAGGGCCTTGGTTTGGACCTAGTGGACAAGATGATTGATAAAAACCATTTGCAAAGACAAGTAACTTTTGGTGTGAAATTGGTTGTTTCTAATGTTCTGCTTATATTTCTAAGCGAATTAGAATCAAATTGTGTTAAATAATGGGGTCATATTTTACACAAATTCATCTTGAATGAAACAGCAATAATAGTTTAATCTTTAAGATATATTTAAAGCAAAGACTATATAGAAATATACTTGAAATCTCTCACCTGCCTTGTCATTTGCCAAACACAATCAACAAACTGCAGAAATATGGGAGATCGGTCAGCATCCGCATGGTTGTCATTACCATGGCCCACTCGCTGAACAGAAACAGAAGGTTAAACGTTTTAACGTATGTTATAGTCCTCTTGAAAGTCACTGTAAGTTGTCCAGTGGTAAGAATCACATCTCATCAGGCCTAATAGAATTCCTGGCACATAACAGGCACTCAAAAATGTCTATCAAATCGAAATGACTTCCATTACTTTTAGAAAACAAAATTTCAGTTTACAGTATTTTTACATGTTGTTTTATAATTTCTCTTTAATATAGCTGATATCAAGAAAGTACAAGCAACTAGCTAGCAAACTTTTCAGTTAAAATGGTAGGGTCAAGACCAGCCACCACACTAAGTGTACAGTGTCAACGTAGGATGCCAATTAGCAGTTCATAAAGCACATTATGAATGCCATTTTCTCTACAAGTATAAAAACATTTTTTCCATTTTTCAGAAATGTCAGGAAGTCTGAGAATCAAAATAATGATTAGCAATCTACAACTTTTAACCAATTCTTCATGACTCAGAGAACCCCAACAACTCAATCTTGAAATGGTAAAGGTGGGGTCCTTGCTTAAGGCAGTCCAGTATTGTATTTCATATCTTTTGATACTTTGTAAGATATCAATAGATTCATACCAAAAGGTAAAAGATAGTATTCTCAAATACACAAATAGGATTGCCAAAACACTGAAAATGCCACAAGTAAAAAGATAGCTGAAGGGTGAGGATTCTAAGAGAAGCTTCAAATAATTTGCTATGAGCAAAAGGATGTGGGGAAAAAAACTCATTAAGAAAATACAAAGCAATCACTTAGAAAGAGCAAAAATACTCTATGAAATTGCCACCTGGAAAGACATGAAAACAAATAAATGACAAAATCAATATTAACATCTCAGAGTAACAGTGTATTACCTTCTTTATAAAAAAAATTTTAATTGTGGTGAAATACACATGACATATAATTTATCACTTGAACCATTATTTTTATTTTTATTTTTTAGAGACAGGGCCTCGCTCTGTCACCCAGGCTGGAGTGCAGTGACACGAGCATAGCCTGCTGCAGCCTCTAACTCCTGGGCTCAAGTGATTCTCCCACCTCAAACTCCAGAGTGGCTGGGACTATAGGTGTGAGCCATCATGCTCAGCTAATTCTTTATTTTGTAGAGATGGGGTCTCACTATACTGCCCAGGCTGGTCTTGAACCCCTGACCTCAAGAGATCCTCCCACCTCAGCCTCCCAAAGTGCTGGGAATTACAAGCATGAACCACTACATCCAATCTCATCTTAACCATTTTTAAGTGTCCAGTTCAGTGGCATCAAGCACACTCATGTTATTATGCAACCATCACCATTTCTAGAACTTGTTAATCTTTCCAAACAGAAACTCTATACCCATTAATCACTAACTCCCCATTCCCCACCTCCTAGCCCCTGGCAATGACCATTTCACTTTTTGTCCCTATGAATTTGATTATTCTAGTTTCTTCATATAAGTGGAAACATAAATATTTGTCCTTTTGTGGCTAGCTTATTTTGCTGAGCATGATTTCTTTCTTTCTTTCTTTTTTTTTTTTTTTTTTTTTGAGATGGAGTCTCACTCTGTCGCCCAGGCTGGAGTGCAGTGACGCAATCTCGGCTCACTGCAAGCTCTGCCTCCCAGGTTCACACCATTCTCCTGCCTCAGCCTCCCGAGTAGCTGGGACTACAGGTGCCCGCCACCACGCCTGGCTAATTTTTTTGTATTTTTAGTAGAGACGGGGTTTCACCGTGTTAGCCAAGATGGTCTCGATCTCCTGACCTCGTGATCCGCCCGCCTCGGCCTCCCAAAGTGCTGGGATTACAGGCGTGAGCCACCGCGCCTGGCCTGCTGAGCATGTTTTCAAGGTTCATCCATGTTATAGCACATGCCAGAATTTCCCTTTTTAAGACTAACATTGCACTGTATGTTAGTCTTACAGTGCCACTTAACTGTGCCACATAACGACGTTTCAGTCAATGATGACTGCATATCCAATGGTGGTCCCATAAGGCTATAATACCATATTTTTACTGTACCTTTTCTACGTTTAGATACAGAAATACTTACCATGGTATTACAGTTGCCTACGGTATTCAGTATAGTCACATGCCACACAGGTTTGTAGCCTAGGAGTAATAGGCTGTACCATATAGCCTAGATGTTAGCAGGTTATCCATCTAGGTTTCTGTAAGGTACATTCTATGATGTCCACACAATTACAAAATCACCTAATGATGCATTTCTCAGAATGTATCCTCATCATCACACACCACATGACTGTATATATAGACCACATTTTGTTTTTCCATTCGTCTGCTGATGGACACTGGGGTTGCTTCCACCTTTGGGCTATTGTGAATAAAGCTACTATGGACACCAATGTACAAATATCTGTTTGGGCCCCTGCTTTCCCTTCTTTGGGGTATATACCCATCAGCGGAATTGTCAGATCATGTGGTAGTTCCACGTTTAATTTTCTGAGTATCCGCCATTCTGTTCTCCATAGTAGCTCCATGCATTGCCCCACTATAAAATCTCTTGTAGGACCTGCTGTTCAGTATTTAAGGCACCTAGGGAACTGTTTTACACTGACAGTTCACAATTTAGGATCATTCTTTCAACAGATAGCCATGGAACTCCTATGGCGTGTGCAAGGCATCATGCCTGGCCCTCGGAATGTCAGACATTGTCATGGTGTCTGGTAGAGGCCCGGTCCTTGGCTAGGCCCCTAGGAGACCAGAGCAAATGAGACACTGTACTTGTGCTTGATGAATAATTCATTTGTGGTCTAGTCAAGGGACAAAGATGTATAAATCACAAGGGCAATAAAGTGTTCCAAGGGCTTCCAAGTATGCAGTGGGTATGGTGGGAGCACAAGGGAATGAGTGAACCATCCTAGGATGGGGTAGGGGAAGGAACAGGGAGGGACAGTCATGTGAGTCATAGTCATAAAGGACATTTCATTTGAGATAAACCTTGAAGGACAGGGAGATGCCTGCTTCCCAGGTAGCCAGGAATTGATAACCAGTGGCAATGTGGTGGGGAACACTAAGGAAGCCACAAGTAGCTGGGCACAGCTGAGGCTTAGACGGGGCAAGGGAAAGAAGATGAGAGGTGAGGCTGGAGATGTAGCTAGGGCCAGATCACCAAGGGCTTTGAGTGCACACTGAGGAGTTTGTTCATAAACCTGTGTGCTACAGGAAGGTGCTGAGGGACTCACACTGTGGAGTGGCAGCATCCAATCTGTTGTTTGGAATGCTCCATCTGGCTCCAATGGGGACGATGGATTAGACAGAGCTAGGTTGCAGAAAGGCTACTGCTATTGTTGGGATGTTTGTCCTCCTAAACCTCGTGTTGAAATTTGATCCCCAATGTTGGAGGTGGAGCCTAATGGGAGGTGTTGGGTCATGGGGGTGGATCCCTCATAAATAAATTAATCCCTCCTTGGATGGGGGAGTGTGTGAGTGAGTTCTCTATTAGTTCCCGAGACAGCTGGTTGTTACAAAGGGCCTGGCACCCTCTCCCCTCTCTCTTGCTTCCTCTCTCACCATGTGATCTCTACACACTGGCTCCCCTTTACCTTCCACCATGAGTGGAAGCAGCCTGAGGCCCTCACCAGAAGCAGATGCCGGCACCATGCTTCTTGTACAGCCTGCAGAATCGTGAGCCAAATAAATTTCTTTTCTTTCTAAATTACCCAGCCTCAGGTATTCCATTGTAAAAACACAAACAGACTAGGACAGCCACCTAGGAGACTGCCTAAGGGGGTTGATAAGGCCTGAGTTACAGGAGCATCAGGGGCAATGGAGATGAGATCACAGATTCGCTATCCATATATTCAAAGTTATGGGACTGGCTGAGATCACTAACAGGTTAACCACAAAGAGAAGAAAAATGATCCAAGGACTCATCCCTGGAACACCCCAACATTAAGAGGTTGGGAAGATGAGGGAAGACCTGAAAGTTGGAGGAAATTCAAAAGGTCAAAGAAACCTAGAAGCCGAATGAAGAAAGTGTTTGGAAGAAAGGAAGAATCAACAGCATCGAATGCTCAGGCCAAATAAAACAAGTGATGACGGTGACACGACCAGATTGTGGGGGGGCGGGCATTGTGAGAAGGAACCCTGGCTGAAGTGCTTTCAAGACAGTCTGGAAGGAGAGAAATAGTGATAGTGAGTACAGACAACAGTTTTGAGGACATTGTTGTAAAGAAGAGCAGAGAATCAGGGTGACAGCTGAGGAGGGCTGTGGGGTCAAGAGGGTTTTTGTTTTAGGATATAACAGAATGTCTCCACACCAATGGGAATGATCTAGGGAAGAGGGGGGAATGGAGGCAGGATAAAGGGAAGAACAATTGGAAAGTTCCATGATGGAGGCAAGCAGGCAAGGGCAGGATCAGCCTCAGCTGGAAGCCCTGATGGCTCAATCACAGAACTCCAGGTAAAGTAGAGTACACAGATCCAGAGGGTGGGTGGTTGCAGGCTTGAAATCACTGTTTAAAGGCTGGCTCCACCCTAACTAGCTGTGTGACTTTAGGCAGATAACACACACTCTTGAAACCTCAATTTCCCCATCTGTGAATGAGAGTACTATCAGGATTAAACAAGATGCTGCACATTAACAGTGCCAAACACATAGTGGTGGCTTAGTAAATTGAGGCCATTAGGAATCTGATAGTCCTATTGGCTTCACTGTGGCCATGGTGCAGTGAGCCCCAGGATTAGCAAGTAGGGATGGGAGCAGGGCGCTGTAGGCACACCCTGATGCATGTACCTCTGCTCAGTCCCAGTACATGCTGCCATCGCTGGCACCTCGCTAGACAGCCTTCACCACTACCCCTCTGGCAAAGCACCCATTCAAGCTTTCTCTCCCCTAGGACATACAGTTTGGGGAGGAAGGTAGAAGGCAGTGGCCTCTGAGTCTTCTGAGGTGGCCCAAACATCTGGAAAGATTCCACACACTCTCTCTTCCTTACCGAGACCAGCCTTTGCTGAGGGGGTAAGAAACAAAGGAATTGGTGATGTTGTTTAAAACTTCCCTGGCACTTAGCATGGGCCAAACACTGCCCTAAACATTTGACACATATAAACTCATTTCTCCCACACAATGCCCCCATTTCAGAGAGGAGGGAATCAAGGCAAGAGAGGGGAAGGCACATGCCCAGGGATCTGCCAGTAGCTCCCAAAGGGCATGCAGCTCAGAGACTGCGGACTTGTCCCTTCTCTCTGGGAGGTCCTCTTGCAGGCGCTCCACCCCAGGAGTGCAGGGACAGCTGGAAGCTTGGCACACTCACACCAAAGCCAATGAAATCCTTGCACTACCCATCTTCCTGCTTTCCATAGCAAGTCTAATGGGGACTTCAGGAGTATTCCCATTCAATGCACAGTTCAGAAAGATCCCTAACAGCTCAATGGCCTAGACAGACCAGAAGTAGCTGCCAGTTGGACTAAAACACAAATGGCAGCCCAAGAATGCCCCATCAGATGACCTCACAATTTCACTCCTAGGTATATAACCCCCTAGATTGTAAGCAAGTTGTTATAGGGTGACTTGTGATCCCCAAAATTGAGGCCTGAACATTCGGTAGCTCAGCAATGTGTCCATATTTGGAGATGGGGCCTTTAAAGAGGTGATGAAGTTCAAATGAGGGCATTGAAGTCAGCCCTAAGCCAATCTCACTGGTATCCTTATGAGATGAGGACATTTGGCCACCCAGAGAGACAGCAGGGGTGTCCAGTAGCTCCCAAAGGGAAGAAAGACCTTGTGAAGAGGTAGCCAGAGGGTGGCCATATGCAAGGAAAGAAGGGAGACCTCAAGAGAAATCAATCCTGCTGGGACCCTGATTTTGGACTTCCAGCCTCCAGAATTATGAGAAAATTAATTTCTGTTGTTTCAACCATGCAGTCTGTGGTACCTTGTTATGGCAAAAACTTATATACTAACATTCACGCAGTATTCTTCACAATAGCAAAGGTGGGAACAATCCAAGCATCCATCAGCAGATGAGCAGATAAACAACATGTGGTATATACACACAAGGGAATACTATTCAGCTATAAAAAATCATGAAAATTTGATATTTGTCACAACATGGATGAACCTTGAAAATATTATGCTTAGTGAAGTAACTCAGTCATGGGAGGACAAATACTGTAGGATTCCACTTATATGAAGTACCTAGAAAAGGCAAATGTATATGAAGACAGAAATATTAGTGGTTGTCAGGGGCTGGGGGAAGTGAGGAATGACTGTTTAATGTGTACAGCATTTCCTTTTGAGGTGAAGAGTACGGTTTTTGTTTTGTTTTGTTTTTTGAGACGGAGTTTTGCTCTGTTGCCCAGGCTGGAGTGCAGTGGCATGACCTCGGCTCACTGCAACCTCTGCCTCCCAGGTTCAAGCAATTATCCTGCCTCAGCCTACTCAGTAGCTGGGACTACAGGCGCCCGCTAACACATCTGGCTAATTTTTGTATTTTTAGTAGAGACGGGGTTTCACCATGTTGGCCAGGCTGGTCTCGAACTCCTGACCTCAGGTGATCTGCCTGTCTGGGCCTCCCAAAGAGCTGGGATTACAGGCCTGAGCCACCGCGCCTGGCCAGAGTATGTTTTCAAACTAGAGGTGATGGTTACATAATACTGTGAATTTACTAAAGGACACCGAATTGAGCATTTTAAATGGTTAATTCTATGTTATATGAATTTTACCTCAATTTTTTAAAAAGGCATAAATACACTAAAATAAAAACGCCCTATGAGGAACATACAATGCCTGAGGTCCATGTATTTTATTATGGCAATTCAGGTCTGATATGATACAGAAGAGAAAGCCTGCACGTGTGTGTGTATATATGCGCTTACGTGTGTCACACATGACGTTTACATCCATATGATACCGCAAAACAGTCCAGCATAAACCTCACTGTCTGAACTTACCAGTGCAAACCTGTGTCCAAAGCTTATCCACTCCTTTTCTACGAGAGTTTCAAATCCTTTAATGGTCCTGTAGTAACTGTCCAACATTAGCATAGCCAGAGATGTGAGCTGGGCTGTTCGGTCCCAACCGTCGCTGCAATGCACCACCACAGATGTTTTCCCAGATTCTATTTTATCAGCAATTCTTACTGCCCCAGCAAGCAGCATCTTCAGAAAAAAAAGGCACATTAGACCAGGCTACATTGAATTTCAATTAAATGTAAAACAATGTAAAATAATTCTGGGGAGAGCTTTGGAAGTTCTGGTCAATAAACCAAGCAAGAATGGCAGGCAATCAGCTGAGAATCACTAGGAAATATTAGCATCACATTAAAAAAATAAAAAGAAAAGAAAAAATCTTATACTGGAGAAAAACTACAGGAGTAAATATGGTTCCTTATTAAAGGGCCACGAAGTTCTTTAAAAGCCTGACCTAAGGCAAGCATTTTTCCCTTTTCACTATGTCACAAAAGCCCTCCACAAAGACCCCAGTCTGATGCTGTCCATGGAAACTATTGAATAAGAAAGTTCATGCACACAGCCAAGAGGCACTTGGAGATATACGTATTTATGGCACAGGCACAAAGAAGTCTTAACTGGAAAGCATATAAAGTGCTGGATCTCTTTACCCTTATATATTCCAGCCAATGCGTCCCATCCACATTGGAGAGCCACCGCGCCTCATCGATCGAAGGGTACACAATCTCTTTTAATTTGCGTAGTGACTCTCGCATGACATGAATGTTGTGGATCTCCAAGAACACAAGTTCTGCATTTGGGTAAGCACTTTCACTTTCATATCCTCCACCCTTTGTCTACGAAAAACAAAACAAATACATCACATTATCTGGAATTAACTTTTCTATTCTTTCTAGTGCTATGAGATACAGACCACTAAAGAAGCAACAAACTCATCTGCAAATAAACCTCCTATATCCTTGTATGAGTTTCCTAGGGCTGCTGGAAAAAGAACCACAAACTCAGTGGCTTAAAACAACAGAAGTTTATTCTCTCCTAGTTCTGGAGGCTGGAAGTCTGAATTCAAGGTATCGGCAGTGCCATGCTTCCTCCGAACACTCTAGGGGAGGATCCTTCCTTGGCTGCCCCAGGTTCCGATAGTCCCAGGTGTTCTTGGCTTATACACACATCATTCTGATCTCTGCCTCCATTTCCACCTGACCTTCTTTCCTTTGTCTGTGTCTGTCTCTTCTCCTCTTCTTCTAAGGACACAGTCATTTGGCTTAACCCCCACCCCCCAATTCAATATGACCACATCCTAACTTAATTACATTTACAAAGACCCTATTGTGAAATAAGGCCACATTTATAGGTACTTGGAGTTAGGACTGCAACATATCTCTGAGCTAACAGTGGGATGTGCTTAAGGAACTGAAAAGAACCTCACATAGCTGAGACATGGACCTGGAAGATGTGGCGAGACAGGAAGGAAAGGACCCGTGGGTGGAGGGCTTTGGAGACCCTGTTCAGGAACCTGGATATCACTGCCTTGCGGCTCTGAGGGATGTGCACAGAGTTGTCCACTGAGAAGATCACTCTGTACAACATGGTGACTACAGTCAATAACAATGTAGTCTGTATCTGAAAACTGCTGAGAGTAGATTTTAAGTGTTCTCACCACAAAAAATGGTGTGTTAATTAGCTTGATTTAGCCATTCCACAATGTGTACACAATCAAAATACCACGTTGTACACCATAAATATATACAATTCATTTATCAATTGAAATAGTAACAATAAGTTTTTTTTAAAAAAGAAGATCACTCTGGTCATAATGTGGAGATGAGATTGCAGGGTGTGAGGCAGAAGTCCAATTTCAAGGTTCCTGCTGTAGGTGAGGTAAGAGATGATGGGTCATCCAAAAACTAGAAGAGGAGGGCATACTTCCTAGTTCATTCCATGAGGCTAGCTGTATCCTGATACCAAAGCTAGACAAAGACATCACAAGAAGAGAAAACCACAGATTAACATCCCTTATGAAAATACATGCAAATATCCTCAACAAAATACTAGCAAACCCAATCCAAGAGTATATGAAGGGGACTGATCACATACCATGAACGGGTGGGATTTATCCCAGGAATGTAAGGAGGTTTTATTAGCTTCCTAAGGGTGCTATCACAAACTGGGGGACTTAAAACAACATAAAATTTATTCTCTCACAGTTCTGGAGGCTGAAAGTCCGAGATCAGGGTGCTGGCAGAGTTGGTTCCTTTAGGAGGGTATAGGGAAGAATCTGTTCCATGTCTCTCTCTTAGCTTCTGGTGGTTGCTGGAAGTCCTTGGCACTCCTCAGCTTCTAGCTGCATCATTTAAATCTCTGCCTCTATTGCCACATCGCCATCTTCCTTCTGTGTGTGCCTGTGTCTCTACATGGCTTTCTTATACGGACACTAGGCACTGGATTTAGGGCCAACCCTACTCCAAGATGGCTTCATCATAATTAATACATCTGCAAAGATCCTATTTCTAAATAAGGTCACATTCTGAGGTTCCAGTTGGACAAACTTTTGGGAGACATTTTTCAATCCACGACAGTGGTTCAACATATAAAAATCAACCAATGCAATACCAATGCAAGAAGAAGATATGAAAGGCAGCCAGATTGTAAAGGAAGAAGTCACATTATCTCGACTTGCATATGACATAATCTTATATATAAAGAACCAGTGGAGACCTAGAAAATACTGTTTCCTAGACACATATACTGCCATAGTTAAAATTATTCTAGATATACAATTTAGTGTCCTGTCTCTATCTCTCCTGCATGGGATAAAACACAATGAACTGCCCTCACCCTGTTGGCTAGTCTGAAGATGGCCTCCACCAATATGGCTTTTCTCACATTTTGTAATTCCTTGGGATATGGTGGTGACAGGTGGGAGGCAGAGATGTAGAAAGACTGACACAGCTAATGATCCAGATGTGGGGAGCAAGGGGGCCTCACTGAGGGATGCCTCCCTATGGTAGGCTGAAAAGTGGCCCCGCCAAAGACATCCACATCGAATCCCTGGCAATGGTGAATGTGACCTTATTTGAAGAGAAGGTCTTTGCAGATGTTTAAGGATCCTGAGATTTGCAGATGTGTTTAAGGATTCCAAGATTAATTGAAAAGAGGGTCTTTGCAGATGTGTTTAAGGATCCAGGATTATTTCAGGTGGAACCTAAATGTCATCACAAGTGTCATTAGAAGAGAAAGGAGGAGACGCAGAAACCCAGAGCAAGAGAGGGTCATGTGATGACGGAAGAAGAGATTGGAGTGATGTGGCTGCAAGCCCAGGAAGGCTGGGGCAGCCACCCCATGCTGGAAGAGGCAAGGAACAGATTCTCCCCTTGAACCTTTAGAGGGAGCAGAATTGGCCTCCAGAATTGTGATCAATACATTTCTGGTGCTGTAAGCCAACAAATTGGTAGTAATTTGTATGACAGCCTCAGAAAACTAATACTTCCCCATCTTCCTCCCTGCCCTGTTCCTCTCCCAGTCTTCCCCATCTCAGTAACAGACACCACTATTCACCCTCAAGTCAGACACCTGGGCAACACCCTTGACCACAGGGGTGGCGAGCTTATCAGCATCATGTACTGTGCCCTGAGGATGCACTCACCACTGTGCTAAGTCATTTACATGCATTCTTCTCACTGAATTTTAATCCTCACACAACCCATGACATGAGACACTGATATTATCTCCTGTTTTACAGAAGAGGAACCTGAGGCACAGAGAGAGGTTAAGTAACCGGCTCAGGATTCTAGAGCACCAAGTGGCAGAACCTGGAGGAAAACCCAGGTGTAACTGATTCCAAAGCCAAGGGGTCTCACCAACTTGCCATCGTGCCTCTCAGGCCAGTTGGAATATACGGAGGGTTTGTGGTCTGGGAAACAGCCAAGCAGAGATGTCAACCATACAATGGGATAGAAATCCAGTCTCAACCTTAGGAGGGATCAGGACAGGAGAGAAACTGCAGTGTCAAGCTCAAGTTGAACTCAGCATACAGACAGTGTTTAAAGCCGTGTCATCAGAGATGGCCCCAGGAGTCTGTGTAGAGCAAAGAGGACCCCAGACCAAGTTCGAGGAGCAATGCCATTTGAAGACTGGGAAGAGAAATCAGTGAAGGAGATGGAGAAGGCCAGGCTGAAGAGCGAGAGAAACTCAGGGTGTGATATCATGAAAGTCATGGGAACGGAGGTGTTTTTAACCATGTCTCACTGCCACCCGAGGTACACTACACAGGTGCTCCATGAGATTTATGGAAACTTTGTACATTTACACATTTCACATGGCTGATTCCATTCTAAAAGAAATTCAGACCAGACATGAATTAATCAACTAACCACTATATTCCTTAAACGGACTTCCAAGGACCTCACGATCATTTCATTAAAATGCTAAATCCTTTAGATGATAATTGTCTTTCTAGGTCTTTACTTAATTGATTTAGCAGACAGGATATTGTAGAGAAGCAATGAAACAGACAAGATCCCAACCCATGTGAGACACCAAACACAGCCCAAGGAGCATACACCAGGGAGGAATAGCTATGGGACTCCAAATGATTCTAACTTCAGGTGGTGAGGAAATCAATGAGTTATTCCAACTGCATAATGATTTACAGACAGGACATGAAAATATCCAGTGTTTCTGCAGTGCTATTAAGAATATACCTTGTTGGTATCAGCGACACTGTTTTGTCGAGCATCAAAGATGATAAGCTTGTGTGACTGTGCGTTAGCATCCATTATTGTTTGCAAGTATTTTTCATCCTCTTTGCAGCGCTTATCATTGGGACCCACAAGTGGCTGGCTGCAACGGGTAATCGTTGCTTGACTTTCCGGATGAATCCATGACAACACCTAGTGTTTTTAAGCAATAAATATTAGTACAGTTCCTAAAGAATGTATGCTCTAATTACCTGGTAGGAAAAACAAGTTCCCTTCTCAAGCACGGTCTCTTATACATATTTTCTTCAAAAGTGAGAGTGGGCAGGCCAATCACAGCATTGTAGTGGCCATCAGACTCAATGTTTTGGTCAGGATGAAACAATTCTGACTACATGAGCTCTAAAAATCCCCTTCCATCCCCAATATTCTATGATTCTAAGAAAAACAAATCCTAAATCAAACTATTACTAAAATCTAGCCCCATTCCAATTTGATTGACTAATTTTACCTTGTCTCCTAATTTTAAAAACATCTTTGTATCTCAACAATAATATACGTGGCAGGGTAAGGACAAAGTGAATATACAGTCTCTTATAAAATCTGACACTCTGCCACCCCACCTCTCATTTTCCTCCAGTGGCCAAGTGACTCAGGATTACAACAGATGCAAACTCTGGGCTCAAACCATTACTCCCAGCTGTCTGCTACTACTTCTGTAATGATGTCCCTCCCACGCAGCTATGGCATCATGCTCAGTATCTAAGAAAGAAGCATTTTCTCTAGGATGATTCAGTGAAACCAGCAATGCCAACTGGTAATACAATAGCATGATAACTTGTTGTTGCTACTCCTTTGTCATTCTCTACTACTTTTTGAGGGTATGACTGAAGTTCCCCTTATACTTAGTTATAGGAAATCGTAAAAGAGGGAGTCATAGCAAACAGATTGTTTATATAATTAGGTATTTGTTGAGAATCAAAGGTATGTTCAGGTTTATAAGCTTATTTTTCTGCTTTCCATTTTTGTTCACTAGTTTCTTTTTTGTCTTAAATCTCTCCATATTAGATCTAACGCAATATATATTCCTATATAAATGACAATGTTTATTACTTACAGGGACTCTGCCTTTTGCTCGAAAAGCTGCCACTTTTGAAAGGTCATCATCTTTTACACTAGTTGGCACAACAATGATGGCAGGGTAGGTGTCACAGAACTCATAATTACTGTTTATTTTGGATATTTTCCAACTCTCATTTGGCAAGCCCTGTAAGGTGTTGGAGAAAGAAGAAGAGGGTGAAATGCATGACTTTACACTTTGAAAAAGTACTAAGCATGAAGTACATCCATTTCTTATTTGCAACTAAAATCCGTTTATAATTTATTGTTTATTGTAACTTAAAAGTCAATATATATATTTATTCGGTAAAACCCATTTCCTAGACATTTCTAAAAATCTAAAGAAGCATAAGAATATCCAAACCATACTAAAACATGAAAATTATACGCTAGAATCACATTTCTATATATTTCTTGTCCTATTTTCTATAAATAATGAGCTCTGTTATTTTTGAGAATATACTCAAAAGTCCTTTAGAAACACAGATACCTCTTACGAATGTCTAAAATAAGTAACGTAAAACATTATACCAAATATAAGGTAGAGACAACGTCATGAAACAAACGTCATGAAAATAAGATCTTAGTGGAATAATTTGAAGCTGACAATGCACTGAAGAGTTCCCAGACCCGGGAACACTGGATCAGACAGATGTAGTCACACCACATGCTTCGAATCTAACTGTAGTCAGTGGTTTGGATCCTTACTCATCAATTCTTTACCAGAACATCTAATAAAAACCATCTGGCAAATTTGGTTTTTAAACCCGTCCTTGTCCTTGAGTCCCACTCACCCTCTGGAAACAGGATGAACAAACATGACAAAGTCTAAGGTTTGGCACAGGGAGAAGAGAGAATCAAGGAAAGATGGAGAACCTATAAGCTAGCAGTTAAACCTGTGCATAACTTGTTCGAAAAAGTTTCTTCTCCACCACATCATTTCTAACCTTTTAGAAGAGAAAAAGATGCTCAACCTATTATTTTCAGTTTGATAAGCAATATACTTTACCTGTCTCTTATATTCAGATACTGGATCATAAACTTTCCAGCCATTAATTGGAAATTTTTCTTTATAGCTGAATGCAAATAGTGCCTGGACACAAAAACCACAAAACACATATGTTACTATTTCTTTTTATATCATATACCCAATATTAAAGCTTTTCATTCTAATATGAGCTGAGTGTATTAAGATTCCTATTTTAGTCTGTAAATTTTACAGCAACAAAGTAGCAGCTTTTCTTAAGCATTACCCAGAACTGACAAATTTCAAATATTCTAATATTAGTCACCAACAGAGGAAAAAAGAGAGGAAAAAAAAAAACCTCTGGAAAAAGGAATAATTAAACATAGGATATTTGGACCCCCACAAATGCATGCAGAAAAGGTTTACTCTGGTGTATTTACCTGTCCGTTAGAAAGAGGAAATGCATGTTTGTTGAGGTTTTCAAATATCCCTAGTTTACTCTGTTCTTCCTGTTTATAAGCAAGCCGCAAGTTCCTCATATCCTGTTAAACAATTAGCAAAACTCGGTTATTCAACATACATCAGGCACCTATAAGCCAGATACCGTGCCATAAATAAGGAAATTATTTTTTTTTAATTCATTTCTCCTTTTATACTTTATCCTGCTCCAACGGCACAGTCTCCACTCATTGCAACCTCCGCCTCCCTGGTTCAAGCAATTCTCCTGCCTCAGCCTCCCGAGTAGCTGGGATTACAGGCACCCACCACCACTACCGGCTAATTTTTGCATTTTTAGTAGAGACAAGGTTTCACTATGTTGGTCAGGCTGGTCTCAAACTCCTGACCTCACGTAATCCAACTGCCTCGGCCTTCCAAAGTGCTGGGATTACAGGCATGAGCCACTGCGCCTGGCCCCACTTATGTTTTCAAAGAAGGACTATACATACATTCTCATGTGCATAGGCTATCTGTGGAGGGTTACATTAGAAATCGGCCACAGTGGGTGCCTGAAATGAGTGGAACAGGGTGGCAGGGTGGTGGGTGGAAGGAGACTGATTTTTTACTATACACAGCTTTTGTATCTTTTGAATTGTATATCACCTGTTAAAAAATAAACCCCACACCTTGTAAAGCTCTTAGGCATGATCTGAGAAGGCTGGGAGCATTACCTTAGTAATCTAGGTTAGAGAACATTTAAAGCAGTTGTTAGCAAATGCTCACCCCAGCCATAAAAATATCTTAGTAAAAGAGCCCCAGGATGCCTGCCTAAGCAACATAATTTCCTGACATGCCCTCCCTCTAAGCTACATGGCTACACACATACACCTTGGTGGCTGACTGAGCTGACTTGCTATTTAAGATTGCTTACAAGCTAAGGAAAGAGCACATGCAAAGATTCTGGGATGTGTGTGTGTGTGTGTGTGTGTGTGTGGGTGGGTGTGTCAAGTATGAACCACCAAAGGAAAGCCCATGTGACTGGGATGGCCAGAATGAGAGGAGGGCAGTTCGAGACCAAGCTGCAGAGGAAAGTGGGTCAGGCAGAGCAGTCTTGTAAGGAGAGTTTTTCTTTTAGTCTAAGGATAATGGGAAGATACTCAAGCGTCATGAGAAAGGGGACGACATGTTTCAAAATTGCAGAACCGATCAAGTCACCCCTCTGCTTGCCATTGTTCCATATGGGGAACCCTGCCTGAGAAGGACAGTTGTCAGGGAGTGACTAAAGTGAGTTTAGTAAGCCAACAGATTCATGATCTGGAAGAGTAAAGGGTTCTTTGGAAAAAAAAAAAATGGTTTTGAACGCAGTCTAGGACCAACCAGAGGGAGCTATCTTCAGAGATTGAATCAAAATAAATAGATTGTAAGGAATCCTAACCCAAAATTTGGAAGGGGCGCTGATGATCCTGCAGGCAGGATCTCTTTTCTGGTACTTCAGGTAGGGTTTTTGGTAAACATTACCAAAGTCAAGTCACTGGGAATAAAATACATCAATTAGGAGTGGGTCCTACATGACTTCGTGATTAAAGTTATCACACACATTTCTACTTAAATTATTAGAAGAAGGGTACAAAATAAACAAATAAGCCCAGCTCAACATAAAAATTCCAAGATAGCCAAGAAACTTAATCTCATTTTTAATCACAGAATTTATGGGCCACTGCTGTCCCTTTAGGAAGTCTCTGACCATCCACATTGTTCTGAACGTAGTCTTAAAACAACAAACTGGGGAAATGTATTGGTCTCTGCTTTTCACTTGACTTCTCTGAGATGTGACAAACAATCACTTAGGTTATAGGTCCACGTTAATTAGAAATACAGTCAGCCCTTCCTATCCATGGGTTCCACATTGGAGGATTCGAACAACTGCAGATGGAAAATATTTTTTAAAAGGATGGTTGCATTTGTGCTGAACATGCACAGACATTTTTTCTTGTCATTATTCCCTAAACAATACAGTATAACAACTATTTACATAGTGTTTACACTGTATTAGTTATTATAAGCAATATACAGATGATTTAAAGTATATGGGAGAATGTTCTTAGGTTATATGCAAATACTACATCATTTGACATAAAGGACTTGGACATCCATGGATTTGGGTATCTGAGGCAGAGGTCCTGGAATCAATCCCCCACCGATACCAAGGGACAATTGGACTTCGATGGAAAAGGTTTACTTCAAAGGGTTACATAATAGTTTAAATTCGATATGAGATTTGAAGAGGTTGCTATCCCGAAAACATTTGAGTTACTAGCAGTACAAATTATTCTACTGTCCAAAGACCATGAAGAGACTGAGGGAGAAAAAGTTCAGAGCTGATTGCCCTCTTTTAGTTTTCACTTGGCGTTTCTATTATACCTTGCACACTATCTCTATACCACAGGAATTGTCTCCATGGCTCTGTGCTCCAATCTTCTCCACTCTGCTGATCACTCCAAGGGGAACATCAAGGATAAAATGCGGGTCCTAGGTTCAAAAATTAAGATCAATGCCTATTAGTGTCAGTCAACAGTTTTCATATTTTAAGTCTTTGCTGGGTTACAAAACATGTTTGTTTACTTCGCATTTCCTCTTTGTCCCAGCTAAATTGAAGTCTGATTGACAGCATTCCTTGTGAAATATATATTGAGACAACAATGGAATTTCCCCTCCAGGTTTAAGCGGTACTTTAACAGCCTTTGTTTTCAAGATACAAACATCTGTTTGCAAATGTGTGCATCTCAAAATCCAACCTGTGGTTATCTCAGGGTAATGGGATTTCAGGGGACTTTTTACTTTCTTCTTTTAGTGTTCTTTTAAAAGTGTTTCTTTTAAAATAAAACACACTTTAAAAAACTCACCCTCTCGACATTTTTGAAGTACAGCTTAAAGTCCGTCACTGTCAGGGTTCCACTCACTGCTCCCATAAATGGGCAGATATACATGACATCTTTCACTGAAAGAAAAAGGCCAAAGTAGCAACTACTGCCATAGACTTGTGCTTCCATAAAACTTAACACGAGTTTTCCAAATATATATTTGTGATTCCAGTTTTCCAGGAATTTTGTATTTTATAGGATTATATCAATTATGACTTTCAATATAGAGAGATGCATAGTCTTCTAATAAATTTCAATTTTTTAAAACAAAATTCTGATTTGCTACTTAATGAGGTTTTAAGTAAAGGGCCTCATAAGAAGTTATATTCTGTCATTTTTCCTAGGTAGTTAACATTTTCCCTGGGTGATAAATTAATCATATTCAAAACATTAATTAAACTCTGAAAACCCTGGGCTACTGTTTCATGAATTACTGCTACTTAAAACTAATGAAAACTAAAGATTGTCTCCTAATGCATCTCCAAAGGAAACTCTTTTTACAGAAGACAAAACCTAGAACCACATCAATGAAATGGAAAAAGACTTATTTCAAATTCCTTATCCCCTTATCAGTTTTAATTTTTTGTCAATATCTATTAAGTGCGTGACATATTTAATTCCCATTAGTGTTAAGAAGCTCACTTCTATCACAAAGATACCACATCTTCATGTTTTCCCAAAGTGCCATTCCACTGGAATGACAAGAATATACATAGCTATATATGAGTCCAAGTGAGACAACAAAAGGCATTAACGTCATTGAACCAAATTCTCAGAATACTTCCATTGAACTTTTCTATACTCCTTATGTACTGAGAGCCTTCTATTGCTGGGATTCTGGGTATAATTGGAAGAAGTTCCTGTCCATGAGCAGCCCATGACCTGTGAGAGATACCACACAGAAAAATCGCCATTATACTAGAGCAGAGGTCCCCAACCTTTTCGGCACCAGGGACTGGTTTCATGGAAGACAACTGTTCCATGGACCAGGGCAGAGGTAGGGGGATGGTTTCAGGATGAAACTGTTTCACCTCAGATTATCAGGCATTAGACCCTCATAAGGAACATACAACCTAGATTCCTCACATGCGCAATTCACAACAGGGTTCACGCTCCTGTGAGAATCTAATGCCACCGCTGATCCGACAGGAGACGGAGCTCAGGCGATAATGCTCACTAGCCCGCTGCTCACCTCCTGCTGTGCAGCCCCGTTCCTAACAGGCCATGGACCAGTGCTGATCCACGGCCCATGGGTTGGGGATCCCTGCACTAGAGGTTGACAAAAGCTAAAATAACAATGTGGACACAAAGTATTACAATGGAAGTTCAGAAAAGGATCAACTTAACTCAATAGGAAAGTGGGTAGGGGGAGTAAGAGAAGGAAGGGAGGAAGGGCACAGTGATAAGTTGTTAGAGGTTAGTATGCCTGGATCAATGGGTGCAGTGAGGACAGTCGAATATGAGGCCAGAGAAGTTGGCAGGGAGTGGATTGGCAAGTGCTTCTGTAGGAGACTAAGGCATTATTATCATTATCCTTAAAAGATAACTGTTTAAACAAAAACAAAAACAATATATTGTGGGGTTTATAACATATGTAAAAGTAAAATGGATGACAACAACAGCATAAAGGGTAGGAGGGGACAAATGGGAGTATACTACTATAAGGTTCTTATCCTGTACATGAAGCAGCATACAATCATTTGAAGGTAGACATAAAGATGTAAAATAACTAGTTACATAACAAAACAAACAATTATAGCTAATATGCAATCACAGGACATAAAATAGAATTCTAAAAAGTAAAAACCCCATAGTCTCGACCCAAAAGCTCCTTCAGCTGATAAACAACTTTGATAAAGTTTCAGGATACAAAATCAGCATACAAAAATCACTAGCATTCCTATACACTAACAACAGCCAGGCCAACAGCCAAATCAGGAATGCAATCCCATTCACAATAGCCACAAAAAGAATAAAATACCTAGGAATATGGCTACCCAGGGAGGTGAAAGATCTGTACAATGAGAATTACAAAATACTGCTCGAAGAAATTAGAGATGACATAAACAAATGGAAACACATTCCATGCTCATGGATAGGAACAATCAATATCGTGAAAATGGCCATACTGCCCAAAGCAATTTATAGATTCAATGCCATTCCTATCAAACTACCAATGACATTCCCAGAACTAGAAAAAAACTATTTAAAAATTCATATGGAACCAAAAAGAATAGCCAAGGCAATCCTAAGCAAAAAGAACAAAGCTGGAGGCATCATGTTACCAGACTTCAAACTATACTACAGGCCCACAGTAACCAAAACAGCATGGTACTGGTACAAAAACAGACACACATAGACAAGTGGAACAGAATAGAGCGCCCAGAAATAAGGGTGCACACCTACAACCCTCTGATCTTCAACAAAAGCAAGCAATAGGGAAAGAATTCCTTATTCAACAAATGGTGCTGGGATAATTAGCTAGCTATATGCAGATGACTGAAACTGGATCCCTTCCTTACACCATATACAAAAATCAATTCAAGATGGATTAGAGACCTAAATGTATAACCCAAATCTGTAAAAACCCTGGAAGACAACCTAGGCAGTACCATTCTGGACATAGGAACTGGCAAAGATTTCATGATAAAGATGCCAAAAGCAATCACAATAAAAGCAAAAGTTGACAAATGGAATCTAATGAAACTAAAGAGCTTCCGCACAGCAAAAGAAACTATCAACAAAGTAAACAGCCTACAGAATGGGAGAAAATATTTGCAAACTATGCATCTGACAAAGGTCTAATATCCAGCATCTATAAGGAATTTAACAAATTTACAAGAAAAAACACAAACAACCCCATTAAAAAGTGGGCAAAGGACAAGAATAGATACTTTTCAAAAGAAGACATACATGCAGCCAATAAGCATATGAAAAAAAAGCTCAGTATCACTGAACATTAGAGAAATGAAAATCAAAACCACAATGAGATACCATCTCACACCAATCAGAATGGCTATTATCATATTAAAAAGTAAAAAAAAAAAATAAGAGATGATGAGGTTGCAGAGAAAAGGGAATGCTTACACACTGTTGGTAGGAGTGTAAATTAGTTCAACCGTTGTGGAAAGCAGTGTGGTGATTCCTCAAGGAGCTAAAAATAGAACTACCATTTGACCCAGCAATCCCATTACTAGGTATATGCCCAAAGGAATATAAATTATTCTACCATAAAGACACACTCACGTGTATGTCTGCTGCAGCACTATTCACAATAGCAAAGTCATGGAATCAATCTAAATGCCCATCAATGCCAGATTGGATAAATAAAATATGGTATATATACACCACGGAATTTTGCAGCCATAAAAAAGGACGAGATCATGTCCTCTGCAGGAACATGGATAGAGCTGGAGGCCATCATCCTTAGCAAACTAACACAGGAACAGAAAACCAAATACTGTAGGTTCTCACTTATAAGTGGGAGCTAAATGATGAGAACACAGACACAGACGCAAAGAAGGGAACAACAGACATTGGGGCCTACTTGAAGGTGAAGGTTGGGAGGAGGGAGAGGATCAGAAAAAATATCTACTAGGTTCTAGGCCTAGTATCTGGGTAATAAAATAATCTGTACAACAAATTACCATGACACAAGTTTACCTATATGCACATGTACCTAAAATAGGGCCATCAGAGAAATGCAAATCAAAACCACAATGAGATACCATCTCACACCAGTTAGAATGGCAATCATTAAAAAGTCAGGAAACAACAGGTGCTGGAGAGGATGTGGAGAAATAGGAACACTTTTACACTGTTGGTGGGACTGTAAACTAGTTCAACCATTGTGGAAGTCAGTGTGGCGATTCCTCAGGGATCTAGAACTAGAAATACCATTTGACCCAGCCATCCCATTACTGGGTACATACCCAAAGGACTATAAATCATGCTGCTATAAAGACACATGCACACGTTATGTTTATTGCGGCACTATTCACAATAGCAAAGATTTGGAACCAACCCAAATGTCCAACAATGATAGACTGGATCAAGAAAATGTGGCACATATACACCATGGAATACTATGCAGCCATAAAAAAAGGATGAGTTCATGTCCTTTGTAGGGACATGGATGAAATTGGAAATCATCATTCTCAGTAAACTATCACAAGGACAAAAAACCAAACACCGTATGTTCTCACTCATAGATGGGAATTGAACAATGAGAACACATGGACACAGGAAGGGGAACATCACACTCTGGGGACTGTTGTGGGGTGGGGGGAAGGGGGAGGGATAGCATTAGGAGATATACCTAATGCTAAATGACGAGTTAATGGGTGCAGCACACCAGCATGGCACATGTATACATATGTAACTAACCTGCACATTGTGCACATGTACCCTAAAACTTAAAGTATAATAATAATAATAAAATAAAAAAAGTTTAAAACAAAAGTACTCAATTCAACCATAAAAAGAGGGAAAAAAGAACAAAGAATAAATGAGACTAATAAAAACCAATTATCAAGATAGTGGATTTAAACCTAATTATATTACTGATTATATAAAATGTAAATGATCTAAACACCCCAATTAGAAGGCAGAGATTGTCAGTTTGGAGACAAAAGAAAGAACCAACTATATGTGGCCTAAAAGAAACTCACCTTAAATATAAAGACACAAATAGTTTGAAATTCAAAGGATGAAAATAGGTATATCATGTTAGTAAAATTTTTTAAAAGCTATAATGTCTATAATAATATCAGACAAAGTAGATTTCAGAGCAAAGAATATTACCAAGAATAAAGAAGGTCATTTCATGATAATAACGAGGTCAATTCGTCAGGAGGATGTAAGAATCCTAAACATGTATGTATCTAATAACAGCTTCAAAATACATAAAGCAAAACTAATAGAACTGCAAGGAGAAACTGACACATCCACCATTATGGTCAGAGATTTCAAAACCTCTCTCTCTACAATTGGTAGAAATAGACAGAAAATGGCTAAGAATACAGATCGACAAAATCTAATTGACATTTATAGAACAGTCTACTCAACAACAGCAGAAAACACATTCTTTTCAACTGCATGTAGAACATTTACCAAGACAGGGCATATTCTGGGACATAATATGAGCCTTGATGAACATAAAAATATTCAAGTTATAAAAAGCATGTTTTCTTAACACAAAGGAATGAAGGTAGAACTCAATAATCGAAGAAAATTTGGGAAATTCACAAATATATGGAAATTAAACGACACACTCCTAAATAACTCAAGGGTCAAAGAAGAAATCAAAAGGGGAATTCAAAAGCATTTTGATCTGAATGCAAATAAAAACACAAGGTCATAATTGATGAAATGCTGCTAAAGTAGCAGTGGGAGGAAAATCTAAATGCCTATACTAGAAAATAACAAAAATCTCAAATAAATGACCACAGTTTCCACCTCAAAAGCTACAAAAAGAGTGAATTAAACCCAAAGTAAGCAGAAGAAAGGAAATAATAAAGATCAGAGTGGAAATCAATGAAACAGAAAACAAAGAAAATAATAAAACCAAAAGCTGACTCTTGGAGAAGATCAATAAAATCAATAAACCTCTAGCCAGATGAGAAAAACAAAAAAGAGAAGACATGCACATTAATAATATCAGAAATGAGAAAGATGTCACTGCAAATTCTACAGATATTAAAGAGTAAGGAAATATGACAAATGACTTTATGACAATCATTTGACAACTTGGATTAAATGGACAAAATCCTGGAAAGACATAAACTACCAAAGCTTACCCAAAAGAAAACCACAGTCTAAACAGTCATATAACTACTAAATAAATTAAATTTGTAGTTAAAAACCTTCGCACAAAAGAAACGCAAAGTCCAAGCAGCTTCACTGGTAAACTCTACCAGATATTTAAGTAAGAAATAAGCTATCCCGGAAAACTAAGGAAGAGAATAATTCTCAATTCATTCTATGAAGCCAGCTTTACTCTGATACCAAAACCTGACAAAGCAATTACAAGAAAATTACAGACCAATATCTTTCATAAATGAATATTGACGTAAAACTTCTAAACAAACTTTTAATAAACCAAATCCAAAAATTTATAAAATGGATACTACATAATAAGCAAGCTGAGTTTATCCTGGGAATGCAAGGTTGATTTAACAATCAAAAATTAATTGACGTAACCCAGGATACTATAGGTTAAAGAAGAAAAATCATGGTTACATCAATCAATGCAGAAAGAGCATTTGAGAAAATCTAACATCAATTCCTGATGAAAACTCACAGCAAACTAGGAATAGAAAGGAACTCCCTCAACATGATAAAGGGCACCTATAGTAAAAACCTGCAGCTAACATTATATTTCATGGTGAAAGACTGAAAGCTTTCCCAAGATCAGAAAGAAGACAAGAATGTCCACTCTCACTTCTTCTCTTTAACATTATACTGGAGGTTCAATCAAGAGTAATAGGGTAAGAAAAAGAAATAAAAGGCATTCAAATTGGAAGGGAAAAACTGGAATGCTCATATACGGCTACTAGAAATGTATACTGGTACGACCACTTAGAAAACACATTAGCAGTTTTTTAAAGAAACTGTATAGCTATCATATGATCTAGCCACTTATCTATTAGGTATTTACTCAGGAGAAAAGAAAAGGTATGCTCATACAGACTTGTACATTAGTGTTCACAGCAGCTTTATTTGTAACAGCCGAACAGTAGAAACAACCCAAATATCCACCAACAGATGAATGGATAAGCAAACTGTCATGTAGCCATATAATGGAATTCTATCCAGCAATAAAAAAGAATGACTGTTAACTCATGCCACAATATGGATATCAAAATAATTATTTGATTTGAAGAAGCTAGACAAAAAAAGAACATACTCTATGATTATATTTCCATAAAACATAAGCTAGCCTATAGTGCTTGGGGATGGCGGAGAAGGCAGAGGAAGTAGGGATTATAAAGGGGAATAAGGAAACGAAAACTGGGAGGTGATGGATATGTTTGTTACCTTGACTGTGAATGATGGTTTCTCAGGTGTACACCGTGTCAAAACTCTTCACATTCTGACAATGACAAACTGAAGTAATACTTTAGACGGAGTATTTTACTTCACAATGACCTATTTAAATAGTTTGCCTCCAGGAATATATTTTATTAAAAAGTAGAGGGTCAATTTACTTACCCTTTGCAAGCCACCAGAGGAGCATAAAGCATATTTACATCACTTAAGGATTTGCAGATGTCCTTAAGATCTAACTCTAAGATATTTCCAATAATTCGTATTGGAGTGGGGCCAGGCAGGAGTTTCTCTCTCTCTGAGCTCTGTTTCCAGAGTGAAAGGAAAAGAAAATGGGAGAGAAAGAGCACCAGGACCGCAGCTAAATCCACTGAAGCCTTCTCTTCTTACTACAACAACTGTGAGCTTGCAATCCAAGCTTTTATAACGCTCCCTGCTCATTCAAAATATGTATCTGATGTGCAAAGTTGTCAATCACCTACATGAGCTCTAATCTTTTCTGAGCTCACTTTGACTCACTGACAAATTATAAAACTAAAGTGAAAAACAACCTCTTCACATTTTACATTTTACGCCTGTGTTGTTTACTGTCTGAAGAAGAAGCAGGGGCATGACATAATTACCTCTGCATTTTAAACAGATCATTAAGAAAACAGTATGAGGGCAGAGCTAGAAGAACGCCCAGAGAAGGAACAAAGAGTCCAGAGGACTGCCAGGATAGAATGAAGTCCTAGAACCCAAGGAAATAAAGAATTTCAAAACCAAGGACAAGATAAGCATGGTCCACAGACACAGACTAGGATATTCAGCAGCAATAATTGATTGGAGGATCTGGTGGGAGAGCCCCGCTACTCAAATATTCTTGGCACAAGATGACTATACTCTGAGACTGAGTGCGCCTCTTTGGGAGAAAGCCATGATGGAAGAAGGAAACAGTCTAGAAAACCAGACTGTCCAACCCAACCAAGTGATGAGATGAACGGATCGCATCCAGCTGCCCCTCCCATCCACCCATGGCACAATCAACTACTCCCTGAAAGGCCTGGCAGTACACCATGGAGGGATATGGGAGGCCTCATGCCATCACCTTTAAAAGCCAGGATGGCAACACAAGCCCTTGCCATGCACCAAAATTGTACTTTTTGGGATCTGATAAACCACTAAAATTTCTTTGCTGAGTTCTCAAAACTGTTATTAAAACATGATATAGGTCTCCTATATTTTCCTTATACTGAAGGATTCCAACAAAGCAGTGAACTGACATTACACTGAGTGTCTAATCAGCTTTCAGTTCACCAGGAAAAGTCAGGCCCCTCTTCTGTTGGGAACGCCATCAAATACTCAATTGGAACTTAACGGGATCCTCTGCAGTCTTCTATCTCTTAGGTCATGATGACACTAATGAGGATGAATAGATCTAGTCCATTTGTCCCCTAATTAAGTTGGTCTGGCGGATCTCCAGCACATACATCACCTCCACTTGCAAATTAAGTGCCATTTCATTTTATGGATCTCAAAAAGCGAAGTGTACACACTAAACTTACCAATGGCTTTAATTGATTCTCCTGGGAAAAGTGGAGCCTCTTCCATCTGTGCCAGCTTATTTCCATCCCTTAGAGCCTGGCAAAAAAAAAAAAAAAAAAAAAAAAAAAAAAAAAAAGGACACCAAACGGGAGTAAATCTCACTTTCCGTATACCTGTGAAGAATTTCGGTGTTCTGTGATGTCACTATAAGGCTACAGAAGCGTGCAAAATAAGCACCCAACCCCTTCAAAGACAACTTAAAAGCTTAGCATCACAAGACACCATGCTGCATATTCTAGCAAATTGTTACAACATATTTAAATTTCACAGTTAGGAAGCATTAATACAGAAATGGCTTGACATGACAGAAAGATACTGTAATCACTACACAGATAGCTATTAAAAGGTGTCTCTAGAATTTGCAAATAAGGCCAGAAAAAGGTTACCTTCTGAGCATGAAACTAATACAAATGAAACCAACATGAGCTATAGGTGCTTAGCTAACTGGAGAAATGACCCAGCCTAAGAGAAAGTTTGGGAAGGCCAGAAGTCTAATGAAAATAACCGGAGAACAGTCTCGGTACAGTACACAACTAAGGAAAGGCCTAGGCTTTGCTACTGCAGCCCAGCTATGTGTGTGTGTGTGTGTCTGTGTGTGCTCGTGCACACGGACATGCATGCACAAAGCGTATGACCAGGGACATGAAGAGTGAAGTTGTCAGTGTTCACCCAATCCAGGCCATGAGAGAGTGTGCTCTCATCTGGCAGGCAACAGTATTCCAATCCCTGCTGCGGAGCAGGGTGTTTTCGTCAGGCATGTCTCAAGACAATTTACTTTGCAGTAATTTCATACTCACCAAGCAAATTGCTAATGATTTACTAGGTTTCCTGGCTACAATGATGCTAGGAAAAGGATACCTTAGATGGCCAGAAAAATACACGCCCACGTTTTTAAATTAGCAGATTGGCACTGCAGCCCAGTAGCCACTCCCTTGTGAGCTTGGTTGGATAGTGCCAGATAATTGAGGGGAGGTGAGAAAATGGTGTTCTTGAACTACAAAGCTAGGGACCAAAGCCTGAACTCGGGGTCTATTCCAAGGTACCGCCACCCTGTGAGACGCTGCCAAGGAAACCAGTCACTTTCTCCTTGGCATCTCTGACATAATGTGTCATGAATAAGAATAAGGTGATCAGAACCCCCAGCAATTCCAAAGCTGTATTTCATAGAGCATTACTTTCCCAAGAGATGTGAATAGGTCTTAAAAAATAAATAAATAAATAAAAGTTTGGGAAATGCTGGGTTAAGCAAAACAAGTTCAGCTGCTTTTTTTCTTCTCCTTTTTTTTTTTTTTTTTTTTTTTTTGAGATGGAGTCTCGCTCTGTCGCCAGGCTAGAGTGCAGTGGCACAATCTCAGCTCTCTGCAACCTCTGCCTCCCGGGTTCAAGCAATTCTCCTGCCTCAGCCTCCCGAGTAGCTGGGACTACAGGCGCACACCACCACGCCCGGCTAATTTTTGTACTTTTAGTAGAGACAGGGGTTTCACATTGTTGGCCAGGATGGTCTCCATCTCTTGACCTGGTGATCCGCCCACCTCAGCCTCCCAAAGTGCTGGGATTACAGGCGTGAGCCACCGCGCCCGGCCTCATTTGCTTTTTTTAGTGAGACATCTTTAGTGTGTCAATGCACACCGAATCCGCAAGAGGGCGCCACAGTATAATGCATTCCTCATACCTATTTGATCGGGACTGCTTTTTCCACCTGTTAACATCGGAGGCCACTAGTGTTCAGTGGAAAATAGGTCGAATAATACTACGCTTTCAGCATAATTTTGTAAAGCAAAATATTTTTAAATGGATGTCTTTTATAATTCTAAATTATTGAAAATTCAAAATAGTAATTATTTTCATAGTTACAAGAATATTTCACTATGTTTTATTAAAGGACCTAAAGGTCAATTTAGAAATACTACACATAGTAGTTTCATCACATTTTATACAGGGAAGAAAGCCAAACTATAAATAACAAATTCAATGTTAAATGTTGGTCAGGGCTATGTTAGTTCTACTGGGAGACCACAAAATGACATGGTCCATCCTCCTCCTTATCCAAAGATGCATGGTTAAAATAATATAGATTAGGAATCATCGTTACCTCCAAACAGTTAATTCAATTCAAATTTTTAGCCCAGACTGGTTTTTAAAGACATTTTCTGCCAAAATTTTTTGGAAGTAAACACATTAAGGGTAGGTGTGGAGAACGATTAATGGATTCATTTTTATACTCACATCTGTTTTGGAAATATATTTTATGCAATAAAGCATAAACTAACAGGTATACTTATAAATGTCTGGTTTTAGAAACACTAAAAGATCTCCAATCTTAGAAGCCTTAATTTGAAACTCTGCTTTATTGCCTGAACTAGTGACTAACTGTATAGCATCTCATGAAGTGAGAAAGCTATTTTAATCAATATCAGAGTTTTAAATTACTTCAAATGTTACGTTGTTAAAGCCTATTTTAATGGCTAAATATTATCATGTATTATACAGACTTAAGTTTCTTATATGTTAAAAATAAGTGAAAATAGATTATTTTGAAATATAATTACTAAAGCAAGCTGCTTTAATCAACTGAATCTGGAGGAGCTTAGGAAAGGTATGACTCTCTCTATTTAGAGCAAGCCACATCAAACATTTTAAAGTCCTCAATCCAGGACTAGCTAATAAAATGTTGCATATAGGAGACAGAGGTGATTAGGACCATTTTAAGAATACACAATGCTCTCAAGATAGAAGTTGAAAATCAAGCATTTCTCTTCTCTTCCCATAGTCATGTCAAGTTTGGCTTGAAACTTCTGTGCATTTATATGTCAGTGAGACATAGTAAGGCAAACCTCTAATTGATAAATCTGGGACATGCCTTTTAAATGGCAAAAAAGAACAACTACTGGAATAAAACAAAGAAGTGACCCAATTGCTTCAGATTTCCCCGTAGGAGATTCCTTTTGTAAAAGAAACACATTTAGCTTTAGCATAGAAACTCAAGAGAAGAGTTTTAAAAGCTTGGAGGTTTTTTTGTTTGCTTTGGTGAGTATAGTAGATTCCCTTTATGAAGCTGCTGTTAGGAGAAGGGACTCACACTTGTGCTACATTAAGCTTTTACTGCAACTACAAGGTTGCACAGGACATGATTTGACCCTTGATTTATCCAACCCATGTTCAGCACAATCAAAGGATGGAATATTCTTATGAACTAAATTTGATTTCATAAACACACCCATTCCTCTTGGTGCCATGGCTCAAAGTGTTGCCCAGCTGGGGAATTCCCTCTGATGACCTCATCCCAACTTTGTTCCAGTGACCCTGAAGGTCTAGCCGAAGTCTGCCAGCTCCCTGAATTTGTTCCTGAGGGCTCCAGCCCACCCAACAACCCTGGCCTCTCCGCTACTTTTCTCCTCAGCCTGAATCCAAGCCGCCAGGTGGATAGTTTATATAATGGTTGCATGCCAAAAGCAGTGGCTTTCAAACTGGGCTCTTCAAGTTGCTTCCAGGGTCACCAAAGGAGAGTGGGGCTGGATGATGGTGGACAATGGTGCAGCTGAGCACCTGGGGCATGCCACACATCCCTGGAGCTGCTCTTCTCTTTGTTTCACATAAGCATTGGGGAAAGTACTGCAGCTTTAAAAGACTCCAGAGAGGGTCTAGAGGTACTGAGCAGAGTAAGCACTCAAGAATACTCTATGAATAATTTTGTATTCTGATTAATATATGTACCAATTCCACAAATATCTACATGGTACCAGGTACTGTGTTGGGCATAGATCATGCATATTTGAAGAAAGCAAAGTGTGCACCCTCAAGGAGCACCCTTAGCATATGTATCTGTCCCCTCTATGTCTATGTAAAGGCACTGCAGAATCCTACCGTGATGGAGGGTCATTAACCCCATCAATAACCCTATCTGGGCAAACCAAGAAACACAGACAAACAAATTTCTAGTTGACAAAATGTTGGATAAACCAATTTTTGCAAATAATGTCATATGGAATCTACCAAATTTGGACAGGAGGGCACTACTATTGTGGTAGAGGCATCTGGAAAGCTTTGCTTATTATCTAGAAGTCTAGAATGAAATGGCTTCTAAATACACGATCTGTAGCTACAAACAGATGAACACGTAGAACTTGCCACCTGATCAGCTTCAGCTTCAGAAGGGTAGCCATTGTGTTCTTCCTGAATCTCCTGCACAGCACCAGGTGCATGGACAAGAAAAGGCAAAGAGGAGAAAGAGAAACACGTGCAAACAGACAGGTGAAAGGACAGAATTTCTTTTTTAAGGAGACAGTAAGCATGTAAAAGTCGACACACCTTTCATGACTTTGCAAATCACAACATTTTCCCCCTTGGAGTTAAGGAAATAACATGTAGGCCATCTATAGCATCCACAGCCTAAAATGGAGTATCTATTCTGTGTTTGTGTTGGGGTAGAAAAATGAAAAGCAAACAAACATCATGGATTTCAAAGAATGTACTGTCTTTTCAAAACCAAGCAATAGACAGCATATAGCAAAGAAACAAAATAACAGGCACATAATGTGCTCACAGAAAATAAAGCATACCACAGAAAACTGGTAAAGGGCAAAGTCAAGCCAAAATACAAAGGCAGTTTATAGACATGTATTTTAAACACAGTAAGTATTCATATTACATTGCTCAGGGATCAATTCCACTGCACACATGCATATATCACATGCTGGAGATTATATATATATGTGTATGTGTGTGTGTGTGTGTGTGTGTGTGTATACACACATATATATACATGTCTGTTTCTTATTGCTTATTGCTAATTAAATTCTGTGATTTATAACTCAATATCATATTAAATATTTCTAATTACTCTATCAACGCACTTCCAAGAAACAGCTAAAAGGCCACACATCTTTAATTTTTTCCAATCCCTTTAAAGGTATACTGTTCTTAATTTCTTTATAGAATCTATTATTTTTTGAAACTTTAAAAATTGGGCTTTTTATTCAGCAGCTGGTAAAAAAGAATATGAATACTGAAGATGACAAGATTGTAATCTCTTTTTAAAATTCTATCAAGTCTCCGAGGCTAAAAATATTAAAATTTAGCCTATATATATTTTTGCTTCATGAAACTTTGGTTGCAATGATTATCGTTTTTACAAAGGCAACCAGTGAAGAACTAGTAAAGCTTTAAAAGAATTTACTATTTCCCACCTTCCATTTTTGTCAATAAAGTACAATAACTCCTTAATGTACTTTTATATTTTATCATCAGATTGAATTTAGTACACAGTTGGTATAGTTTAGCATACTTCAAGGCAGTGTAATTTTTCAGTGCAGCCAGTTTTTTGAAATTTCCATTTTTTAAATATAAAGAAAATCGAGTAATTAAGTTTTTAGAAACAGAAAACTCAATGAACAAAAAATACAACATTTCAAAGTTCATGCAAGTGTAAAGCCAAGCACTAATATTTAACAGTGTGAATCAATGAAAGAAAATGATTCCCACAAGCAAAAGAAAACATGATGAAAACAAGACTAAACAAAGGAAAACCAGCTAGAATAACAAGACTTAGCTTGCTTATTTTTGTACTACTTCATTGGCTTCAATAAGATTAAAACTTTTAAACTGAAGTTATTATACTATCAAAATCCACATTGTTTTCCTTGAATAGAAATAGGTTAATTTTCAATGTCTGTTAAATGCATGCACATTACCAATCTTTGTCTTGCTTTATGAATGTTCTGAAATAAAGGGAAGGAAAATCATGAGGAAAATATAAGCTGTAACCCACTATATCTGTATTTTAAAAAATAGTAACTGGGATTGATTTTGCTAAATTTAGCTTCAAGATTAGCACTTCTGCTTTTTTGGATTCAACATGCAAACACAAACATGACTTGAAATCTTACTTAGATAGGACAGCCAACTAACCTTTTTTTTTTTAGTTGCTAAATTCTGTAGCATGAATTACACAATAAACAAGATTAAAAGAGACCTCAGTAGCCCCAGCCTTATAACCCCAGTCATGAATATCCATTTGGTCATAATTCATGTAGTACAACAAAAGTCAGTATTGCACACTGGTAACAATTTTAGCATCCCGCCCTCACACACATTGGCTTTTATTGCACATGAAAACATTGTAACAAATAAAGCGTTTCTAGTGAACACTGAAAGCTATAACACAGCAGAGCAAATTGATCTGAGTGATTCATAAAAACCAGTGAGAAGGTAAAGAACACTAAATAGACTAAGTGTTCGATAAAGCACAGACACACACAAGTAGGAGGCCCATCCGCTGAAAGCCAAATATCCTTACCCTTAGATCAGGCCTCCTGAAAACCTGTTAGTTAAAATACAGAATATCATCATCATGGACATGTTACTATTGACCTGTGAAAGATGCCATTAAGTTCAACAGCCTATTCCCTAAGAAACATCATAATCCTCTAAGTAAAACCAACAAGATCAATCATAACACATTTGCCCTCTAAGTTTCATTCAATATCAGATCAATCCTAACACATTTGTCCTATAATTTTCAGGGAAGTCTATGATTTGGAGAAACATGTTGCCCTTAGGCTAAGACTAACTACATTACCTTAAACGCAAACCCCTTCTGTCAAGTGCTATTACAAGTTATTGTGAACAGGCTGTGTTCAAAAAGTTCATTAGTTTCCATTTGGAATACTGAATGCATTTTCCCCAAAAACCAATGATAAAAAAAAAAAAGGCAGTTATATGCCCAAACCAGCCCAGGAAAACAAAACCAAAAAACCACAGAAATCCCCACCTTGGACCCAGAGCAAGCACAGCTCAGCTATATTGCATTGATGGTATCATAAAGCTGAGTTACCTGCAAAGCTTAACCTGCTTTCTATTGAAATTACATTTCCAATTCATACTGGGGACTCCAATGTGGCCACTACTGAGAGGAGGGTGCCCGCTCCCCGCCCCAGCACCAGCTGCATGGCCAAAGGGGGGCTCCACGCGGGAAGAGGTAAGTGGCTGTTCCCGGAGAGGAGGGAAAGCCCAGCTTTATTCAGCAGGCACACTGATTTTAGCAACAATATTCTTGTTGTGCCTGAGGCCTGTGAATCCTAATTGAACATGCAGCATACACACTCAGAAAGCCCTGGTCAGAGGGAATGGCCAGAATTTTTAAAAAGCAAATAGTTGTAATAGCCTGGGAAGATTTTAACCATCTCTGTTCCCCATTTCAAAGTCTGAAATCCTATCTTCTGACCACTGAATGTCCTATGAAAACAAATAATCAGAAAAGAATCACTGGAGGTTCTTACTAGTTTTATGGTTTCACTCAGAATGCATAAGATCGCATGATACAGATTCAAAAAAATCACTGTATTATCATTAAAATAATCTTTGAAGTCATTAAAAGGTATCTGAATTAAGTGATGATATAGCTAAAAGACAAAGTCTATACATAAGTTACTAAACACAGACTATTCAGACTGAGAAGCTTAAATGTGTCTTTTTTTGGGAGGATGGATATGTTTACCTCAACTGTGGTGATGGCTTTAAATGTGTGTATTTCTGTCAAAGCTTATCAAATTGCACATTTTAAATATTTGAGGTTTATCATTTGTTAACTACACATCAAGAAATTTGATAATAAATAAAAGTAGTATATGTTTATGGTAATAACTCAAAACAGTAAGTCTCCCAGAGCTTCATTCCCCAGTAATAACCACACTTAACTAGATCTATTTTTAATTCTGAGAATTGCTTCCATTGTGATAGTTATGCTTCCATTTCTTGATTTGTCAACTTTAAAGTGTCTATTAACCTCCCATTTTAAAAGATGAGAAAATTAACTCTCAAACTACTATCTCCCTCTTCCCAATCTCTGCTGATTGAAATGCTAATTTTGAGTTCTTTTGTTTTCCTTCAGCAGCTGCTGCATCATAAAAAACACTCATGATTTTTATGTTTCAGATACTCTTCTAAGCACTGTATTAACTCATTTTATTCTCAGAACAACCTTATAAGATAAAAACTATTATGGCCGGGCGCAGTGGCTCACGCCTGTAATCCCAGCACTTTGGGAGGCCGAGGCAAGTGGATCACTTGAGGTCAGGATTTCGAAACCAGCCTGACCAACATGGTGAAACCCGTCTCTACTAAAAATACAAAACATTAGCCGGGCTTGGTGGCAGGAGCCTGTAATCCCACCTACTTGGGAGGCTGAGGCAGGAAAATCACTTGAACTTGGGAGGCAGAGGTTGCAGTGAGCCGAGATCACACACTGCACTCCAGCCTGGGTGAGAGCCAGACTCTGTCTCAAAAAAACAGAACAAAACAAAACAAAACAACAAAAACAGAAAAAAACACCTATAACTGGCCCCATGTTTTGATGAGAAAACCAAGGCACAGTTTAAGTAATCTGGCTGAGTTCAAGGTGGCAGAGCAAGCAGTTAAACCCTGGAAGTCCGGCTCTGGATTTGTGCCCATAACAACTCTGCTATACTGCCTCAGCATGGCGCCTCTATCATTAAACCATTTGAACTACAGCCCTAAACCTATTTTGACCCCTCAAATGTTAAATATCTCTTAACTCCCTTCAGGTTTTTTGAAGAAATCAATACCACTAACCCTTCCTCCACCTCTCTACCTCCCAACCTCCATTCTGTAACTACAATTAATGTTTGGATGCTTTGTCTATAAATTGATAGTAAAAACTGAAAACTAAAAACATTCACAACAAAATCTTTATGAAAATATTGTCCACTGCAGAACCAAATTGTGCAATTGAACCCTGATATAGTTTGGACGTTGTCCCCTCTAAATCTCATGTTGGATTCTAATCCCCAGTGTTGGAGGTGGGGCTTGGTAGGAGGTGTTTGCGTCATGGGGGTGGATCTTTCATGGCTGGGCGCTGTCTTTGAGCTAGTGAATTAATTCTTTTGAGATCTGGTTATTTAAGAGGGTATGGCACCTCCCGCTGCCTTGCTCCCACTCTGGCCATGTGAGACGTCAGCATCTCCTTTGCTTTCCACCATGACTGTTAGCTTCCTGAGGCCTCCCCAGAAGCCACACAGATCCCAGCACCATGCTTCCTGTTAAACCTGCAGAACTGTGAGCCCAGTAAACCTCTTTTCTTGACAAATTACCCAGTCTCAGGTATTTCTTTATAGCAACGTGAGAACAGCCTAACACAAACCTCATATATGGGAGTTATAACTCCTTGTCAATAGGCCTTTGCCACTAAAACGAGAAACTAACTTGAAAAAGGGTGCAAAGGGGTGAGATGATAATCTGCTTTTAAACTCACATAATTCTTTACTTACTGCCATGAAATCCTCAGTGTTCCTGGTATGGGGGTGGAGGGGAGAAGGTCAATGGAGGCTTACCCAAAAGTCTCTAAGTTGATACCTATTGTGTTTTCTCTGGTTCACCATGTCCCTCTCCTGAAATAAGCCATTTCAGACACATGCACAGAGCTTCATTTTCTTCTTAAATGTGATTCTGATGGAAGCCGTAGGAGAATAGGTTGTAAGCCAGGAGGCCTGGAAGCCAGCTCTTGCTGATGATACAGAGCTTCCTAATGCCTGCATTCTGGGCCTCAGTTTCGACACATAAAATGAGGGGAGTCTATGGGATGACTGCCAGGACCCTACCAGTTCCCAACTCCGAAGGATTCGGGGTATCTAGGCCTCATTAGAAGACTTAAGAAAACATCTGCCAAACTGAGGCTGAGGGAGGTAAGTCGGCATAGTGGTTAAAAGAACACACTCCAGAGTGAAATCCCAGCTCCAGCACCTACTTACTGGCCACAGGACCTCAGGCGAACCACACACCCACCTTGGAATCTTAGTCTCCTCTTCTCTAAATGGGAGATGTCGAGAGCACCTCCCTTGCAGATTGTTGGCAGGGTTAAATCAGTTAAGATAATTGTACCTGGGGTGGATAAGTAACCTTTTTCAGTTGATGAGTCTCAGCTGCCCCAACTTGTGCCACAACTATTTTCACATGCCCCACATCCCCTCCCTCAACTCCTAAACATGTCAAGAACCTATGAGAAGGTGCAAAAAAAGTTGATAGTGATCTTAATCTATTTAAGAAAGCAAGCATACTGCATCATCTTGTCGTTAACTAAATTTATTATAAGAAACATAATAGTTAACTTCTAACATCTTTTTTAGTATATTTTTCAGTTGTTAAATAGTTATATATATATAACTGAAATATAACTATATATTTCAGTTGTTACATAAATCTAACATAAGAAACACAATAGTTAACTTCTAACATCTTTTTTAGTATAACTATATTTTTCAGTTGTTATAAATACAATGATACAAATTTTTACATGTAATATAGAATCATTCAGCAGTCTAAAAATCTTGACTTATTTAAAATTAAACTTTAAATTTTGGGATCATTGTAGAACCACATGCAGTTGTGAGAAATAATACAGATTCCATGTACCAGTCACCCAATTCCCTCAGTCGTAGCATATTACAAAACTATAGTACAATATCAGAACCAGGATATTGGCATTGATTACAATCAAGATGCAGAAAAATTTCATCACTACAATGAACTCTACTGTTGACCTTTTATAGCCACATCTTACTCCCTCCCTGCTTTCCTCTCTTCTTGGCCCCTGGCAACCACTCATCTGTCTTTATTTCTATCATTTTGCCATTTGAAGAATGTCATATAAATGAAGTCATACAGTATGTAACCTTTTGGTACTGCCATTTTTTTACTCACGTAATTCCTTTAAGATTCATCCAAGTTGCCTGTGTGTATCATTATTTCTTTTTATTGTTGAGTAATATAGTCCATAGCATGGATATACTACAATTTGTTTAACAATATACCTGATGAAGAACATCTGGGTGGGTTCCAGTTTTCGGTGATTATGAATAAAACTGTTAAAAACATTCAGGTACAGGTTTTTATGCAAACATAAGATTTAATTTCTCTTGGACAAATGCCCAGGAGTACAATTGTTTGGTCATATGGCAGGTGCACATTTCATTTTTAAGAAACTGCCAGACTGTGTTTCCAGAGTGGCTGTACCATTTTATATTCCCATCAGCAATCAGTGAATAATCTGGTTCTCCACATTTGGTGTTGTCACTTTTTAAAAATTTCTAACCATTCCAATAGGATATAGCGATATCTCACTGTGACTTTAATTTATATTCCCCTATTGAGAAATGATGTTGAACGTCTTTTCACGTGCTTACCTGCCATGTGTATATCTTCTTTGTTGAGATGCCTCATGTTTTTTGCTCATTTTCTAATTGGATGGTTTGATGTTTTTACTGTCGAGTTTCAAATATTCCTTATATATTCTAAATACTAGTCATCTGTCAGATATGAGGTGTGCAAATATTTTCTTCCACTTTGTAGCTTGTCTTTTCATCTTCTCAGAGTCTTTCACAGAGCAAAAGATTTTAAATTTTGATCAATTTTTTCCTTTTATGGATTGTGCTTTTGGTGTAAAGTTTAAGAAGAATGATTTACCTAGCCCCAGATCCTTAAGATTTTCTTTTTTCTGTAAAAGTTTTATATTTTTAAGTTTGTGATTCATTTTGAGTTAATTTTTGTATAAGATGTGAGACTTAGATCAAGGTTTTGTTTTGTTTTGTTTTGTTTTTTTGTCTATAGATGTCCAATTACTCCAGCAGTATTTGTTGAAAAGCCTATCTTTCAACCATTAAATTGTTTTCATGTCTTGGTGGAAAAAAAAAATCGGCTGAGCATATTTCTGTGGGATGACTTCTAGGTTCTCTGCTCTGTTCCACTGATCTATGTGTCTGTACCTCTGCCATAGTCTTGATTACTGTAGCTATGCAGCATGTCTTGAAGTCATTTAGACTGATTCTTCCCACTTTATTCTTCAAAATTGTTTCAGCTACTTCAGTTCCTTTGCCTTTCCATATAAGTTTTAAATCTGTATCTACAAAAAATCTTTCTGGGATTTTGATAGGAATTGTGCTAAATGTGTATATCAATTAGGGGAGAAGTGACATCTTCCCTATATTGAATCATCCAAATACATGAACAACACTGTGTGTCTCCATTAATTTAGATCTTCTTTGATTTCTTTAATCAATATTTGATAGTTTTCAGCTTATGAGTCCTGTTCATGTCTTATTAGATTTATACTTGCTATGGTTGGAATACATCCCCAAAATTTCATAAGAAAATATTTGCAAATCACATCTCTGGCAAGGTATTAATACCCAGAACATATTAAAAAACTCCTACGTCTCAACAGCAACAACAAAAACCACAAACATCACAAATAACAACTGTTGGCAAGAACATCAAGAAATCAGAACCTCTGTGTACTGTTGGAGGGAATGTAAAATGGTACAGCCACTGTAGGGGTTTGAACATGTCCCCTAAATTTCATGTATTGGAAACTGAATCCCCAGATTCATGTTGCCTGAAGGTAAGGCCTTTGGAACGTAATTGGGATTAGATATGGTCATCAGGGTAGGGCTTCCATGATGGGACTGGTGACTTTATAGGAAGACGGATCTGAGCTAGCAGGTTTGCTCTATCTTGCCATGTGATGTCTCCTGCCATGTCATGATGCAGCAGGAAGGCCCTGACCAGATGCTCACCCCTCAAACTTGGACTTCCCAGCCTCTAGAACTGAAAGTAAAAAATTTATTTTCTTTATAAATTACCCAGTCTGTGGCATTCTGTCACAGCAGCAGCAAACGGACTAAGACAATACCTAAGTATTTCATTGTTACAATACTAATGTCAATGGCACTGTGTTTTTAATTTTGGTCCCCACGTGTTGCTAGTACATAGAAATGCAACTCACTTTTGTATATTAATCTTATATCTATATTGTCTTGTATCCTGTGACCTCACTAAACTCACTTATTAGATTTAGGAGGTTTTTTTGCTTACTGTGTTCTTTCTTCCTTCCTGGGGTCTCAGGATTCCTCCTTTTATTGCTTCCTTTCTGTTCAGAGAACTTTCTTTAGCCATTCTTTTAGGATAGGTATGCTAGTGACAACTTCTCTTCCAGTTTTCCTTCATCTGAAAATGTCTTGATTTCCTCTTCATTCCTGTAGCATATTTTTACATGGTTGATTTTTTTCTTTCAGCACTTGGAAAATGTTGTGCCACTTCCTTCTGACCTTCATGGTTTCTGATGAGAAATCCACTGTCATTAGAATTAATTTTCCTTATAGGTAAAGTGTTATTTCTCTTCCTACTTTCAATATTTTTTTCTTTGTTTTCAGTTTTCAGAAATTTGACTATAATGTGTCTTTGTGTGAATTTGAAGGGATTTCTCTCATTTGGGATTCACTCAGCTTCTTGAATCTGTAGGCTTATGTGTTTTGCCAAATTTGGGGAGCTTCCAGCCATTACTTCTTCAGGTGCTTTTTCAGCCCCATCCCCTCTCTCTCCTTTGGGACTTTGACGACATCAGTGTTAGATCTTTTGTTATACTCCCACAATTCCCTGAGGCTCTGTTCATTTATCTCTGTTATTCAAATTGGGTCATTCCTATTGTTCAATTTTCAAGTTCACAGATTCTTTTTGTCTGTCCTCTCTATTATGGTGTTGAACCTATCCTTTGAGTTTATTTCATTTATTGTATTTTCTAGTTTTAAAATTTCCATCTGGTTCTTCTTTGTCTCTTACATTTCTTTGTGGAAACTTCTCTATTTTTTTTTTCATTGTTTGTTTCAAGCATACCTGCAATTGCTTATTGAAGCAATTTTATGAGGACTTCTTTAAAATCTAACATCTCTATCATCTCAGTTTTGACATCTGTTGATTTGATTCTCTTTTTTCATTCAGTTTGAGATCTTCCTCATTCTTAGTATAACAAGTGATTTTTCATTAAAATCTGCACATTTGGGGCATTATGTTTTAAGACCCTGGATCTTATTCAAACCCTTTGTTTAAGCTGGCTTTCTCTGACACTGCTCCAACAGAAGAGGAGCACTACTTCATTACTTCTAGGTAGGGGTAGGAGTCCAGGTTCCGTACTCAGCCTCCACTGACACTGCAGAGTGGAGGGCTCCTCGTTACTGCTGAGCAAGGGTGAGAGTTCTAGCTCCCAGCTAGGCTTCCACAGAAACCTCCCTGGCTGAGAGAAAAAGGGGTGCCTCATTGTTGCCCTTGATACGGCCTCTACTGACACCACAGTAGAAGGGGCAACCTGCCTACCAATAGATGACAGTGAAAGTCATGACTCTTCACTCAGTCTCCCCTGACACCACCACCACTGCAGGGAGTTGGTATGCCTCATTATAGCCTGGCAAGGGTGGAAACCAGGCTCTCCCAACTGGCTTTGTTGGTGGGGTGGGTGTGGGGTCATAATTTTTTTCTGTGGTGTTTGGCTGGAGTAGAGTAGTTAGTGTGTTTTCTTTTTGCTAGGTGCCCCTTTCCTGGTCCTCTGGCTAGACAGAGTAGGCTTTTCTTATCTGCGCCTGTTGGCATTTCTGACTCACTGGTTTCTTCAGCAATGAGTCTGGGACATACGTGGCAAAAACAAACCCAGGAAACTCACAACCATGTCATTCCTTGGGTCTTGAGGTCCCTAGCTAGTCTGCCTTTTCTACCTTTCAGAGTATTCTTATGTTTATTTTGCAGATAATGTCCAAGGTTTTTAGTTGTACTTAGTACAAAGAATAAGAGAAAATACATTTGCTCCATTTTTTCCAGAAACAGAAGTCTAAATCTTAACATTTTTAAGAAATAATTATTTCCCACAAAAACCATGATAGGATAGCACTCTTCTATCTATTACAGTGGTTACAAAACTGGAGGCCTATGGTTTTTAAAAAAATTTAATTGCTGTTAGGTGGGCATTCTGTACTCTCCAGTTCTCTACAGCACTCTTCCATGTCTGCCTAGATTTGTGAACTGTTCCATGAAGGCATCTGAGTTTGCAAGCTCTGATTTATAAGTCACAAGGCCAGGCTATAGATTACAGAAGTAGATTTTGAAGGTTCATGCTAAAGCTTCCCTTTTCATAGACTAGGGCCCAATTTAAGAAATGTTAACCAAGACCCAGCTCAAGCATAATGAAGTCTTTCCTATACTCTGCCTTCGACTTCCCTCCAAATGTAATTACTGTACTATCCCATCCAATGATTAAACTTAGTATAAGGCCATCTCCATTTTCTCATTTTTCTTCAGAATGTTTAGAGAAGAGATATAGCTACTGTGTGTGTGTGGGTGAGGGAAGGAGAACAGAGAAGAGCTGATGATAATGATGAAGCAAGAGGAAGGAAGATGATCACATTAAAACTATAGTGTCCTAATTTTCATAAAGCTGGCCCAGATCAAATTCTTTTGAACACAATTGAATAATGTTCTAGCAAGAAAGGCATTTAGAGGTGAATAATCTAATCCAAGCCCCTTTATCCTTCCAGAAAAGGAAACTGAGCCTCAGAGACTATACAAGGTCACAAGCTAACCAATATTGTTTGTACTACTCCATCATGTTCTCTTTTCATAACCTAGTCCTACTTTCCAAACAATGGAAGCTGTGATCAATGATGTCACTTCTACTAATAGTTCCTAAAAATGTTTCCATTTGTAACTGTATTATTTCATCTAATCTACAGAAGATTACATTCAAATTTTGTTCTTAAAATTTCTGGCAAATTCAAGAGAAATTTTTTACCATTTGTTAGCCTAGTAAAAATGAAAGCAATTGAGTTGGTAGTGGAGGGGGGACAAGCAAAACAAATATTTTATTACATTTTGTGTAATAGTCTTAATTAACAGGCCAATCTTCAGGATGACTCGGTATTAAATCAGGCATTTATTAATTTAGCTGCCACACAATTCAGTATAATAGCTATCTACTCTTTCAGCTGGGACAATGCTTGCCAAACTTGCCATTTCACATACCACCTCAACAAGTTTGGCTTGCTGTATCTGCCAACTGCCCATACTAATTTTGTATTTATCTTTATATTGATTTAAAATCCATTCCTTTTTAATACTTTGCCTGCTCTAAGCCATAACATCTACTAAATCACAAGCCTGATGTGCTGATTTTTCTAATACACAAGAAAATAATTACATAGCTACTAAAATACGTCCATGGACATACCATCTAAACTCATGTCACGTGATACCAGCGATATTCTTACTGTACTTTAGATGAGCTGACCCTGGGCTGACTGACAATTTATGATATGAGTAAATAATAAAATAATTATTCTCCAATATCTGAGTTGCTAATTATTCAGATTCTTAGTAATATACCAGAAATGCAGGGTCCCATCACCAATTTCAACAGACAGAAACTCAGGAAGCCTAGGTTTTCAGATTTTATCATGCATAAGAAATATATGAGACACTTGTTTCCCTCCCTCAGACACTCTGATTCAGTAAATCTGGGATGGAGCCCGGGAAGCTGCATTTTTACAGGTGCTCCAGAGAATGCTGTCTTGGGAAGACCCAAGGGTCACATTTTGAAAAACAGTGGATGAGGCTGGGTATGGTGGCTCACACCTCTAATCCCAGCATTTTGGGAGGCCGAGATGGGAGGATCGCTCGAGCCCAGGAGTTCAAGACCAGCCTGGGAAACGTAGTAAGACCCCATCTCTATAAAAAAAAAAAAAAGAAAGAAAGAAGAAGAAGAAAAAGAAGAAAAAAAAAGATCGAAAAGCAGTGGATGGGAATGGGGGTGGGACAAAATCTTAAAATCACTCTAGCTTTTCAATAGGATGACTTGAGTTCAAATCCCAAGTCTAACTGTATGACCCTAAGCAAGTCATTTCATCTCTCTAGGCCTCGGTTTCCTCATCCATTAAATGATGATTGTAGTAATAGCTACCTCAATGGACTTTTTTAAAGAAGCAAGATCTCTCTATGTTGTCTAGGCTAGAGTGCATTGGCTTTTCACAAGTGTGACCACAGCACACTGCAGCCTTGAACTCCTGGACTCAAGTGATCCTCCCATCTTAGCCTTCCAAGTAGCTGAGACTACAGACCACCACACCCAGATTCACTAGGTTGTTTTAAGGCTTAAATGGATGACATGTCAAAAAGCATTACAAAACCCCAGAGCCTGTATGTGTTAGAGGGTTGATGATGATGATGATGATGATGACATAGAACCATTCTCGACAGCCTGTTACAACTCAGAAGACAATCAGCATTTCAAATAAGATGCCAAGCATTCTGCTCCACATAAACATCTGCTCCCATTTAATTACTGATGTTGAGTTTAATCTATAATAAATTAGCCCCCAAATTAAGTGTGTATTTCAAATAAGACATTTACACAACAGATAATTTCAAATATCAGCTGATGACTGCAACTTAAATCCTCAAGGAACTTTATCTGGCTCTTCAGGGTCAACCCCATGCAATAGCTCCCATGCCAGAGGGGTCCCAAAGGCCCATTTTGGTTACCCTGATTTTAAGAACTACTTTATAGGGAACATGTACAATTATCCTTGTGGTTTAGAAATATTTTATGTATTTATTATGTAAAAAAAAAAACTCTCCTTGAAGAAAGTGTAACAACCCCTGAGTTATAAATTTAACACCAACTTTTCAGATTTGGCTGCAGGGCAAATATAACAAAGACAATTATAAAACATGCCCCCTTACAATAATTCATCAAAGACTTTAGCTATGATCTGATGTAGGAACTTAAAATTTAATTTCCAAAAGAAAGAAAGCCTTATTTTTTCTGAATACCATCTGTTCAACCATTCCAACATGAGCTAATTCAGCTACACAAAATTTGTAAATAGACTGAGATTGAAAAAACTTAGTTGCTTCATGTTAAAGTACAGATTCAGTCTGATCTATTCATGCAATGTTAGAAAGCTATGCACACAGTCGACATTCAATCTTTTATAGGACACACACAACACTAACAACTATTCAACCTTAATGAAAACATTACAGTTAACTCATAATTGTCCATAAAGAAAATCACCCCGAAGTGTGAGAGCTATTCTCTGCTAAAATGGGTTCTTAAGTCTCTCTACTCAGCGGGCAGTTTCTCAGCTAAGGTGCAGGCAATAGGGCAACTGGAACTGATGCGATCCGCAGCTGCTCAGTGACCAGCCATTCACGCATCAGTGATGCAGCAAATGCTTCTCCCACCTGGAGACAGTGTGTTTGCCCGACCAGGTTTTAAGGTCCAGGAGCCCCAGCTGCTCTTTTATGGGCAAACATGAACACCACATAGCAGGAAAAATGATTAAGAAATACACTGTCACTCTTCTAGCTGGGCAGATTATCCAATTTCTGCTAATCCACAGCTATGCCTTCCTTTGGTAGGCATAATCAACAGCATCTGCCAGTTTGGATGAGGCAAGAGACAGCACCATAGCCAAATCTCAATTAATTGGCCTCCTGAGCCTGTTTCTGCACTTGTTATTACCCTATGAGCTCTAAAGAGGAACTGAAGATAAAGCTCCTAAACAAGGAGTACCTATTAAGAATTAATTAGGATCTTTACTGTAATTCTTGATATTTGTAAGATTTGATGTCTGGCAAGGACCATGATATTGAGAGACTATTAACTAATGGTAGTCTGGGATACCAAATGCATTTTACACACACTTGTGAAAAATCAATCATCTCTTACTAGCAGGAAAAATGACCACTAATAAACAGAAACCTCAACTTAGGCAAACATCAGTACTGAAATATAAATGTGATTTCATTTAATATACCTATTAATAGTTTATTGACATTAAAACAAAGTTAGTCTTTAGCCTTAACAAAGATGGAACAAGCGATTTTTTTGATTTGTTAATTGATTCAATATTTATTGAGCAACTGTTATGCTCCAGGATTGTGCCTGGGAAGCCAGTGGTAAAACTGCCCTAGTCTCTGCTGACAAGGAGCTTATCACTTAAATTTAGAATAAGCAGGGAATCTAACTTTTAAAATGAACAAAAAGAGATTTTCACTTCAGTAAGGACTGAAAAATGAGGCTGCCCATACAATACTCTTTTGAGATTCTGGAAGGGTTTTTATACATTCTAGTATCACATGTTAATGCTGAATACTCACAGATAATACATAAATTAAAAAATTGTGAAGTTAGGGAAGTATTGTACATCAAGATATTTCCTGAAACTCACAATACTAACAAAGAAGCTATATGCATTTATTATTATAAAATGGAACTTGATTTTTAAAAGAATCATTGTCATCTAAAGACAGCTTCTCCTTTCAATTACAAAACTATGACTACATGTACTGGATACTGGTAAAATTTCTCTTCTACATTTCAGATCTAACAACAGAGAACCTTTCATCCTTATTCTCGAGCAAATGGCCATGTTGCATCAAAAGGCCAACAGCTCACTTGAATTAAAACTGCAAAGCTTCTTGGCTACTTAGCATACTGAAAATGAATTAAACACTCAATGTTGCTTACCTTGTAATCTCTGGACACATTTTCTGATGTCACTGAACCTGAAATCTGACTAGAAATTGTAGCAGCTATAAGCTGTTTACACCATTCAACATGTGATCCTGTGGGACTAAAAAAAATAGCATGGATTACAAAACGTTATATCATAGGATCTCAGTGAAAAAATTAGCACTGAATAGGAATATGATAACACTTCTTTTTTTAGATGAACTAACTAGACTCTTTGGTTACCTTCACATTTTATGTAAGAACTGAAATAGCGACTGACAACTAGGAAATAAGATTAGATTCCAGGTTAATTTTAAATGAATCACCCAATTTTCTCAAACAAAGTTGAAGATTCTAGGTGTTAGTTAAGCTTACTATTCTCTACCATTTAATGGAATTTTACTCTATTAAAATTATATGGAAGAAATACTTCTTTTTTTTTTTGTGAGATGGGGTCTCACTCTGTCACCCAGGCTGGAGTGCAGTGGTGCAATCTCAGCTCACTGCAACCTCCCAGGTTCAAGTGATCCTCCCACCTCAGCCTCCTATGTAGCTGGGACTACAGGCACATGCCACCAGGCCCGGCTTTTGTGTGTGTGTGTGTGTGTGTGTGTGTGTGTGTGTGTGTGTGTGTGCGCGCGCGTGTAGACAGGGTTTTGCCATGTTTCCCAGGCTAGTCTCGAATTCCTGGGCTCGAGTGACCCACCCGCCTTAGCCTCCCAAAGTGCTAGGATTACAGGCATGAGCCACCACACCCAGCCGGGAGAAATATGTGAAATATTTATCTTACAGCATAGGCTTTTCAAACATTCAATCAATTTCATGTTGGTAGTTTTAAATCTAGAAAATAGTGTACTTTTGAGTGAAGCAAAGTGACTCAGAAAAGTAAAGCTGAACATGAGATTTATAAATTACAGCCTAGAAAAATGATGTTCTCTGTGTAGTACTAACAATACCTTACACTTCTATAAGTGCTTTGACAACTTACAAATGGTTTTTATTTTTTATTTATTTTTTTTTTTGAGACAGAGTCTTGCTCTGTCACCCAGGCTGGAGTGCAGTGGCGCGATCTCGGCTCACTGCAAACTTTGCCCTTCTGGGTTCAAGCAATTCTCCTGCCTCAGCCTCCCTAGTAGCTAGGATTATTTAGGCGCATGCCACCATGCCTGGCTAATTTTTGTATTTTTAGTAGAGACGGGTTTTCACCATGTTGGCCAGGCTGGTCTTGAACTCCTGACCTCAGGTGATCCACCCGCCTTGGCCTCCCAAAGTGCTGGGATTACAAGCACAAATGGTTTTTATTATATCAGAGCCTCACAACCATGGTGTGATGAGAAGGCAGAACAGGGACTAGCCGACTTGTCTTTGAGGAGAGAAAATCGAGGCACAGAGGTGACATGCCCTGTGAGAAAGTGGCTGTCCTCAACAGGACATGGAACAACCAATAGCGACTGACTCACTGCACTGAAGCCAGCAGCACAGATGCGAGCCAACCGCTTTACATGAAAACACAGCAATGCAAAGAAAATGTCATCTTTCACTCCCACAGAGCTCTGAGGCATCAAAGCATTTTCACACACGTAGCCTTGCCCAGCCTCACAGTGACCCATTTTACAGATGAAAAAATTAAGGTCCAGTTTTGCCCAAGGTCACACGACTGGCAAGTGGTCAGGCTGTACTCACCTGACCTGAAAGACCACATAAGCCAACTAGCGCAGTAAGAGATTTAACAATTGCCCCCAGAGGCCGGGTTCCTCTCACAATTTGGCAAAACACTAAGAAATCAAGCTAGAGGGCTAAAAACACCGACAAAAGTTTACCTTGCAGGTAGCTTTCACTGTAAAGAATGTTTCAGGCCTTTAAAAAAAAAATCATATCACTAATTAAACCCACACTCACATATCTGAAGGACAGAAACACCTGGAATCCCCAGGCAATATGGAAAATGACCCAAATAGTAAAAGAAAGAAAACTGAAGTTCTGTGCTAGTGATCCAAATTGCAGTCTCTGATCAAAACAGACCAGAGGTTATCTGTATGGTTGAAAATACTGAATGAGCAGAAATTCCTATCACATGCCAGGAATCTATATACCACAATTTCGACCTGAGGGGGAGAAGGAGAGAAAAGGGAGAGATTTGTTTCCTTTTTAAAGGTTAAGTCACTTTCATTCCCACGTATATCATACTTTTCTTGTCATAATGCCTTTTTCTGTCAGCACCCACCAGTTGCAAATACAGGAAGAAACTGCAGAAACCCAACTGCTGAGCATGAGTGTGACCTGCTATTACCACCTGCCTGCCCGGCATGCCTTCCCCCTTCTTCTGATAAAGACCTTCCTCTTTACTTTGGGAACTGCCCTTCCCCACAACACAGGCTTCTGTGGGGGAAAGCGGAGAAGAAGGTTGACCCCTTCCTCCACCTGCTCCCACTTGTAGGTGAGTTACCTAGGACCAGCCAATCCCAGACTTTTCCCCTTGGATCCTGAAATACATGGATCTGTATCCAGAGCTGCTGGAGGCCACTCCCCACCCCACCCCACCCCTACCATCTTAAGGAACTCACAGCGATTAAAAAGTGAGGGAAAATAAAAGAGAGAGGGAGAGAGAGATGGGGAGTCCCGACAACACTGTTTGCAATCCTGACCTCAACTGTGCCTGTGGCCATCTCTCCTCCTGTCTGGAGCAGTTCTGTGAGCCAGGGCATCTCATTTGCCTTAAGCTAGATTGAACTGTGGTTTCTGTCACCTGCAACCAGAAGCATCCTGGCCAATGTAGTTACACACAGTGAAGCACAGTGGGTTAGCAGACAGGAGGCCTGGACATGAGTCCTGCTTCTGTCACCAGCTAACTCCATGATCTTTGGCAAGACACATCCTCTTACAGGACCACAGCTTCCTCATTATTAATTACAGTATTCAGAAGAGAAGTGAAGGCCCCATAGTCCCAGGGACATGGCCAAGTCCCACCCATAGAGCCAGGTTCCATTCTAGAGGTCACTCTTCAAAGAAAAGTGTGAATCTGAGCTTGTTGAGCTGACAGAACTGAGAAAGGAGGCCATGATTCCTCCCCCATCCCTTCTCTGTAGTCTGTGCAATTGCCCTCTATACTCCTGGTGTCAATAACTACTTACAGGCTGGAGGCTCCCAGCTCTGTTTCTCCAACCTGGACTCTCCTGATCTCAATGCTGATGTTCCTACAAGACCTGTCCACTAGTCTGGCCCAGAGACCCTGCCAATTCAACCTGTCTAAACCAGCATCAGCCGCTCAGCCCCGCAACCTACTCTGCTCCTGTGTTTCCTAACTCAGGGCGCAGCACAGCCAGTTATCCGGCCCCCACACGCTAGAAAGCTGAGGTTTGCCTTGGAGTCCACCCGGCACTCCCCCCTCACATCTGAATGCTCACCATGTCGGGTCACTCTTACCTGGTAAGCATCTTGAAAATCCACCCAGCCCTATTCCTAGCCCAATTCCCTTTTCCAGACCTCCATCATTCTTCTGTGAACTCCACCTGCCTCATGAATTTAAGCCTCATCTATAAGCCCATGACTCCCCAGTTTGAATCTCCAGCCCAGACAACCCTGAACTCCAGGCTCAGATAGATCAACTATATCTTTGACATCTATTCTGGGACATATAATTGGCATCTCAAAATTGATATGTCCAGAGCGAAGAGCCTGCTATTTTCTAACCCTGCTCCACCTTAGAAAGACTTCTCCATCTCAGCAACACAATTTTCCCACAAGCTAAAATTTTGGAATTCTCCCAGATTCTTCTCTCATACCAACCAACCAATCTTCAGCAAACCCCATTGGCTCTACCCTGCAGGTCTTCAAATTACATGTAGTATCTGACCACTTCTCCCCTCCTCCGCTCCACTCTGGACCACCATCTCACTTGGCTTACTACAATAGCCTCCTACTGACAGTCTCTGCTTCAGCTCCTTCCCCTTTCACTCTATTGTCCACATAGCACCATGGAGAGCCTACTGAAATCTACAACAGATGATGTCACTCCTCTGCACAAAGTCCCCAGTGGCTCCCCATGGCCTCTGAGGCTCTCCACCATCTGGCTCTGTGACTTCTCTAACGTCATCCCTTACTTGTCTCTCCCTAGCTCCCTCCCTGCTAGTGACACCTAGTCTCCTCGCTGATCTAGGAACACTTGGCTCACATTCACCTCAGGGGCTTTGCACAGGCCTCTGACTAGAATACTATCACCCCCAGGTATCTGTATGGCTGGATCCCTCGCCTCTTTGGGGGCATTACTCAAATGTCAGCTTTCTCAGGCTTTCCCTGATCATCAAAATCTCTGAAGGAAACCAGAAGATGAGGCATATTTGGGGGTGACACATTCTGGTCTCCTTTGGCTTCTTAAATGATTCTGATGCATGCCCATCCTGAGTACTTCTGTGTTCGCCTCTACCACCTATCTCATTTATCACATTCGATTTCCACTGTTGGTTGGTTTGTATTCTCCACTAGATGGTAAGTCTAGCAAAATGGTAAGGCAGCAAAAGCCGTGTTGTGCTATTCTCTGAATCGCCCAGACCTCGTGTGTGGTTGAATATTTGCAGATGAGTGAAGTCCTCACCATTTCAAGTGCTGTCTTAGCTGTGACTGGTTTTCAGTGACACTAACCACTTGGGTGATTAATTTATTAAAATATATTGTAATTACACTGAGGTAGAAACAAAAGTGAAGGGAATGTTTCTTGTTTCTGTGCTTTTGGAAACTCCCAAAAGTTTGGCACAATGGGATGACCAAGACAGGCAGGAATGGGCATGTAAAACTGACTGAGCTACATTCCAACAGTGCATGCTGCCTGAGTGCACTCTGGTGTCAGGGAAATGGCCAAGTTGTGGGAAAACTGGATGTTCCGGGTTACACGATAGGCCATCTCTTGTCGTCGGAGGAGGCGGTGGCCCCTCCCAGTTCGACACGGTCACTTTATGTTTCTAACTGATTTCTCTTAGTTCTGCAGCTGCCTCAGAAGCAGTAGGCTTGCTTGTGTGTTCATGAAAACAATAAACTGGTTCCCTCAAAGTGTGAAGAACTGAAAGTAAATGGTTCTGTTTTCTTGCCTCCTGAGCAGTTTGGACGTTTTCCATCTCAGATTTTTGCCTCGATCTGCACCAGCTCCCACGCCCGCGGGGTCCCATCTCCCCGTCCTCACTCCCAACCCCCCATCAAAGACCCTAAGCAGCCACAGCAGAATTGGGGTCTTAAAACCACACGAGGCAAGGTGATGCTAGAAGAGGAGAGCCCGGGTGGGATCTCCCTCCCAAGAGGATTGGTGGCCTGGGCAGGGACAGCCAAGCGATCGCCAAGGGCAGCAGGTGGCGGCGCCGGAAGTGGTTTGACAGCTGCGAAGCCCCTCCCGGGGTTCCAGGAGCTGGGGCTCTCGGGGCGGAAGTGAGCCAGGTGCGCGGCCCGCAGCAGGTCCGAGGGCAGCAGTCCCCGGATGGGGCGCTGAGGTTTCCGGGGGTGGGGGGGAGGAGGGCCCAGAGGGGATGAAGAGGGGCCGCCCACCCCGCCACCGCCAGGCCCTGCGCAGCGCGCGGGGAGGGGGCGGGCTGGCCTCGCGCGGGGCCCTCGGGAGTCGGGGCGCGGGAGGCCGGGGCAGCCCGGGCCCCGCTTACCTGTCCAGGGTCTCCACGCTGGGCTGCCGGGAGCCGGCGGTGGCGCCCCCCGCGGCCCGAGGAGGCCTCCTGCCGCCCGCCGGCCCCGGGTTCGGGCCCCCGCCGCCCTCGCAGCCCGCCGCCGCCGCCGCCGCCGGCCTGTCCATGGCGCGCCGAGTCCTGCCGCCTTGGGGAAGCCGCCGTCGGGACGGGAGCGGCGGCCGGGAAGGTTTCGCTGCTTGCCTCCTGCCGCCCGCTCTATACCGCCCGCCCGCCTCAGGCGGCCGCCGCCATTAGCTGTCACCTGGCGGCCCCGCGTTACCCACAAGGCCGCGCGCGCGGGGGTCGGGGGGCGGGAGCGGGGGCGGGGAGGGCGGCGCGCGGGGCCGGCGCCGGGAACCCCCACCTCGCCCAGCCCCACCTGGGCGCTCGCCCACGGAGCCTTACAGCGGGGATCTGGGACCTCCTGCTCCAGCGACCTGGGTGCGTACAGAGCCACTGGGGTTCGGAATCCCCAAACGGATTATGCGTAGCGTGCTTCACTCTATAGTCACACCGGGTTGACTGCAGAGACGTGGGGTGTAAAAAGAAGTTTGAAGACATTCAAGTATCAAAAATGATTTCCCACCTCAGTTGTCCTTCCCGGAAAAGGTATAGAACAGCTCAAGCTCCCTCGGTCTTGACATCTTGAAGCAGGAGCAATTCCGTGCATTTTAGCAATTCCTCCCCACCCCATTCTTCCCTCCACTCTCCCCCTCCATACGCACCCCGCCGCCCCGCCACAAACCCACCCCCTTGCCATCTGTAGGGCAACCAAGTGTTCTGATGCCGCCCTCGGAGCTTCCGCCCATGGTTTATGTTAAGAGTAACATTTAACTTCTGTTGATTAAAAAATCACTGCTATGAACATCAAGCCAATATCTTGGTGAGGCATTTAGGACATTTGCTTTCTGGGCTAGATTTATTTCCTTGCTCATTTTGTTTGGGTTCGAATATCCAACAGCTCATCCCCTCTCACCTCACCCCTGATTAAGTTGGGAGTGGGTGTGTGGCTCGTGATTAAGCCTCTTTGCCTGTGATTGCTCTGGGTGTAGACAGGAGGCCTGCGACCCAGGTCTGGAAAAGAAGATATAAAGGGAACAATTTGCTCACTGTTAAAAGGCAGATCTGCAGACAGGGAGTTACTCATGCCCATCCCAGACCCATCCTGCCCCACCAGCTTAATAACTTCAAACTGAACTTTGAGGATATGATGCCTGAAGCCCCGACAGCCATCTTACGCACAAGAGGAGGTGAGCCTGGGGTAAGAAGATGACAGAGTGAGGAGGGCTAGGAGGAAGGAAAGGAAGATCCCCAGACAATAATAGCTCCTATCTCACACTGGAGAATCACCGACTGCAGGTTGCTGGCTTTCTAAAATTATTAAATCAAATGGTTAACCCACTGTTATGGACTGAATGTTTTCATCCCCCTGAAGTCCATATGTTGAAGCCCTAATTCCCTGTGTGATGGTATTTGGAGATGGGGTCTTTGAGAGGCAATTAGGTCATGAGGGCCAAGCTCTAGTCTGATGGAACTGGTGCTTTTTAAGAAGGGTCACCAGAGAGCTTGATCTCATGCACTCACATGCACACACTGAGAAAAGGCCGTGTGAGTACACAGCAAGAAGGTGGCCATCTGCAAGCCAGGAACAGAGCCCTTACTAGGTCCCTGCTGGACACTTAATCTTGGACTTTCCAGCCTCCAGAGTTGTGAGAAAATTTCTGTTGTTTAAGCCACCCAGTCTATGGTATTTTGTTTTGGCAGCCTAAGCACACTAAGACACCCACTTTTAGTTGGGTATTTTGTTACAAGTAGCTGCAAGCATCTTAGCTGTGCTGAGAATTGTCAGAAAGAAAACAGTGCAACTTTAAGCATATTTTAAGTACCATATTCTTTAAGAAACATTAGGCCAAAGAGGAATTCACTGTGACACTGTCATACTTCCAATTCAGTTAAGTACACTTAGGATTTAGAGGACAGAGATGAATCTGACATATCCCTGCCTAAGATGTTCACAATCCAGTGAAGGGGACAGACAAATTAACAATGACATTACAAGTTGGCAAGTGCTATAATGGGGACAATTGCACAGGATGTGGAACACCTACCCCAATCCATAGGAGAAGAGGAGGTCAGGAAAACTTCCCCAAAAAGGTGACATAAAACTGAATCTTTAAAGATGAGTAAATCCTTGATGAGGCAAAGGAGTCAAGTTATTCCAGGCAGAAGGCACAGTTATGGGCAAAGGTGTGGATTAGTAGGTATATTAATCTGTTTTGCTTTGCTGTAAAGGAATACCAGAGACCTGGTAATTTATAAAGAAAAGAAGTTTATTTTGGCTCACAGTTCTGCAGACCGTACAAGAAGCATTGTGCTGGCATCTGCTTCTGGTAAGGGCCTCAGCAAGCTTACAATCATGGTGGAAGGCGAAGAGGAAACAGGCATGTCAAATGGTGAGAGAAGGAGCAAGTGAAAGGTGAGGGAGGCACCAGACTCTTTCAAACGACCAGCTCTTGCATGAACTCATAGAACGAGGATTCACTCATTACCACGGGGAGGGCACAAAGCCTTTCCTGAGGGGTCCACCTTCAGGATGTTCACAATCCAGTTTGCAACCCAGACACCCCTTACTCAGCCCCAACTCCAACATTAGGGCTCACATTTCAACATGAGATTTGGACGGCACAAACATCCAAACTCTATCTGTAGGTTAAATAGCTTATTATGTGCAAGAGAATGCCAAGAAATCGAGTGTTACTGGAGCATAAAGTCAGACAAGATAAGTGAGGATCTGGACTGGTGGTAGGCCAAGAAGTTTGGGCTTTGTTCTGCAGCTCACCAGATCTCAAATGTTAGTGTGCAAGAATCAGCCCCAGTCTGCATTTTCAGCAAATGCTCCCATGATTCTGATGCGGGGCTTGCTGCACTTGGAGAAATACTATTGTATAGTCCCCCATCTACGTCCATTTGATAGATTGTGCTTCCAAAGACTGCTGCAATAATATCCCCCATCCCACACACTCTTTTGCAAGGTGATCTTACCACTCATACATCAAGAGGTGGATTCTGTTTACCTTCTCCTTGAATGTGGACTGGCCCTGTAACCCCTTTGACCAATAGAATGTAGCAGAGGTGATGCTGTATAATTTCCAAGGCTAACCCTTAAGGGATTTGCAACTTCCAGTTTGCTTTCTGTGCATACTCCTTCTTGGAAGTCAGCTGCCATACTCTGAGGAAGCCCAAGCAGCCACAGGGAGAGGCCCATATGGAAGAGAACCAAAGCTCTCAGCCAATAGCCCTAGCTGAGTTCCCCAGGCAGCATGGCCAGAAGCCAGCACTAACTGCCAGCTATGTGAGTGAGGCCATTTCAAGCCTTTCAGTCATTCTGGTGGCCTAGCCAACACCACATGAAGCTGATGAATCATACAATTGACTCACAGATTTTTGAAAACTAATGAATTATGGTTTTAAGCCACTAGGTTTTGGGGTGATTTTTTGTGCAGCAATAGAGCACCCAAGCATTGCTCTTGATGAATGATCCAGAGAAGTAATCCCCTACCTGCTCAGCTCCCTTCCCCATTCAGCTATAGGAATCCATGCACAAATCACAGCCACACTCCAAGGAGGGTACTCCACAGTAGTAGGTCAGAAGCTGTTATAATCTAAGATTTTACCCTACTAGCAAGCTGAAAATTTAGTTGATCACCACACTCTAACACTCTGAGAGAAAATATAAAGCCTCTGGATCCGAAACAAAGACAGTTTATTATTCACAGCAAAATCAGCAGCCACAGCAATATCTTGGATCTGCATCCTGAACCCCAGTCTCTACAGGGTGGCATGCTGTTCTGCAGTGCAACCTTGCCACTCTTACATTAAGAGGTGGTATCGGCTGGGCGTGGTGGCTCACGCCTGTAATCCTAGCACTTTGGGAGGCCGAGGTGGGCAGATCACCTGAGGTCAGGAGTTCAAGACCAGCCTGGCCAACGTGGCGAAAGCCCATCTCTACTAAAAATACAAAAATTAGCCGGGCGTGGTGGCACATGCCTATAATCCCAGCTACTTGGGAGGCTGAGGTAGGAGAATCGCTTGAACCCAGGAGGCAGAGGTTGCAGTGAGCTGAGATCCTGCCACTGCACTCCAGCCTGGGCGACAGTGCGAGACTCCGTCTCAAACAAAACGAAACAAAACAAAACAAAAACAGGTGGTACCTATTTCCCCTCCTTTTGAATGGGGGCTGGCCTGTAACTGCCTTTGACCAATAGGAGGCTAGATAGTATCTGCACATGTAATGGGATACACCACAGGAGAGAAAACCCCAACGCAGGAAACTCTGGCTACTAGTGACCTACCCATTCTCCCCTGCAGGGAGAGAGATTACTCGTTACCTTGGAATGAATGATCAGATGTAAACAAATGTCCTTTGTGGAGATTTACATTTACTACCCTGGATTGGAATGTCTCCTCATACCAACTTTACTAACGTGGCTGTAAATGTATTTCCTCAGAGAACCCTGACCATGCTGAAACCGGAGATAGTCATGGTGAATTGTCTCCAAACACACACAGGCCCTACCACCCCCTTCTGCCCACATGGGGGTCTAGTCATAGTTGCTGGGCTGACTATACTGCATTCCTAGAAATCACTCTAAGAGGACAGGCACATGGTTTTTGTATGCCACCTGGAGCTGGAGTTGTGTGGTGGGAGGCAAGGTGAAGAGTGACTTCTCAGGCCCGTGGTGATGCTCACCAGGAAACAGGAAAGGCCTCCTTTGAATGCCCAGCTGCACTCTGCAGTTCCTGCTGGGGAAGTGGGAAATGTATATGAGTATGCTGCATGTTTGTGACATGTTTATGCATGTTTATGCCATGTTTATGTAGAAAGTAGTAGTTTTCAAAATTACACGCATGAAAATGACTTGGGACATCAATTAATGTGCAGATTCATGAGCTTCACCACAGAGAATCTGAAAATTTAGTAGTTAGCTAGGGTGGGTGCTAAGAATCCACATTTGATAAAGCACCTCAAGTGATTCTGATATACATGGTTTGAGGACCACACTTTGAGAAACCCTGTTAGAGGTGACAAGGAGCCACAGCAAGATCTTGGAAAGGGGTGAACTGATCATATTTCCACTCCAGAAAGATCACTAGGATTGCATGATGGAGGATGGACTGGAGGGGCAAGAGTGGCCGTGAGAAGGTCAGTTAAGAAGTTGTTGTCATAATCAAGGAAGACCTGATGCATGAACCCTAACATTGGACAGGACTCAGTGACTGATGGAATGTTGGACATGAAGTGAGGAGGGAAGGAGATGCCAACGTGGGCCAAGCCTGGCACTGAGGTTTCAGACTTGGAAAACTGGGTAAAGGAGATATTAGCCACTGATAAAAGGAATCCAAGATGACAAGCAGGTGGGAGAGGTCAGTGACCAGGATGAATTCATTCTAGACATGTTGAGCTTGACCCACCCTAAGTCCAAGCCCATAAGTTGCCTTTGTGTATATTAGAAAAAAGAAAACCCTTCCTAACAACACTGGACTTCTGTTAGTCATAAAATTGTCATAGTATAACCAATTTTGTTAAAGCTCAACCTTTGGCTGCCATATGCCAAGAGACTGCCATAATAGACCTAGAAATCTATGTGGACCTCATTCTGAAGGATCCCTGTCTTAGTCTGTTTGTGCTGCTACAACAAAATACCACAGACTGGGTAATTTAGAAACAATAGATAACAATAGATATTTATTTCTCACAAGTTCTGGAGGCTGGGATGTGAAACATCAAACCTCTCGCTGGTCTGGGCCTGGTCTCTCTGCTTCCAAAATGATGCCTTTGTTGCTACATTCTTCAGAGAGGAGAAACGCTGTGTCCTCACATGGCAGAAGGTAAAAGGGTGAACACCTTCTGTTAAGCCCTTTTATAAGGGCACTGAATCTCATTCATGAGGACAAGCCCTCATGACTTAATCACTTCCCAGCAGGCCCCAACTCTTAACACCACCACCATGGGGATCAAATTTCAACAAGTGAATACTGGGGACATTCAGACCATAGCAGTCCCCCTTAGATGTGGCCCCCTTGTGCACTTCACAACCTGTGCAACAATGCATAGCAGTCTTGGGGGGTACCTATGGGTATCCAAGTGGAGATGTCCAGTAGACAGTTGGAAAGGAACTCAGGAAAGAGAGGTAATAAAAAGTTGGCTAATTTTCGTAAAATTTGAGGACAGAGGAACTCTTTGTAATTTAACCTTCAGCTTCACGATTTGGAAACTACGGTTGGGATCATCACTTTCATTTCTTGAAAACAAATTAAGCAAATGAAAGTGGACCTGATCGTCCCTTGTAAAATAAATTTCTCAAAAACATAATTTTGCTAGGACTGAGCAAAGCTAATCCTCAATGGAATTACATGTGACTGCACTGCAGAGAAATGTTCCCATCATTTGGAGGGTTTGTAGTGTCAGCTCAAAAGAGCAGGGCTTCTGCCCTTATGAATGGGTTAGTGGATTATCATGGGAGTGGAATTGGTGGCTTTACAAGAAGAGGAAGAGAGGCCTGAGCAAGTACGCCTAGCTTCCTCACCATATGAGGCCCTGCACTGCCTTGGGATGCAACAGCGTTCCCACCAGGAAGAAGGCTCTCACCAGATACGGCCCCCTGACCTATGACTTCTCAGCCTCCAGAATTGTAAGAAAAAATTTATTTTCTTTATAAATTATCTAGTTTCAGGTCTTCTGTTGTAAGCAACAGAAAATGGACTAAAACAATAAACTACAGAAAAAGCACCACAGATGACTTAACTTTGCCTTTAGAAGTTATCTGGAAGGTTCTCAGCCACAAGTTCAATTATTGGCAAGGCTAAAGGATGCCTCGGGAGGCTTTTGCCTTCACCACCCCCATCATCTCCACCATTCTTTGATGTTGAGATTCCTGTATCCTCAGTCTTATGACAGGTGCTCTACAATGCAGTGTCAAGCTCACCTTCACACAGAGACTGCGGTCCAGAGACCTCATACTCTCAAAGCTCCAGAGACTCCACTTGCCTCAACCTGGCAAGCATATTTCAGAGACACACTTTTTGCCCCACTCAGTAAACACATAAATTTCTCCCAGATAAATTCCCTTAAGGCAGCCACATTTAAGCAAGCAGCTGAGATATAGTGGTCTGCAAAGGAGGGAGAAGAGTCCAAAATAGGAGGAGGTCCAGGAGATGAGGTTGTCAATGAAGTCAAAGGAAGAACATTGTCTTCAGAATCAATCTTGACCTTGGGTGCCTGGGTGGAAAGTGATGCCAGTCCCTGAGATTAAAAAATAAAAATAAAGAATAAAAAAAGAAAGAGAAGCTATTTGAAGTGGAAGAGCCTGTAACATGTCCAGGAGTGACGGGGTAGATGGGTCTGGTGCCCAGGAGAAAGGCCGGGCTACAGATTTCAGCCTAAAGGTGTAAAACCTCGAGAGGCAGAACTGGCTAGCTGTGTAATGTGTAGGGCCCAGGGCAAAATGAAAAATGCAGGGTACCTTGTTCAAAAGTATTACAAATTTCCAGATGGTGATAGGAAAGCATTGAATCAGGAATGGGGCCTTTCTAAGCATGGGGCCCTGTGTGAGTGCACAGGCCAAACACCCATGAAGTTGGCCCTGATGAGAATGTGTAAATTTGCCTGGGGAAAACATGTAAAATGAGAAGACAAGTGAGCCAAGGAGACATACTAGATCATTGGCACTGACAGGGCAGGTGAAAGAAGAGCGGCCCGGGAAGAGCTCGGGGGGTTGGCAGAGACAAGCAAAGAGTCAGGGCAGAGGGGGCATGGGAGCCAAGAAAGTCAAGAGTTCTAAGATGGAAAGAGTGATCCAGAGTGTCAAGTGTTGCTGGGACATCTGGTAAGACAAAGAAGTGTTCCCTGGATTTGACTGCAAGGAGGTGGTGTGGACTCTGCTGAGAGCACTCCCAAGGGACAGAAATGTCTGGGAGGGCAAAAAGAGAGACAGTGAGTTCAGACCACCTAGTCACAGGTTTTGAGTTGCATGGACCAATAAAATGAAAACAAAACCGAGACCCACTGTTGTTGTTGTTGTTGCCATTGTTCTTGTTGCCATTGTTGTGTGCCAGGACCATAACATATGACTGCCAAGTAAGGACTGTGTACATGAGGCTCCATCTTTGAGAACCAATGTTGAAGCCTTCCATTGCCCTGCTTGCCAAGTAGATGTCAGCTGGAGTTAGGGGGATCCTTTTCATCCTGAGCACCACCACATGGGGCTCACCAAAAGTGGGGAGAAAAACACACAGTCTCTTTGCCACCTATGCAGACAGCCGTCAACTCAGTCTGGGCTTGGGCAGTGATGCTTTGCAGCCCTAGGGTGGACTGGGCAGCAGGAGACCTGGACTCCAAAGCTGGACTGCTTTGTAAGGCCTTCAGCGCAGAGTTTTAACACTCTTGTTTGAATGTTAGAGATTTTTCAAACGCTAGAGATATTCACATTCAAATATAAGTTAAAACATCAGATATTATATATGGATTATCCATTTCTCTAAGTCTGAAATAGCATAGTAATTGACTTGATGTAATTAGAGGCTGAAATTTATAGACAGTAACCATCAGGTCTTAGGAGAGGTGTGCAGATGTGTTTAGGGATGAGAAAGATAAATGCTTTTCTTGGATGAGATTTTGAGTCCATTGGAGAAGCAGGAGCATGGACTATATTTTCCATTCTTTATTTTCAATCTTTGTGTATCTTTATAGGTGAAGTGTGTTTCTTGTAAGCAATAGTTTCTTGTAGGGTCTTGTTTTTTCATCCATTCAGTCACTCTATGTCTTTTGATTACAGAGTTTAGTCCATTTGCATTCAATGTTATTATCGATAAGTGAGGACTACTCTTGTCATTTTGTAATTTGTTTGCTGTTTGTTTTGTGGTGTTTTCTTCCTTCTTTCCTGTCTTCCTTCCTTCTTTCCTTTAAGTGAAGGTGATTTTCTCTGGTGGTATGATTTAATTTCTTGCTTTTTTTACATTTTGCGTATTTGTTGTATATTTTTACATTTGAGGTTACCATGAGGCTTGCAAATACTATGTGATAATCCATTATTTTAAGCTGATGAGAACTTAGCACTGATTGCATAAACAAATAAACAAACAAGCAAAAAGAGAACTAATAAAAACTCTACATTTTAACTTTATCTGCCTGTTTTTAAACTTTCTATTGTTTCCCTTTGCCTTATTGTATTGCCTATGTCTTGAAAAGTTACAGTTATTATTTTTGATTTATTCATTGTTTAGTCTTTCTACTTGAGTGTTTTACACACCACACAGTCTTATAATATTCTGTGTTTTTCTTTGTGCTATTACCAGTGAGTTTTGTACCTTTAGATAATCCCTTATTGCTCATTAATATCCTTTTCTCTCAGATTGAAGAACTCCCTTTAGCATTTCTTATAGGACAGGTCTGGTGTTCATGAAATCGCTCAGCTTTTGTTTGTCTGGGAAGATCTTTATTTCTCCTTCATGCTTAAAGGATATTTTCGCTGGATATTCTATTCTAGCATTAAAGTTGTATTCCTTTAGCACTTTAAATACGCTATGCCACACTCTCCTGGCCTGTAAGGTTTGCACTGAAGAGTCTGCTGCTGGACTTATTTGGGCTCCACTGTATGTTATTTGTTTCTATTCTCTTACTGCTTTTAGGATTCTTTCTTAATGTTTGATCTTTGGGCGTTTGATTATTAAATGCTTTGACGTGGTTTTCTTTGGGATGATACATGCATGGGCCTAGCTCAAAAGAAAGCATGTGCATAGGAGCCCAGCAACAGAGAAAGCAAGCTGTGCTCTGGAGGAGGCAAAAAGATGAGGCACCCCAGAATCTGGAAGATAAAACTTTTTTCTCCTCTGGTCTCTCTCTCTCTAGCGCCCTCTACTGACAAGGATTTACATTATGCCAGCTGGTAAGAAATATTTACAAAGCCCATCTCCATTATCACAGAGCAGTTAAAGGAGGATGCCTTTGGAGCTGAGAATGCATTGATAAGTGGCGTGGACACTCACAGACTTACTGGGTTGAAAGAAACGCTAATCTAATGTCTTCCTATTTCCAATCCACATCCCACTTGATGATTGAATTCCTCCTACGAAATCCTACCAGGCAGTGCTTCTACAGGTGTAGGGCCAAAGAAAGAAATCTCTACATTTAAAGCCTATTTATGTCCAGAGTATCAATCAATACAACACACCTTTCCAAAAGGAGCTAACTCTGTAATCAGTGATTAATTCTTTCAATGACATCTATTTAAGGATGCAATTTGACCAATATGTAGGTATTGCCTGAAATAGTCATTTCTAAACACTTGGCACTGGGCCAGCTGCACAAAATTACCTGGGGTGCCTTTAAAAAAATTAATAGACCTTTCTTTGTGTAGTTTTAGGTTTCGGAAAAATTGAGTGGAAATTATAGAGAATTCCCATATACCCTCTCACAGTACGCCCCACCCCCCGTCCCAGTTTCCTTATTATCAACATCTTGCATTAGTGTGGTACACAAGTTACAATTGATGACCCAATATTGACACATTATTATTAACTCAAGTCCACCGTTTACATTAGGGTTCATTCTTTGTGTTGTACATTCTATGGGTTTTGACAAATACATGGTAATGGCATGTATCCACCATTATAGTATCATAAACAATGGTTTCTGGTTTCAGTGCTCTAAAAATCCCCGGTGCTCCACATACTCATCCCTCCCTCTTTTCCTCCCTCCCTCTCCCTGAACCCCTGGCAACCACTGGCCTTTTTACTGTCTCTACAGTTTTGCCTTTTCCAGAATGTCACATAGTTGGAATCATACAGTATATAGCCTTTTCACATTGGCTTCTTTCACTTAGCAATATGCACTTAAGTTTCCTCCATGTGTTTTAATGGCTTGATAGGCTCATTTCCTTTTAGTGCTGAATAACATTTCATTGTCTGAATGTACCATAGTTTTGTTTACCCATTCACCTATTGAAGAAGATTTTCACTGCTACCAACTTGTGGCAACTAAGTGACAAACATGGGGCATCTGCTGGAAACGTTTGTGTGAAGGATTTGCCTAGACATAAGTTTTCAATTCATTTGGATAAATGCCAAGGAGCATGGTTGCTGGGTCATATGGTAAGGCTATGTCTAGCTTTGTAAGAAACTAAACTGTCTTCCAAAGTGTCCGTGCCATTTTGCATTCCCACCAGCAATGAATGGGAGTTTCTGTTGCTCCACATTCTCTTTTTTTTTTTTTTTTTTTTTTTTTTTTTGAGACGGAGTCTTGCTCTGTCGCCCAGGCTGGAGTGCAGTGGTGCGATCTCGGCTCACTGCAAGCTCCACCTCCCGGGTTCACGCCATTCTCCTGCCTCAGCCTCCCGAGTAGCTGGGACCACAGGCACCCGCCAGCATGCCCGGCTAATTTTTTTGTATTTTTAGTAGAGACGGGGTTTCACCGTGTTGGCCAGGATGGTCTCGATCTCCTGACCTCGTGATCCGCCCGCCTCGGCCTCCCAAAGTGCTGGGATTACAGGCGTGAGCCACCGCGCCCGGCCCTGTTGCTCCACATTCTCACCAGTATTTCATGTCGTTGGTGCTTTGGATTTGGCCATTCTAATAGGTGTGTAGTGGTATCTCATTGCTGTCTTAATTTGCATTTCCCTGATGACATACGATGTGAAGCATGTTGTCATATGCTTATTTGCCATCTGTAGATCTTCCTTGGTGAGGTGTCTGTTAGTCTTTTGGCCATTTTTAAATTGTGTTGTGTTTATTGTTGAGTTTGAAGGGTTCTTTTTATATTTTGGATAACAGTCCTTATCGAATATGTGTTTTGCAAAGATTTCTTCCCAATCTGCAACTTGTCTTGTCATTCTCTTAAGTATTTTTCACAGAAGTTTTAAATTTTAATGTGGCCCATTTTGTTAATTTTTTCTTTCAAAGATTGTGTTTGAGCTTTATATCTAAACACTCATTGTCAAAGTCAAGATCACCTAGATTTTATTTCTTTAAAGATAATTTTCATATTCATTTTTATAATCTGCCTCCAGCAATGTTCTAGTACATTTTTAATTATCAGCTCTCTGAAGAAAGACAAAGCCTTTATTTGTAGCATTTGCTCATTTCTGTGGTGTAACTCTTCCCAGCTTGGCCGATTTCAAAGTACCACCTTGACATCACTGAATACAGAATTAGGAAGAGATGCTCACAGTTGTCTCTGACCAACCTATATAAGCCAACTGCAGCAGAATGACTGCTTGTGTCTGATAATTTGAATAATCTGAAGTCTTACAAGTCGTTTTCTGCTTTTTTGTTTCTATTGATGTTCGCTGAAGGCTTTCTGTCTGCTATTTTTCACTGAGAGATGTTCAATTTCTTTGAAAAATGATTTGCGAGAATTCTTAGAGGCTGCGATAAAGGTGTGTTCCTCCATAGAGCATTTGCTTCCACCAGGCACCTGGGGGCACCACAAGACTGGTGCCTGAGGATTTTTGAACTACTGAGGTGAAGTGAATTTGAACTATACTGGAAAGCCTGCTAGTGAGCACCACTTCTCAGGGACATTTGAATCTTCTTCCCTCTCCTCTGCTCTGGGCCAAACAGTTTTCCTTACAGGCCTCTGCTATCGTGGGTATAGTGGGAGTGTGTAAGAACGTCGAGGTAATCAGGCATGAACTCCCTCAAATTCCCCCTTGTGTTCATACCCTATGGTTGCTGTAACAGATTACCCAAGCTTAGTGGCTTCAACAACATACATTTATTATCTCACTAATTATTATTAATATTATATTAATCATTTATTATTTCTGGGGATGAAAGTCCAACCCAGGTCTCACTGGGCTAAACTCAAGGTGTGGGCAGGGCTGTGTTCCTTCTGGAGGCTTTAGAGAAAAATCTGTTCCCTGTCTTTTCCAGCTTCTAGAGGCTGCGCGGTCCTTGGCTCCTGGCCCCTTGCTCCATCTTCAAAGCCAGCATGGCCAGTCGTCTTTCTCTCATGGCATGGCTATGACTCTGAAGTCTCTTCCACCTCCAGCTTCCACTTTTAAAGAGCCTTGTAATGACATTGGGTTCACCTCAATAATCCAGATGATCTCCTCATATAAGGGTCAGCTAGTATCACAACCTTAATTCTATCTGCTACCTTAATTCCCCTTTGCTATGTAACCTCACATATTCACAGGTTCTGGAGATTAGGACATGGACATCTTTGAGGAACCATTATTCCCTCCATCAGTGTTTCTTCATCTGCACCCACCCTCCTCTTCTCTAGTTGCTGAGGAAGAGGAGTCCTTTCTGTTGTGCAAAGCAAATCCCCCTCTGTGTCCTTGGGCTCTTCCCCACTCTGAGGCCTTGTTCAATCAGGTAACAGCTCCCTCTTCTCTATGCAATCTCTCATTCGCCACTGGCTTCTTCCCGATGTATGATCCCAAGAAAGTCTCTTCCTTTCAAAAGCCCATTCTGTCTGTCTCATTTCTCAACAGTTATTATCCAATCTCTCGCCTTTCTTTCTTTTTTTTTTTTACTGTCAATCTTTTTTATTATTTATTTATTTTTAAATTTTATTATTATTATACTTTAAGTTTTAGGGTACATGTGCACAACGTTCAGGTTTGTTACGTATGTATACATATGCCATGTTGGTGTGCTGCACCCATTAACTCGTCATTTAGCATTAGGTATATCTCCTAATGCTATCCTCCCCCTCCCCCCACTCTCACCTTTCATTATAGCAAACCCTCTAGAAAGAGAATCCCACTCTTGTGTACCCTTCGTGCATTCACTCACTAATTCATGCATTCAAATAAATATATATATTTTGCACCTACCATGTGCCAGGCAGCCTATTGGGCATTGTAGCTAAAAACAAGGCAGCTTAGAGTGCAGTGAAAAAGAAAGACATTCATTTCAACAAAGTATGGCAAGTGCAATAGTAGGAGAGGTATAAGGCCCTGAGGGAGCATAGAGCGCTGGGACCTAAGATAGTATTGAAGGGAGGGGCACTGGGGAAGAGTGCCATAATCAAGTCGCATTTAAACTGATAGGGCTCACAGGTACTTGTTGAATAAATGACTGCAGGAGGTGGGGCTATTCCTCTTCAGTTTCTCTTTTCTCTTCACTGTTACACGGCCCTTGCCCTAGGACCTAGAACACAGGCCATCGCATCTTTTTGCAGCTTAGTGGTGCTAAAGCAGACCCTGGTGCCAAAATAATAGTTTCTCAAACTGGGTGCGCTTCCGGCCTTTTGCACCCCTTAGCTGCTTGAGCTAGAATCCTGGCTGGTGACTTTTAACTCGCTGTTCTTTGACTTCTGCCTCAATGAAAGAGCTCTTGCGAATGTCCTCCAGGGACGTCTTACTTTCCAAATTGACTGGACATTTTTTTTTATCCTTGATTCACCAGATCTCCCATGCTAAGCACTCACTCCTTGAAATTATCCTTCTTTTACCTTCCATGATGCAACTGTTTGCTTCTGCACTTATCTGACCTTCCTTCTCCATCTCATCCCAAGTCTCCTCTTCCTCTGTCTGTCCCGTACAATCTGGAGTTGGGGCGTGCCACTTTTCTCCATTTACTTGCATGGGCAATGTCATCTACTTCCATAGTTTTATCCCCAAATCTGTGTTTCCGACTTCTTTTGTGAGCTTCAGAGCTAAACTTAACCACATCTTGGACACCTGTTCTCCTCACATTCAGCATATCCCAAACTGGCCTCAGCATTGCTCTAGACTCGATCCTCTCCTGATATCCTCTATTTCTGAAAATTATACCACTTGCCAACCAATTGCAGCCACCAGCAACTTCAGTACCATCTTTGACTTCTTTCTTGTCTCTTTTTTTCAGTCACAAACTTAAAAAAAAATTTTTTTTTCAATCTCCATCTCTACTTGTCTCTATTCCAGGCTCAGTTCTCCCCATCTGGTCAACTACATCAGCCTCAAACTTGCCTTTCTGTCCCCAGCCTTGCCACCCTAAAATCCATCTCCCACCCATGACCCCCAAGGCACTCCATGACTTGCCCCTGCCTGCGTCTCAGTCATCTTTTGCCAGGCCCGTTCACATTACGACTCAGGAATACCTGCTTGCTTTGAGTTCCACAAATGCTGCATCCTACTTAATGCACCATTTGCTTCTGCTCATAGTGTTCCCTTCTATGGTGATGGTTTCTTTGCTTTTCTTTGCTGTTTTACCACACATACATCCCAAAACATGAATTTAGTTTGTTTTTGAACTTATATGAATGGAATAATATTGTATACAGTGGTTCCCCCCTTACCTGAGGTTTCTCTTTCCATGGTTTCAGTTACCCATGATAAACAATGGTCTGAAAATATTACAGTATTTCAAGAGGGGAAGAGTGGGAGAGAAAGGGAGAGAACACAGTTATGTAATTTTTATCACAGCATATTGTTATAATTGTTCTATTTTGTTATTAACTACTGTTAATTTCTTACTGTGTCTAATTTATAAATTAAACTTTATCATAGTTATGTGTATATAGGAAAGAAACATAGTATATATAGGGTTTGGTACTATCTGTGGTTTCAAGCATCCATTCGGGGTGTTGGAACATATCCCCCATGGATAAGGGGGAGCTACTTTATATTCTTTTGTACCTGGCATCTTTTAGTTAACATGCTTATGAGATTCAACTGTGTTGCATGTAGCTGTGGTTTGATCATTTATCCTGGGCGTGTAGTATTCCATTATGCTAGGGATGGTGTTGAATCTGTATATTGCCTTGGGTAGTATGACCCTTTTTAATAATATTAATTCTTTCAATCCATTAGCATGGGATATCTTTCCATTTATTTGTGTCTTCTTCAATTTCTTATTATTAGAGTTTTACAGTTTTCAGTGTTCAGAGCTTTCACCCTCCTGGCAAAATTTCTAAGCATTCTATTCCTAAGCATTCTATTCTTTTTGATGCCATTGTAAATGGGATTGTTCCCTTGATCTCTTTTTTGGATAGGTTGTTATTTGTGTACAGAAATGCAACCGGTTTTTGTACATTGATTTTTCTATCCTGAAACTTCACTGAATTCATCTACTAGTTCTAACAGCTTTTTTGTGTGTGGAGTCTTTTGGGTTTCCTACATATAGGATCATGTCATCTCCAAATAGAGATAATTTTGGGCCAGGCACAGTGGCTCACGCCTGTAATCCCAGCACTTTGTGAGGCTGAGGTGGGCAGATCACTTCAGGAGTTTGAGACCAGCATGGGTAACATAGTGAAACCCCGTCTCTACAAAAAATACAAAAAAAAAATAGCTGGGCTTGGTAGTGCATGCCTGTAGTCCCAGCTACTTGAGGGGCTGAGGCAGGAGGATTGTTTGTGCCCAGGAGGCCAAGGCTGCAGTGTGCTATGATTACGCTGCTGCACTCCAGTCTAGGTGACAAAGTGAGACCCTGCCTCAAAGAAAAATAAAAACAGAGATAATTTTACTTACTTTCTGATTTGTATGCCTTTTAGTTTTCTTGTCTGATTGCTCTTGCCAGTTCTTCCAATACTATGTTTTGTTTTTGTTTTCAGAGACAGGGTGCAGTCTCTGAAATTGCTCTGTCATTCAAGCTGTAATGCAGTGGTGCAATCATAGCTCACTGCAGCCTCAAATTCCTGGGCTCAAGCAAATTCCTGGGCTCAGCCTCAAATTCCTGCCTCAGCCTCCTGAGTAGCTGGAGCTACAGGTACACACCACCATACCTGGCTTTTTTTTAAGTAGAGACAGGATCTTGCTATATTGCCCAGGTTGGTCTCCAACTCCTAGCCTCAAGTGATCTCCTTGCCTCGGTCTCCCAAAGTGTTGGGATTACAGGCATGAGCCACTGCACCTGGCACTGTGTACTACGTTGAATAGAAGTGGCAAGAGTGAGCTTCTTTGCCTTGTACTGGATCTTAGGGGAAAAGCCTTTAATTGTTCCCCATTGACTACGTTAGCTGTGGGTTTTTCATAAATGGCTTTTATTATGTTGATAAACTTTTTAAATATAAACTATCAAGAGTTTTTATCATAAAAGAAAGGATGCTAAACTTTGTGAAATGGTTTTCCACATCAATTGAGATGATTTTATGGTTTTTATCTTTCATTGTGTTAATGTGGTATATTACATTGATTTATATGTTAAACCAGCCTTGCATGTCTACTTAGCTTCCAAGGCTCAGTTCTGACAATATTGCCAAGAAGTTCCTCCCTAGTTCCCTATACTGGCCCAGAAGTCCACCATCTGTCTCTATCCTTGCAGGCAGCACCCTGCTTGGAAATTACTGGTTAACTGGATTGTCTTCCCACTAAGCCAGATGCTCCTTGAAGGAGCCTACTGTTTTATTTATTTGTATTTCGACAGCTGGCACGGGTCTGTGTTATAATAGAAAATATTTGTTGAAGTGATCTTACTTTAAATAAAAAATACTTCTGGCTCTGAGCCTCTCTCATTTGTAAAATGACCAAAAAATTATGATCAATTTTATAAGGTTATGGGGAGGCTAAATAGTACAGTGTTTGGCACATATGGCCCAAATTAATAGCTCCCTTTCTTCCATTTAGAGACCAAGGGAGTTGAAGTACATGGTCTGGGGCTTTGGATAGAAGCAACAATAGAAATAGAGAATAAAACTGAAGGCAACTGTAAGTGTAAATTTTGTCTGAGATATAAGGAAATGAACTAGTCATTTACCTAATTATAATTGCATAGCTTGTAATAGGAAAGCCTAGCAGTGTCTGATTTCTCACCTTGCATACTCTCTGACCATCCAAAGCTAAAGGAACTGAGGTGTGGTAGGCACCATAATGCACCCCCACACACAAGTTGCCCACAGCCCAATCCCCAGAACCCGTGAATATGTTACAAGACAAGAAGGAATTAAGGTTGCCAATTAGCTGACCCTGAGACGGGTAGATTATTCTAGGCTATACAGATGGGCCCAATGTATCACAAAGGTCCTTAAAAGTCAAAGAGGGAGGCAAAAAGAGAGTCAGAGACTTGAAGATGTTCTGCTGCTGGCTTTGGAGATGGAGGAAGAGGCCATGGCATCAAGGAATGCAGGTGGCCACGAGAAGCTGGAAAAAGCAAGGAGAAGAATTCTTCCCTTGAGCTACCAGAAGGAACACAGCCTTGCCAACATCTTGATTTTAACCGTGAGACCCATTTCAGACTTTTGGCCTCTAGAATTTTAAGATAATGCATTTGTGTCTTAAGAAGTCACTAAGTTCGTGAGGATTTCTTACAGAAGAAACAGGAAACTCATGAGGCAAATGCCATCTTGTGTGATAAATATTTCACATGCACATGTGATTAAAATGCATTTTTGAGAACACCAAAACTTACTCTTCTCCAACTGTAACTTTGCACCCATTGACCAACTTCTCCTGGTACCTTCTTTCCCACTACCCTCCTCAGTCTCTGGTAACTATTCTATTCTCTATTACTATGAGATCAACTTTTTAAGATTCCACATGTAAGTGAGGCCATACAGTGTTTGTTTTTCTGCGCCTGGCTTATATGCATACATTGAAACATCACATTTTACCTCATAAGTACGTACAATTACAATGTGTCAGTTATAAATTTTAAAAAAATTAAAAAGGTGAATCTCTGCATGAAATGTCATTAAAAATGCATTTCTGAGAAGGGCTGTGTTTCAGTTGTAAGGAAACTTTGAGAACGTGCAGCCCACACCCTCACTGAGCAGATGGAGGCTGAGGCCTTCTCCATATCTGTAGCATCTGGGAGCTAGGAGGACTTCACTCACATCTTTCCTTCAGGAAATAGGGCCACAAGTCAGTGCTGGTGCCGATGAGAACCCTGGTTTCCACACATCCCATCCAGGATTCTAATATAGCTTTGTGATACAGAGTTCATAAAATGTAAGCAACTTTTATAATTTGCATGGAAGCCACTGTGAAACAATTTCAGAACCACTGTAAATGAATAAGCAGCGCTCTCAAAAGCCGGAGAAACAAACTGCTAAGGCTTAATGGTCGTGTCTAAGCATTGAACCACTTTATGTGTTTAAAATATGTTATCACCTTCGATTTTAAAGGAGAAATTGCAAATAAGAACTAATCCATGTCTGAATCTAAGCCTCATAAGAAAGTGAGAATACTGCATTTTACTACCCTTTCCTCTTCCAAGTATGTTCAATATGGAAGGAAGACCTTGATAACAACCCCTTAACTTTAAATCTACCAATGAAGTTTGGCATGTCAGACTACTTCAAATATTGGTATTCTAGCTTCATACTGGTAGTGGTTCTGTAAACCTAAAAAATTCAACTGAAATGTAGTTCAACCATGTAACGCTTTTCTGCAAATATGCCATTATTCTTGTTTGTGGGGTGCGCACTGCATACATTTCCCATTTCTCTCGGGTGTCCCCTTTTGCTTTAATGGCCACCAGTGGGTGCATCCTCCAGTAACAGCTGTATACACTCTTTAATACATTCCCACATTAAGAATTTCCTTTTAGACAGTCCTGCTTTTGCCTAATGTACCCAAATGCCACAAGAGTTGTCTGAATGACACCATAGAGCTGCATTATGCAAGTGACAAGATACTACTCAGCTTATTCTGAGACTTTTTGAATATTATTCCCTCCAAGAAAGCAAAAGGATAAGCTTTGCTGCATTATCAAAAACAGGTCAGAAAGTGCTATGACTATATTTAGAAACAAAACCTATACTAAAAAGTATATGATTCCGAATTATTTGAAGAGTTGTCCCAGGAAGAGAGGTTCTTTCAATTTCAATGAAGAAGGCAGAGCTCAGGCCATTCAGTGGGAACTCAAATGTAGACTTCAGGCTAACACCAGTATGAAACTTGTGGTGGTGCTGTAGGACGTGGGGCATGTCAGTGAACGCCTGCAACAACAGCATTCTCCTCAGTCGAAAAATAGGGGTAACAGAATGCCCCCTAGCTCATAAGGTCCTAGTGAGGGTTCAATGAGGCAATGTCTGAGGAAGGACTTCACAAAGCACTTCAAATACTCATCGTTATGAAAGATACACTTAGTCATTTAAGAGTCCTATTCTGATTTTTTTTCTTTAAGCTCTGTTCCACGTGATCTATTCTGATTGCCAAAAAATGGTCAATTTTAGTTTACTGCTACAACTATTCAGCATTCTTAGAACGTACATATGTAAACGACATAATCTCCAACTGGCAATATTGTTTGAAGAATTTTAAAAATTCTTACCTAATGAGACGTCAACTATGGCTTATTTAACCAGTATCTTCGCATCCCTTACTATCAACTGCTGTGTTCCCTATTCAGAGCCTGGAGTTTTGCGCGTTCACTTTTGCAAAAGCCATCCTCATAGACAGTCGTGACTCTTAAAATCTGCACTGTTTAATACACTTAAATGCCCAATCTTGCTGAAATTTTGGGAGAGCCCTGCAAGGTTGCCGGTGAGATAAAAAGTACATGAAGCAGACCCGGGCAAAGAAATCAGATGGCCACCATGCACATTTCCAACACATGCACACTCACAGCCCTGAAAACAGTGTTAGGTTTCAGTTAATACATTTATTACAGCAGGTCTTTAGTCATTATTGCCATTAAAAAGTTTTCATGAAATTTCACAAAATCTTTTAGGCTATTAGTATTAGCTTTCTTTTTATGGAGTGACACTTTGTTAATTTATGAAATATTTACAGCATTTACAAAAAGTAAGAGAATGTCTAATAAAATTTCTTATACTTACAAAATTCATACATTATACTACTGTATTTGAGATGTCTTACTTGGTAGACCAATTAAACTATGACATAAAATAATTTACAAAGATATATTTAATCTTTCTTAATTCATTGAAAACAAAACCATATTAGTTATAAATAGTCCTTTACAAATCATTGTAAAACACTTCATTGTTTTAACTCGAGCCTTAGCTTTTACAAATATACTTAATAAATGAATTAGTTCAGATAGCAAATAGAACTGTGCATTTAAAATTTCACTTAATACTATAAAACAAAACAACCTGAAAAAGCAAACGGCCTGGTACTTCAAGTAAAAATTTGTAGAACCAGTTTTTATGCACGCGTGGGGTGGGGAGGGGAAGCCAACACCATTGAAATTGAAATGCATAAACACAATACTTTCAAGAATACGCTCAACACATGTACATCTGGGGCACTGATTTCTAAGGATGATGCTCTAGCAATAGCTCATGCATCCAAGACGGTAGCCCTACATTTTGGCAGATGAGCTGGACTGACTAGAGCAACATTTGCGAAAACATTCCCCTAAGCAGCAGGATGCTCCCGACATCCTTGGACAGTGCTCTCTTTGGGGTTTGCCACAACCCGAAAACCATTCCGAATTTTAGGCAAGCTCATGAAAGAATTTAGAAAATAAAACTGGCAAATTTAAAAAATGCAAATCATATTTAACTGGGCCCTGTCAGTTTTTTAAAAATATAAAAATAGGCTTCTCTGGAAAATTAGGGGAAAACATTTTCTACCCCTAAATTTCCAAATAATGAAAAACTCATCTATACAGCTATTTCTCCTTAAGTCACCACTCATGATGGTATAAAAGCTGGCAATTACTTAAACACCTTGCTTTTGGGTAATGCCTAGGAAGCTGAGCTCAATTTGGTTTTGGCAGTAACATGCATCTTTCACATTTGGATTCATCTTAGAGAATCCAAAGCAACTGTTAAGCAGCTTCAGGAAAATCCATTCCACAAACATATATCCCCTTTGATTTTAAAATAATGTTGTTTCAATTAAGCCCACAAAATATATATTGTATATATAGTATTTCTCAAGACGTAAATTAAATCTAAATTTTGTCTTTCAAAAACTGCTTTTTAAAGGTGTCAGGGTTTTCCAAAACCTCATCTCAGCTCCTTTCTTCTGATTGCCGTGTGGACCCTGTAGTTTTCTTGTAATATGTATTCTAGAAGGCACATATTCAAGAGTTTAAGATTATGTTAGTTCAAGTTCTACATGGAGGCAAATATTTTAATCTACTTTTTACAAATGCCCCAAATGAAAGTCAGCTATCGCCTTTATTTCGAGCTCTAATGCGGTGCCAGGGTCCCCCCTCAGAAGTGAGTTTGCACATGGGGCATCATTTGCGAAGGACTGGAAGGTGAAGTTGGGGGATCAGAAAGCTTGGCAGAGTTGGCGAGCTGCAGTTCCTCAAGCCGCTTTATGTATTCGTCGCGTAAGGCTAAGAGCTCCATGTAACGCTGCTCCACTGGATTCGGCTGCTGGAGAGAACCAGAGACTTGAGTTACACTTTATGCCACGCACGTCATGAGAACTCACGTGTTCCACCCATCTGCTGTGACTGCTGATTTGTAAATAAGCCCTTTACTCAAAGTTTACCATAATACATACTTTCCTTAACTACTGCCTCATTGACACATACAGGAAAGTACAACACAGAGTACTAAACACCCAAGTACTAAGTATTTGTTCACCAAGAAATACCTAATGTACACATTTCCTCACACGTGTCACTATCTTTGAAAATGTGTCAGCCGAGACACAGCTCCAGTCTCCCGTGTTGCCCGTCCCAGACCCACTGTCCTCTTTCACTCTGAGGGACAACTCTTCTCAAGTTGCCATGTGACCTTCCTTTTTGTGCAGATTTGTGACACTTTTCCTGTGAGTATCCAGCAACAAAATACAGTATTACTTTGTGTTTTATCAAAGTTTACATCACTGGTACCATCTGGTATTTATCAATTGACATTTTGACCCAACATGTTTTCTGAATTTCATCCTTGTTAAGTTGCATTGAAGGAATAAACCAGTTTCTCCACCCCTTCCCAGGCTGATGGGTAATCAGTGATTTCCAGGGCTCCTCGGTAGTGTGTTCAATGCTGTACTGAGTATCCTTGTACACATCTCCTCAAGCACATATGCGAGTGTTTCTCTAAGGAATTTTCCTAGGGGTGGAACTGCTGAGAAGTAGAATATGGTCTTTTCAACCTCACCAGATGCTGCCAAATTGCCTGCAGAGAGGCTCCTGCTGGTGATACCTGGCAGTTCCCATTGTTCTGCATTCTCACTAGAACTTGGGAGCATACGATTATTATTCTTTTTTCCAATTTGAGGGCTGTGACATGGTATGTCACGGTAGTTTTCGTTTGTATTGCTCTGCTAGAACATCTTTTCATGTGCTTATTGCCCATCTGAATACATGGCTGACAGCCATAGCGGCTCTGCAATGCTCCGCCTTGGGTATGAATGCTGGGTTTGCCCCCTCACCTTCTGTGTGCCTCCATTTCCCTATCTGTAAAATGGGAATCAAAACAGCATAGCCCTCACATGGCATTGTGTGAGTGAAGTGAGTTAATAGCATCTGTTTTGCTACAATGGTGACTACTTTGATGAGTAAACAAGGGATTGATGTTGATACAAAGGCAGAAGTCAGGCTGGAGCATAACGTGACTCTCCCAGCATGTTAAGTTTTAAAAGTTTTGTACTGAGATATAAACCACACACAGTGCAAAATCTTCAGATGTTCAGCTCAGTGAATCTTGACATACGTATACATTTAGGTAATCACACCCAGGTCAAGATATACAACAGAACAGTACTCCAGAAAGTTAATGTTTTGAAGGGATCAGGGGCAAGCACTTTCTAGAAAGCTTAAGCAATATATGAAGACCTTAATGTAAAACCCAAAACCATGAAAACCCTAGAAGAAAACCTAGGCAATACCATTCAGGACATAGGCATGGGGAAAGACTTCATGACAAAAACACCAAAAACAATTGCAACAAAAGCCAAAATTGACAAATGGGATCTAATTAAACTAAAGAGCTTCTGCACAGCAAAAGAAACTAGCATCAGAGTGAACAGGCAATCTATAGAATAAGAGAAAATTTTTGCAATCTACTCATCTGACAAAGGTCTAATATTCAGAATTTACAAGGAACTTAAACATATTTATAAAAATAAAAGATAAACAACCCCATCAGAAAGTAGGCAAAGGATATGAACAGACACTTCTCAAAAGAAGACACACAATGCGGCCAACAAAGATATGAAAAAAAGCTCATCATCACTGATCATCAGAGAAATGCAAATCAAAACCGCAGTGAGATACCATCTCATGCCAGTCAGAATGGCGATTATTAAAAAGTCAGGAAATGATAGATGCTGGCGAGGCTGTGGAGAAACAGGAACACTTTTACACTGTTGGTGGGAGTGTAAATTAGTTCAACCATTGTGGAAGACAGTGTGGCGATTCCTCAAGGATCTAGAACCAGACATACCGTTAGACCCAGCAATCCCATTATACTCAAAGGAATATAAATCATTCTACTATAAAGACACATGCACACATGTTTACTGCAGCACTATTTACAATAGCAAAGACATAGAACCAACCCAAATGCCCATCAGTGATAGACTGGATAAAGAAAATGCAGTACATATACACCATGGAATACTATGCAGCCATAAAAAGGAATGAGATCATGTCCTTTGCAGGGACATGGATGCAGCTGGAAGCCATCATCCTCATCAAACTAACACAGCAACAGAAAACCAAACACTGCATGTTCTCACTCATAAGTGGGAGGTGAACATTGAGAACACATGGACACAGAGAGGGGAACACACACACCAGGGCCTGTTGGGGAGTGGGGGGTGAGGGGAGGGAACTTAGAGGATGGATCAATAGGTGCAGCAAACCACTATGGCACACGTATACCTATGTAACAAACCTGCACGTTCTGCACATGTATCCCCCCACCCTTTTTTTTAGAAGAAAGAAAAGAAAAAAAAAGAAAAAAGCCAAACGTCTACAGAAGTGCCTTCCACATGTAGTGGTTTCCAGAACCATCCTGCTTTCTACTGTGTTGAACTATTTGCTGAAGCTGTGCACACCAACAAGGAAGCTGTGAAGACAATGCACTGATGAAGAATGCTGCGGTTTAGTATTACGTTTCTGTTTTTTTTTTAAAGAGACAGGGTCTCACTTTGTTGCCAGGCTGGAGTGCAGTGCAATCGTAGCTCAGCAAAATCTTGAACACTGTAACCTCGAACTCCTGGGCTCAGGCGATCCTCCTGCCTCAGCTGGCCAAGTAGCTAGGACTGCAAGCATGCACTGCCATGCCTGGCTACTTAAAACATTTTTTTTTTTTTTTTTGTAGAGATGGAGGAGGGGGTCTCACTATGTTGCCTAGGCTGGTCTCGAATTTCTGGGCTCAGGTGATCCTCCTGCCTTAGCCTACCAAAGTGCAGAGATTGCAGATGTGAGCCACTGTATCTGGCCTGGATCCAATTTTTAATGTTCAGGAGAATGGTCTCTATTAGAAGCAGACACTTTCTAGAACCTGTATCCTAGAGAAGGGAGCATGAGCCATGAGGTTGCCCTAAAAAATTTAACACAAACTTGCGTGGCTTTTAAAACAACAGAAATTTACTCTCTGATGGTTCTGCAGGGCAGATGCCCCAAATTAGGGTGTCAGCAGGGCCATACACCCTCTGGAGGCTTTAGGGGAGAATTCTTTTTCACCTCTTCCAGCTTCTAGTGGCTCCAGGTGTTCCTTGGCTTATGGCAGCATCGCTGCAATCTCTGCCTGTTTTCACATGGCCTTCTCTCCTCTATGTCTGGGTCTCAAATCTTCCCCTCCTTTCTCTTAGGAGGACATCTGTCATTGGATTTAGGGCCCACCCACCCTAAATCTAGAATGATCTCATCTTGAGATCCTAAACTTAATCACAACTGCAAAGATCCTTTTCCCAAATATGGTCACATTCACAGGCTGTGGGTCGCTGTCCTTTGGGGGACACACCATTCTACCCACTACAGGCAGCCAAGGCGTGAATCAGCTAAAGCCAGGTACAAATGCAGCAGACATGGAACCGTGCCCACATTTCTACTGCGATTGCTGCTTTCATTAGTGCTCTGGTTACAAAGGCCCATAGGATTGCAGAAGCCTCTTAATCCCATTCTCCCTATGATCACTGTGACTTTTAGTGTGTGGCCTGGCAGTGGAAGCTTTTCAAAAATGCATATATAGCATTACGCTTGGTAGAATGCCTAACACCCAGTAAGTGCTGTGGGATGCTTGCTAATATCCTTTGCCCATTTTTCTCTTAAAATTCAACTGAGGGCCAGACACTGTTCTAGGTGCTCAGGATCCAGCAGTGAACAAAGGAGGCCCAAATACCTATTTTTATGGCCTTTATCTTCTAGCAGGGGGAGACGGACAAACAACGAACATAACGATCCTGGGAGTTTCACAGAATGTTTGAAGGTGATCAATTCTACAGAAGACTAGAGCAGGGTAACAGGATTCCACTCTAAACTGGATGGTCAGAGTGAGCTGCACTGAAGAGGTGACTTTTGGGGAAAGACTTAAGGGAGATGAAGGAGGGCGTCAAGTGGATACCTGAGTGCCTGAAGAAGAGCAGAGGCCAGTCTGGCTGAAGCTGAGCATGTGAGAAAGGTTGTTGGTGAGGATGCCAGGAGGTCACAGAGGTAAGGGGTGGGGTGGCAGTCACACGAGGTTTCAGAGACCATTGTAAGGACTTGCGCCTTGACTCTGGGTGAGGTGAGCAGCTACCTGGCCAGTTTCTAGCAGGCGAGTGGCATGATCTGCTTTGGCTGCCATGCTGAGAAGAGTAGAAAGAAGTAAAGGTAGCATCAGGGGGTCCAGCTAGAAGGTTATCGCTGCCACACACGGGAGATGGCAGGCAGCACACACCAGCATGGTGGTGGGAGCTCAGTGAGAAGTGCTTGGACTCTAGCTGTGTTTTGAAGGCAGAGCCCAAGAAGCTCTCCTGACAGATTGATTGGACATGGGGTGTGGGAGAGAAAGGTGTCAAGGATGACTCTAAGGTTCCTGACCAGGGCGACTAGGCTGGCGCTACCACGAACTGAAATGGGGAAGATGGCAGGAGGAGGAGGTTTTGGGGGAAACATGAGGAGTTCTGTTTTGACATGTTAACTTTCATTTCCAGTCCCAGCACCATTTACTGAACATTCCACTCATAGGGATGTGTTACATTGCCACCTTCTTACTATTCCAAGTCTCCACATTGACGCAGGTCTGTTTCTGGGCTCTACTCTGTTCCAAATAAGTCTTGCTATATAGCAGGGCAGGTTCTTCCTTGATATTCTCCTCCAAAACTGTGGCTATTTTTAAAACCTCCCTTTGAAATATGAGTATTAGAATTTAGAATCAGCTTGAATATTACAATGAGCATGTGCAATTAGATAAGAAAAAGAAATCGGGTAACAGTAATTTTTGCAGATGGCATGACTGTATCATCAGAAAACTGAAAAGAGTAAACAGAAAAACTGTTAGAAATAAAAAGATAATTCAGTCAAGTAATGGGTATAAAATATATAGAAGTTATTGGGCTACAGACAAACACAAACCACTTAGAGCAGGTAAAAGAAGAGAAGAGTCCATTTGTGATAGAATACAAAGACAACAAGAAATGAAAACTTCAAGCCAAGTGACAAAATATTATACCTCAACTTCTCACTTGGGAAATGAATTATAAAGTATGTCTCAGCTTGGCATGGAAAAGAAGATAGGCAATCAGCTCATTATGGAAGTATTGTAGGCTTCAAACAATTTTCATATTCATATCCCTTTAAATTTTTCTATCAAAAATGACTGAAACAAATGCCACACAGGTCAACCTGCTAATATTTGTCCTGAATCTCATCCTTCAGTTACCACTATATAAAATTTCAGTACATCCAGTGTAACCCTGATTAACAGCTACATGGAATGCAGTGGTTCCTAGAGTACCGTATGATGGTCACTGGCAGCCAAAATTCCTACTCAGGTTTGTAATATGACTATGCTTTTGACATGAGTAATTTCCTTGTATTAAATAAAAGTACCAGATCTGCTTATTGATAGCTTTTCAAATGTAAGCATTGGTCTTTCCATAAACTCTGCTGAGATTTTATGTCAGCAAGGGTTGGTGGCTTTTGCTTTTAAAAGCACACTAATCCTGCCTTCTTTGAGGCTAACAGCTCATTATGAGGCTGTATATTCTTTTGTATCTTTCAACATTGATAGTATACCACCATAGTGCTGTGAATACTACAGGTGGCCAGTAATTGTTTGAATACCTTCTGGCTCACACAACTGAATAACAATTTAACTTTTAAGTGGTTAAGTACATTCTTTTAGGTTTATATTATGTACTTTTAAAAGTCCTATGCGATTTAATCTATTTCTGTATGAAATAATGTTCTACATAAGCAGATCTTTAAGCAAACCTAATGTACTTAATTCATACTTTTATTCTTACACTTATCCCTGTGCATTATAACCATTGGCTTATGTTTCTGGCCGCCCCTACCAGCTTGGGAGCTACTCATGGGCGGAGACCATTTCTTCTTAATCTCTGCATCCCCCTAGTGCCTGACGCATGAGAACATTCAATATTTGGTAGATGAAAACACAAAGTGCCTAGGGAGATAAAGATGTGTGTAGGATCCTTCATATTCAGAAAATCCACATAGAAAGGATAAGTTATTTCTTTTCTGAATTCATGCCAATAGATCATAATATAGGCCAATTCCTGTCTCGAAGTAAAAACCCCTACCAGAGAATGAGCACTCCTCTCCAGGCCAGTTCCATTTTGCCAAGATCTGTGAGACTAAGGGGGATAAATACATTCTAAGAAGTTCTTCTAATGATGTACCCTCAAACTTGACCTGTCACACAATTATCATTATTACCTTTAGGAATTCAGAAATGAACTGCTCCAAATTCCTTGAATTTCAAGAATTTCTCCAAGTACAAATGGGTGAGAAGAGATTACAGGACTTACACAAAAACTGTCCGTACTTTCTCATTGCCAATATTTTAAAAACAAGCCATGACAAATATGGAAAAGGCTTATTTTATAGGACAAACACAGTGCTCATCTATAAAAACATTTTTTAATAAGGAACACATCTCTTGTAAAAGCAGTTAGAATTCTGTAAGGATTATTATTTATTCTTTACTTGATATTCCAAAATGCTAGAACTACTGTTAAATAAATTCCTCCCATGTGCTTCTCAAATTCCAAACTAAACAAGTGAATGTTCTCAAGCCCTGGAATCTGTCACTTTCCAAAAGAATACACATTTCAACCATTACCAAATTGCAAAAGCCTTTCACGTGAGTAGCACAGACCTTGAAATGAGGGTGCCAGCTTGAAATGGGCACTTCTCCAGTGAGGAGGTAGGGCACAGACTGGCATGCAGCCAACTGCCTGAGAGGAATGAACAATCTGAGAGAGAGGCCACAGCTATGGGACCCTGCTGTGGCCAGCCTATTTCTGGCATTAAAGCTGGTGCTTATGCAAGACTGAACTGTGAGAACAGGTAGTCGACCACCCACACTGCAGGAAAATGTGCAAACCTTTACAAAGAACCATCACAAATACTGAATATTTATAATGCTTAGAACAAATCAATAAACTGAAGTACTGCAGGCTGTTTTTCCTTCTGATTATGGATGGAGTGGAGGTGGGAGAATGGAAAGCCCAAGTGTGTCTTTAACAAAATGTAGAGTCTTTCACTTCAAACTCATTGTTTCCATTTTTGTTTGATAAATGGCCAACTGAATTTACTACCATTGACAGAGTAATTATCTTTATTTTAGAAGTAAATACCCTCAGTGAAAAGCAATCTGATGTTAGCTGATCTAGTGCATACACCTGAATGAGAGTAGCAAACATTTTCTTAACAGGATCATCTAAGTCTAGTCAATGTAAAGAATTTTCAAACAATGTCTATATAATGAATAACTACTTCAAGTGATCAAAGGAAATCTCTGGCTATGAAAACTCAAATTTTCTAGAGCTTTAAATCAGCTTGCATTATAGTAAACAATTATATCACATTGGCAGAAGAATTGCAGCTTAACATCAAAACACATGGTTTAGTAATTAAAAAAAATTTAAATTAAGGTTGAGTTTAACAATAAGTGTGTTTTTAGAGTCTGATATTTTTCTTCATGCTGTTAAAAAAAATCCATACCAAATAACATTATCTAAGGCAAGCAGTTGACATTGCTATCTTTTAACAGTGCTACTTCACTTACTTGTTGCTTGATCCTGGGGTTCCATCTAATGTAGTAATTCACCCAGAGTTCCAAGTGACGCATACTGGCAACTGGATATAAAACTCGATTGATTTCTTTAGTATAGAAGGGGTTTTTGAATTTTTCTTTATTACTGTTTATCAGTGACCATAAAGAAACAGTCCTTTCTGTAACCTTCTACAGAGAGACAGAGAGAGAAAGTGGAGAGCCTAAGTAAAAACACACATAAATCCACAAACCATTTTGCAGCCTGTAGCAATACAGTTCAGCATCAAATTGAATCACACATTTACATTATCCTCATAATAGCTCAAAAAGCCTCATGGGCCAGTGAGTGCTTGGCAGCCACTTATCGATATTTGCATAGGTAATGGCCTAGCTTGAGAGCCACTATTTCTGCCTGAAGACAGGGGCGCAGGATACTGTACCATTAAATGCAATTCACTGACCAAAGAAGAGTATTCCCAGCTAGGTAAAACATTTATGAACAGATGGGTGGTATACTCTTTTTAATTCAGTGAAAAGAAAAATTATCCTAAGATCCCAATGACTTTTAAAACTTTTCCATTTGTTGGAACTATGAAATCTTAATCTGTGTCTACTTGACAGTAGGCATCTGGACACAGTTATTTTAATCAACCATCCAGATGTTTAATCTACATCATGTCAACATCCATATCTTTGAAAACATCTGGATAACTGACTACACGAAGTCTAAGCTTTTCAGCCTAGTGTTGCCATCTCATAAAGATATTCACATTTTCATTGCTTTTTATTGCAGGCGTTTACAAAATTTTGACCATAAACTAGAGAGAGGAAGAAAAAAAAAAAACATCAAAGCTAGGGAAATAAAAATACAAGAATTAAAATTACCAAAGGTAGAATCTGAAACTTTTCCTAGTAATGACTTTAATAAGAAAAGAGCAATAAGCTAAAACTGGAAACCAAAAAGAACATCCCAAAATAAGTGACTAAAGAAATTTCGTGGCCGGGTGTGGTGGCTCACGCCTGTAATTGCAGCACTTTGGGAGGCTGAGGCAGGCGGATCACCTGAGGTCAGGAGTTTGAGACCAGCCTGGCCAACATGGTGAAGCCCCGTCTCTACCAAAAATACAAAAATTAGCTGGGAGTGGTGGCAGGCGCCTGTAGTCCCAGCTACTTGGGAGGCTGAGGCAGGAGAATTGCTTGAACCTGGGGGGCAGAGGTTGCAGTGAGCCGTGATCGCGCCACAGCACTCCAGCCTGGGTGACAAGAGCGAAACTCCATCTCAAAAGAAAAATAAAAGAAATGTCTTAAACATATGTATTTCATTTCATGAATAACGACAGCATAATTTTGCCTTTCTCTGAATCCACCTAAAACCTCAGTTGTACCTTTTTGATGCCAAAATCTATATACCACATTGTATTTATTTGCATGTTACTCTTTTTATTTTTATATATGCACATAGTTTAAAAAGTCAAATAGTTTGACAAGGTTATGAAAAAAAGTGCTCTCTCTCACCTCTTTTCCCAGAAACAATTGTGTTTTTCCCCCAGTATTATTTACAACTGACAAATAAAAACTGTATATATTTAAGGTATACGATGTGATATTTTGATATATGTATACATTATGAAATAATCACCTCAATCAAGCTAATTAACATCTGTCACCTCATATAGTTACCAATTTTTTTTGCAGTGAGAACACTTGAGATCTATTATTTTAGCAAATTTCAAATATACATTATTATTAACTATAATTACCATACTGCACATTAGGTCTTTAGTACTTATAACTGAAGGTTTGTATCTTTTGACCACTATGTTCCTCTTTCCCTTACCCCTTCCCCAGCCCCTGGTAACTACCCTTCTACTCTCTGTTACTATAGGTTCAAGTTTTCTTAGATTCCACACATAAGGGAAATCATGTGGTATTTGTCTTTCTGTGCCTGGTTTATTTCGCTTAGCATAATGTCCTCCAGATTTACTTATGTTGTTGCAAATGGTAGGATTTCATTTTTTATGGCTGAGTAGTAGTCTACTGTATATAGGTACTACGTTTTCTTTATTCATCTGTTGATGGACACAGGTTGAGTCCATATCTTGGCTACTGTGAATACTGCTGCAATATACATGAGATTGCAGATAACCTCTTTGACATGATGATTTCATTTCCTTTAGATATGTACCCAATAGTGGGAGTGCTGGATCGTATGGTAGCTATATTTTTACTTTTGGGGGAACCTCTGTCATAGTTTGAATATTTGTTCTCTCCAAACCTCATGTTGAAATCTGATCGCCAGGCTGGGCGCAGTGGTTCACACCTGCAATCCCAGCACTTTGGGAGGGTGAGGCGGGTGGATCACTTGAGCTCAGGAGTTCGAGACCAGCCCAGGTAACATGGCAAAACCCCATCACTACTAAAACTACAAAAATTAGCTAGCTGTGGTGGTGTGCACCTGTGGTCCCACCTACTCAGGAGGCTGAGGTGGGAGAATCTTGCTTAAGCCAGGAAGGCAGAGGTTGCAGTGAGCCAAGATTGTGCCACTGTACTCCAGCCTGGGCGACAGTGAAACCCTGTCTCAAACAACAACAACAACAACAAACAAACAAAAAAATAAAGAAAAAGAAATCTGATCCCCAATTTTGGAGGTGGGACCTAGTGGGAGGTGTTTGGGTCATGAGGACAGGTCCCTCATGAACAGATTAATGCTCTCTCTTAGGTGTTTGTTGTCACTCTATATTAGTTACCAAGACAGCTGAGTTGTTACAAAGAGCCTGGCACCCTCTCCCCTCTCTCTTGCTTCCTCTTCCACCATATGATCTCTACACACTGGCTCCCCTTCACCTTCTGCCATGAGTGGAAGCAGCCTGAGGCTCTCACCAGAAACTAAGCAGATGCCGGCACTATGCTCCTTGTACAGCCTGCAGAACTGTGAGCTAATTAAACCTCTTTTCTTTGTAAGTTACCCAGCCTCAGGTATTCCTTTATATAACACAAAATGCATACCTTTAATGTAATTCCTACTCTTTGAGGTCAAAGACAGTGTCTTACAAGCTATCATATTTTTTATATTTCATGGTAGACTACATACATTTTGGCAAGCCTAATGTATCAAAAAAAATAGCATTTTAACTCACCTGTCTTTCTCGAGCAGATTCACAGTTGAATAAGAAAGTACCAAATCGGCAACTATACAGATGATCCAAAATTATAATCAAAAATTGTTCATTGAATTCAAAAGCTGTAGGGAACTAAACAAAAACAAGCAAACAAAGCATGAAAAACTGGGACTGAAACTTTATAAAATTAGAAAGATACACTGTAGAAGTAAACAAATGCTGCCACATTGTAGGGCTCTAGGAAGGACAGCAGAGGCTGTAATCTGCACACACACTACAGTTGTTCTTTTTTTAGCAGTTTATATAGGTCTGAGCACTTTAAGTGTTAAATAAAGCAATAAAGAGGAAAATGAGATAAACAGGCTGATTTTCTGGGTTCTCCTGCAGGTACAGTGTAGTTTAGTTATTTAAGCTATTATGAGATAGCAGACACAGCTATATATAAGGGTCAGTGTAAAATGTATATAAACGACGACTTGGTATTGTCAATTCCACTAGTAGAGACATCAGAGTTAAATACTTAATTTTTAAAACTTTATTAGGGAAAATCCCAGATATATCAATAGTAGCAGGAATAAAAAGGTGAACGCTCATGTACCTGGCTTCTGCAAGTATTCACACATGCCCAGTCTTGCTTCATCTCTAGCTCTACCCTGTATTATTTTGGGGTCAAATCCCAATCATTATATTAAAATGTTTAATTTAAACAATGAGTTGAATGTATTTTCATCCCTCATATTCCTTACCTGTTTTGACATTTGCCACACACAATCAATAAACTGGAGAAAAATAGGAGAACGGTCAGCATCGGTGTGGTTTTTATCACCATGACCTATTCGCTGAATAAATTGATGAAGATAATTTGTTTTAATTAATGGGTACAAAACTGAGAAAGCATATAACACAAAATGTGACAATACAATTCAGCAATGTGCCTTCTAAATGCCAAGTTTCTCAGAGAGGAAATAATATATACTTCCATGGCAATATAGGCAATGTAAGGTTTCAAAATAATGGAAATTAAGTATATAAATGTCTGTAAAATACCAATAAAAATTGCCAAAGAATCATCATCCTAGGTGATTATTACAATTATTTCATATAATCAGAATTTTGTACAAGTCCTGAACAGCTATGGATAGAATGGGCATGATTATCCTACATAGTATGTTAGCAATACACTCAACCTAGTTCTTTCAGTCGCGAAGAAAACAATCCTAAAGTTTCAAGACTTAAAATCATGTCCAAAAGGTATGATGATTAGAATTAAATGTTCTTTCTCTCTTAAAAACAAGACAAAACCAAAAAATCTCACAATGTATTCATTTACTAAACAATGATTCTTTCTATGGCTGGGTGTGGTGGCTCATGCCTGTAATCCCAGCATTTTGGGAGGCTGAGGTGGGCGGATCACGAGGTCAAGAGTTTGAGACCAGCCTGGCTAACATGGTGAAACGCCATTTCTACTAAAAATACAAAAAATTAGCTGGGCATGGTGGTGCATGCCTGTAATCCCAGCTACTTGGGAGGCTGAGGCAGAAGAATCGCTTGAACCCAAGAGGTGGAGGTTGTAGTGAGCCGAGATCACGCCATTGCGCTCCAGCTTGGGCAATAAGGGCGAAACTCCATCTCAAAAACAAACAAACAAACAAACAAACAAGCAAAAAAACACAATGATTCTTTCTACTTGAAAATGTTATTCACACTATGAAACCTGGGTGAAGGCTAAAAGGATACATAGCAGTGTTTCTGAAAGGGTAGCCTACAGATCCCCTTCATGAGAATCACTGGGGAGCTGGGTCAAAATGTATATTCAGAGGGCATCTGGAAATAAGACCTAGGAATATGAATTTTAGTATGTTCTTTTGATGATTTCATTAAAAAAATTTTCTTGGGGGGGTTATTTTAAAAAATTTTTATTTATTTTTAATTGAGAGAGAAATTTATATATATTGACTGTCTGTTTAATGTGTAGCATACACATTACCTCATAGTTACCATTTTTGTGGTAAGAAAACTTTACATCCATTCTTTTAACATTGTTCAAAAATATATTAACTACAGTCATCATGTTATACAATAGCTCTTTTGAACTTATTCATCTCTCGATGATTTTTAAAATGCATATCAGAAATAAAAAGCCTCAACTAAAAGTCTATAAAATATATTTGACTCTAATAGCTATATTATTTGAGAAAGAATTGTCTGTCTTCCTTCTCTTATGAAATTTCAATGTAAACATTTCTATGAAGATTCTTTGTATTGCTTTCAAGTGAAACTGCAAACAGTGCAGATGGATAAACATATCTCTTAAAAAGACTTTCACTACCCAAGGCATCATGCATTTTCAAACGCGTAAAGTTTTTATTACACTCCTCAGATTTTCATTGTAATACTGAATATGTAATTTAACAACTAGTTTTAAAATCCTGAATGGTAGTGATCTATTTTTAGAAATTAGCTTTGTTTACTCACAGATGCAAATTTATGTCCAAAACTTATCCATTCTTTTTGTACCAGTATTTCGAACCCTTCAATGCTCCTATAGAAGCTATCCAACATCAGCATGGCCAAGGATGTCAGCTGAGCAGTCCTGTCCCATCCGTCACTGCAATGCACAAGCACTGAACTCTTCCCTGAAGAAACTTTGTCTGCTACTTGAATGGCTCCTGTCAAAACGAGCTGACAAAGAAAAATACGTGAGTCAGTAGGGAGTTATAAGATACTGCTTACATTTGATAGTTTTTAAACTTAGAAAAAGCCATGCTTTAAAATATTAACGTCCAGAACAAAGATTTATCAAAAGGAAACACTAAGAGCTGCAGGATCTGTTGATCGTCCTCTACAGACGCTGCATTTGTTTTCTTTTCTTCTTTTTTTTTTAAATTATACTTTAAGTTCTAGGGTGCATGTACACAACGTGCAGGTTTGTTACATATGTATACATGTGCCATGTTGGTGTGCTGCACCCATTAACTCGTCATTTAGCATTAGGTATATCTCCTAATGCTATCCCTCCCCCCACCCCACAACAGGCCCTGGTGTGTGATGTTCCCCTTCCTGTGTCCAAATGTTCTCATTGTTCAATTCCCACCTATGAGTGAGAACATGCGGTGTTTGGGTTTTTTGTCCTTGCGACAGTTTGCTGAGAATGATGGTTTCCAGCTTCATCCATGTCCCTACAAAGGACATGAACTCATCCTGTTTTATGGCTGCATAGTATTCCATGGTGTATATGTGCCACATTTCCTTAATCCAGTCTATCATTGATGGACATTTGGGTTGGTTTCAAGTCTTTGCTATTGTGAATAGTGCCGCAATAAACATACGTGTGCATGTGTCTTTATAGCAGCATGATTTATAATCCTTTGGGTATATACCCAGTAATGGGATGGCTGGGTCAAATGGTATTTCTAGTTCTAGATCCCTGAGGAATCGCCACACTGTCTTCCACAATGGTTGAACTAGTTTACAGTCCCACCAACAGTGTAAAAGTGTTCTTATTTCTCCACATCCTCTCCAGCACCTGTTGTTTCCTGACTTTTTAATGATCGCCATTCTAACTGGTGTGAGATGGTATCTCATTGTGGTTTTGATTTGCATTTCTCTGATGGCCAGTGATGATGAGCAGTTTTTCATGTGTCTGCTGGCTGCGTAAATGTCTTCTTTTGAGAAGTGTCTCTTCATATCCTTCGCCCACATGTTGATGGGGTTGTTTTTTTCTTGTAAATTTGTTTGAGTTCTTTGTAGATTCTGGATATAGCCCTTTGTCAGATGGGTAGATTGCAAAAATTTTCTCCCATTCTGTAGGTTGCCTGTTCACTCTGATGATAGTTACTTTTGCTGCAGACACTGCATTTGAATGTGCCCAGGTGTTAAAAAACAAACTGAAACAAACCAAAAGCCAAACTGCATCTCAAACTTATTTTCATGGATGTGATTGCGATAGTGTGCTAGGGCTGTCATAAAGTACCAGAAACTATGAGGCTTAAACAACAAAAATATATTGTCTCACAGTTCTGGAGGCTAGAAGTTTGAGATCACAGTGCTGGCAGTGCCATGCTCACCACTAAAGATCTTTTCCAGGTCACTCTTCTAGCCTCTGGTCGTTCCTTGGCTTGGGGCAGCCAATCTTCACATGGCAGTCTCACTGTGTGTGTGTGTCTGTGTCCAAATTTCTTTTTATAAGGGCACTAGTCATAACAAAGTAAGAGCCCACACTACTCCAGTACAGTTTCATTTCAACTAAACATGTCTGCAAAGACCTTCTTTTCAAATAGGGTCACGCTCTGAGGTACAGGGGGTCAGGACTTCAACATATAAATTTTTGCAGGACAAAAATTCAATCCATAACTGTGATCAGATTAAAAAAAAAATCACTGACCCAACAGGTCGCGTCTAGACTGTAAAAGTCTGATACAGTGAAATCCACCTTTTGACCTTTAAATTGGCAATATATCAACTCTTATCTGGCTCATAATCAGTAGGGTACTTAAAGTGAAAGTATTCTAGTAAAAATTTGAGACTTAGAAGTATCAATAAATTTATGTATATAACAAGTTATTGCTATGATGTCATTTTTTGATGATTCATGCATTTACAGAAACATACTTTATAAACAATGGAATATACCCATCCTGAGTGTGAGTGCAATAAGATTTAGCAAATTTATACAGTTGTGCAATTATCACCATAATGTAGTTGTAGAACACCTGCATCACCCAAAAAGTTTACTTGTGCCATCTAAGGTCAATCTTTCTCCCACCTTGAGCCCCAGGCAACTACTGATTTGCTTCCTGTCTCTATAGTTTGCCTTTACTAGAAATTTTACATAAATAGGATAATGCAATAGGTGGCCTTTTGTGATTGGCTTCTTTCACTTAGCATCATGTTTTCAAGGTTCATTTGTGTTGTAGCACGAATCAGTACTTCATTCCTTCTCATGGTCACATAACCTTCCATTGTATATAGATAGACCACGTTATTTATCCATTCATCAACTGATAGACATTTGGTTGTTTCTAGCATTTGGTTACTATGAATAGTGCTGGCATGAACTTTTGCATACACATTTTTTGAAGGGACACAGTGTTTTTATTTCTCTCGGGTAAAATATCTTGGAGTGAAACGGTTGGATCAAATGGTGAATATATGTTTAATTTTTTTTTTTTTTTTTTTGAGACAGAGTCTCGCTCTTTCGCCCAGGCTGGAGTGCAGTGGCGGGATCTCAGCTCACTACAAGCTCCGCCTCCTGGGTTCACACCATTCTCCTGCCTCAGCCTCCCGAGTAGCTGGGACTACAGGCACCCGCCACCACGCCCAGCTAATTTTTGTATTTTTTAGTAGAGATGGGGTTTCATCGTGTTAGCCAGGATGGTCTCGATCTCCTGACCTCGTGATCCTCCCGCCTCGGCCTCCCAAAGTGCTGGGATTACACGTGTGAGCCACTGTGCCTGGCCATATGTTTAATTTTTTAAAGAAACTGCCAAACTATTTTCAAAAGTGGTTGTACCATTTCACATTCCCAGAAACAATGTATGAGAGTTCCATCTTTTCACATGCGTATCAACAATTTGTATATATTATGTAATTTTGGGTTGGTTTTTAAAAGATTTCTTCCACGGAGCTTCCAAATTCTAACAGCCATGCAACAGACATGTATTATAGTCATTTTACCCAATTCAAGGAAATGGAAATTCGCTTATTTTAACTAATTCACAGAAAAGGCAGACCAAGTGAAAGATCTGATGTATTAGGGTTGAAAAATTACCTACTGGATACCATGCTCACTATTCGGGTGATGGGTAAACTAGAAGCCCAAACCTTACTATGCAATATCTATGTGACATACCTGTACATTTACCCCTTGAATCTACAAAAATAAAAATAAAGAAATGTAACTTCATTAGTTTTACATATACAATGTAACTAAAGATAAGTGGATAAAGTAGTGCCAAGAAGGAAAGGTTAAGGGACCTAAGGATGTACATCAATTAGTTGTACAAAATCCATTACTCCTAAAATGACTAGAGCCGTTTATTTCTTCAAGCATTTTAAGTATTCTCCTTGAAATCCTGTTTACAATTTTCATTTGAAGTACTTCTGAAGAAAGGGCTGTTGAGAAGCAATGGTAATATACTAGATCACTTGAGTCCAATTTAATGAAGTTGGGGTTCTAATGCATTTTTACAGAGGGCAACTCTCACTCGAGATACTTCCCTCACTTATAATATAAAAAGGACTCAATCTCAGCCAATTATTTTCAAAAATGTTAGCTGTGTTCCAATTAAGTATTAATTCCCACGATCACTTCTGACAGAAACAGCTATAATTATCTAATAAAACTATACCAGAGTTTTAAAAACACTTAAATAATCTGATGGACTTGTGACTGATGAAAGAAATGACAGCCATCAAGCAGTATACATCACGGTAGTTAAGAGCACTGGCTCTATGGCAGAAGACCTGGGCCTGAAACCTCATTCCACTTTTGATATCTCGTGCTTTGGGCCAATTGAGTAACCATGGTTTCTCTCTCTCTACTGTGAAGAAATGAGCCATGTCCCCACTAGCTTGTCTTGGACTAAAAGATGCTCCCCATAAAGTGCTCACATTGAGCATAGGCTCAATGAGGGCTAGCTGCCATCCAAGAAGGCCAAAACAATATGATACTTTAAAAGAAGCAGGACTATAGGGGAAGAGTATTGTATTGAAAAGGACAAAGAGGAAATACAAGCTCCAGACACTACAGAGTCCTTCTTCCACCCTGCTGGGGCTGTCAGTGAACTGGAATGATGATTTGAGAGGCATGCTAAGGATGGTGATTTTCTCATTGCAAAAGGCTTGCCCCGCTTTCATACATTGAATGGTGACACCATTTCACCAGATTACAGGTTAGTGATGGCCATGCCACCTGTCAGCAGACCCAGGGCTATAAGATAGTATAGAAGGCTGAATAATGGTCACCAAAGATGTCCACGTCCTAATCCCTGGAACCTGTGTATACTACCTCACATGGTAATAGGGACTTTGCAGATGTGATCAACTTAGTGATTTTGAGAAGACAGATTATTCCGGATTATCCAGGTGGGCCCTAAATTACATCACACAAATCCTGATAAGAGAGAGGCAGAGGGAGATTTCATACAGACAGAAGAGGGGAAGGCAATGTGACCACAGAGGCAGAGGATGGAATGATATGCCTACAAGAAGCTGGAAGAGGCGGGGAATGGATTTCCCCTCGTTCCAACCAGTATTCAAGGTCCAACTCAAGGCTATCCACAACTCTGCTTCACTGTCTGAATTGCTATGATGTGACTGATGCCTGAGAAGCCCTGAGTCAGATATCATTACAAGTGTCCACCTAGACTCCCCAGTCTCCTGGTAACTCCTTTGGCTTCTGTACAGAACAATGACAGTTTCTTTCATTTCTTTCATATCCCCTTTGCTATAGACAAAACTATAAAACCTTAGAGAGGTCTCTTAAAACATTTCCCACATTCCTTAAGTGCTAACTTCCATACTTCATCTTTTGCAGATGGCCTTACCTCCTAACTTCCTCAGACATCTGAGCCATTGAACAAGACCTACTCTCACCCAGTCTCTCTTCCTTCTATCTAGCTCAGAGTAGCAGCTGAGCCACCTTGCCAATAACTCCTGTACCTGTGCTCTCTCTTTTAAAAAAAAGCTTTTCTTCTTATTTAGAAAATATATATTCCCTGGAAAAAAATGGAGAAAACATAGCCCTATTACTCAGAAATAATAATTATTCACATATTGGTGGATACCTTTCTAAATTCTGTATGTATGTGTGTGTGTGTGTGTGTGTGTGTGTGTGTGTGTGTATATATATATACACACACACACGTATATATATGTATATATATGTATATATATATGTATATATATATAACTTTTCTTGTACATTTAGGTTCTTTCCAATGCTTTTCCACTTTTTTTTTAAAGAGATGGGGCCTTGTTCTGTCACCCAGGCTGGAATGCAGTGGTACAATCATATTAATAGGTCACTGCAGCCTGAAAATTCCTGGGCTCAAACAATCTTCCTGCCTCTGCCTCCTGAGTAGCTGGGACTACAGTTGTGCACAACTACAACTATTTTTTGTCTTTTTGTTTGTTTGTCTGAGTTTTTTGTAAGAAGCAGGGTCTCACTACGTTGCCCAGGGTGGTCTCAAACTCCTGGGCTCAAGCGATCCTCCCACTTTGACCTCCCAAAGCACTGGGACTACAGGCATGAGCCACCATGCTGGCTCTGTTTTTCCACTATCATAAGCATTCTAGTATATTCATATTTTCAGACCTGTGTGATTATTTCCCTTAAAAAAATTCCTGAAGTAAATCTTTTCTCTTTGTCTACAAAACAGGCTGAAGCTTCCCATGACTTGAAAAGCCCTTCTCATAGTCATATGATCCTCAACACTTCCCCCTTCCTTAACTCTCTCTCTTATTAAAAGAACAGTTGATATTCATTACCTCTATTTTCTCACTCACACCCACCACATCACTAGACACCCCCAAGGTCATAAAGGACCTCGCTAATAAACCTCCTTCAAGTACCACTGACCCTTTCTTCTTAAGACCCTTTCTTTACCTTCCAATATCCTCCTTTGATGTCCATTTCTCTGGTATGCCTCCTTCACTGAGCTCCACTTCTCACCTCCTGCCCTGAATACAAACAGGCCCAAAGCTCCACTCAAAGTCCTCTGATCTTTTCCCCACACATCCTCTCTCAGAATCTACATTAAAGGGCTTTGCTTGCGTTTGTTGCCCAATAGCTGACTGCCAAACCAACATCTCTGTGTTAAGTCTCTATTTTGGGTTCTACTTTGCAGAAAGCCTGCCTGCTAGACACCACCAGGTGGACGGCCCATCACTACCCCAAATGCATGGTGTTTCTCTTGACCAAGGTCCCAATCAAATCTTATTTTTATTTTGCCTTTCATTTTTTTATGAATTTGTCATCCTCACCAATGAATTGTTAAAAAAAAAAAAAAAAAAAACAACCTAATTGTGACAACTAAATATAATGTGATACCTGGATGGGATCCTTAAACAGAAAAAGGACATTAGGTAAAAGCTAAGGAAATCCAAATAAAGTATGAACTTTATTAATAATAAGTTAATAATGTATAAATATTGGCTCATTAGTTGTGACTAGTATACTGTACAATGTGACATGCCATAGTTATGAGCAGTGTAAGACGTCAATAAGAAGAAAAACTCGGTTGGGTATATGGGAACTTTCTATAGCACTTTTACAATTTTTCTGTAAATTGAAAACTATTGTAAAATAAAAAGTTTTATTTTGGTTTTTATGTTAGACCTTGTGAATGGGAAAATGGTATAAGACTTTAAGGAGGTTCACATATGATTGAAGAGATGATAGGTATGTGTAAAAAGAGACATAATGTATAGCAAAGTCAGTGGAAGGAACATTCCCTTTGAGATTCGGTGGGATTTGATCTGGTCCTTGAAGAAAGTGGAAGGATGGGGGAATCCATTCTAGAGAAAGAGGACAACCTAGACAAAGGCCCAGAAACAGGCATAAGTGAGATGGAATTAGGAAGAGTAAGGATTTCTGTAGTTGCAGGTTAATCTACAAACCTGCAGAAGCCAGATGAACAGGGGTGTGGCTGTCAGGTTAGGCTGTTGGGAGCCCCCAGAGGTTTTGGAATAGCAGGATATTTTAGGAAAATGTTCTGTCAGCTGCTTATAGAATAGATACGAGAGGGAAGGAAGAGAAAACAGAACCATTTTAAGAGTGCAAAGATAGGGGTAGTAATGGCCTAGTTTGAATGCTGCCAGTGTGGGGGTGAGGGGACTATGAGAGTGACAGACATGTTTCCAAGGAAGGGCCTGTGGTACTTGATGATTAGCTCAGTGCAGGAGCTAAAGAAATGTAGGATGACACCAAGAGGGTGAGCCTCGCTAGCTGAGAAGAGCATGCCACCACTTGCAGATGAAGGGTAAGTTGGAAAACAAAATTTGACTAGAGAATATATCTTAATAATTCACCTATACATTAAAGCTGACTTTTTGTTTGTGTACAGAACTAAATGGTTTCTAAAAGTGTTAGTTCCCTCAGATCACTTCAAGTACTTTTTAAAAAGTGGAGGATTATTGCTGCCTTTATCAGGATAAAGGATTGAACATAATAAAACACAAAACCAATTCTTTAAAATAAGTCATTTGAGATTAGTTTCAAAAAACAAAAAAAAACAAAAAACAACAAAAAAAACAAAACTAACCACCTCTTATCTAGGTCCAAAGAGGTCATATCCAGTAATGGTTAGATAATAAATTGGCTATTCCTAAATAAACCTGCATGAAAGACTGAACGACTTAATACTGAAAGATGGAAAGAGATGTCTTTGCAAACTCTAAATATATTCTGGAGTGATGATGTGAAATCTTTAATTTAGGTAAGCAAATTATAAAGCAACATAAAACTGTTAAATGTGGTCCTCTACTACAAAGTTTATCTCTCAATGTCCATTTTTTTAAGGAATTTAAAAATATGTCCATTCCACTAAACAATTACATTCTTTTTTATATACACAAATATTTTCACAAAATATACTTGCCTTGATATGTTCTAACCAATGAGTAGACTCCAAACTGGACAACCAATGAGATTCTTCTACATTAGGATAAACAATGTCCTTCACTTTTTTTAAAGATTCCCGCATAACATGAATATTATGAATGTCTAAGAAGAAAAGTTCGGCGTTATGATATGCATCATCACTTTCATATCCTCCTCCTGTTGCCTAAGAAACAACATGAAATACAAACAATCAGTTGAGTTTTCTATTTCATCAGAAACTTACACAAATATTTCTAGTTATTTGTCCTCCAAATAACCCCAAACCCTCCAATTTAAATGAATAATTGATGTGACTTGACTTCCTAGCCAACAACAAGTCTCAAAAACATTAGTCATACTTTGAGTTGAAAAAAAGACAGAAGGCTGGCAATTTCCTGGGGAATCTGTATTCCTAAGGAAAAAAATCATCCTCAAAATGCTCTATAATTAATAGCTCTTCTTCCGGATCTGGAAAGGCAAAAGCAGGTTGTGAAAGGTCCTCGTTCTCCATTAGTTTTGTATCTCTAATAGTACTCTTCAGGGGGAAGGCGGGAGGCAGCCAGACTGAGGCAGCAGCAGGCACCTCTGGCACTGTAACAGCACTCACGTAGGACGTGATGCATTAGAGGAAAACAACAGGCTTTGGAGACAGACCCAGGCTGAGATAGCTCAGCTTCAGCTTCTCCTTGCCATGTGATCTGGGACAAGGCACTTAACATTTCTGAGCCTCAACATCCTCTCCTGTAAAATAGGGGATAATATTACCTAGGTCTCATACTATTAAAGGAACCACACTCTATTATAATAGCTAATGCCAGCCACTGTTTAATGAACTCCTATGACATCCCAGGTACTGTGACTCTTGCTTTACATAATTTTCTCTCTTCAGCAGTGCTGCAAGATAGGTATTACTGTCCCCATTTTGCCAATGAGAAAACAGAAACTCAGAGACGCTAGTTAACTATCCCCTAAGTCACATAGGTAATAAGTGGAATTTAAGTCTAAGTCTGGCTTCAAAGCTCGAACTTTTTCTACTAAACCATGACTATTTCTCTGCTATGCAAACACCAATGAGAGAGCACTGCACATAGTGAGCTCTGAAAGAATAGAAGATTTCAAGAGGAGACAAGATGGCTACCGCCTACTGCAGCAACTACAAGTATTAACTTGCCAGGGCAGGCTTTGGTTCATCTTCACAGCATGGTGAAGAGTGCCCATTTTCCACACTGACAAAAAGAGATGCTATGGTTTCATTTAGGAATCTGGCTGCATTCTGCTTAAACGTTTTGAAATGGCATAGAACACGTGGCCTTTGGCCCTTTAAGAAAAAGTTAAACAGTTCTGAGACTTGCAAAGAAAACAATATTATACTAACTCCAGAGTGCCTGTAGGAACAGAACAGGGAAACATCTGCCTGGGGCTGAAGAGGAAAGGAGAAGTCACCAGACAAATGTGCCATAGCTACAATATGCCTATTTTCTCTTTATTAACAACAATGGAAGGAATATAAGCTTGTAGCCATGGATAGAAGGGCCAAAGAAACTTAGGTTTTTTTTTGTTTTTTGTTTTTGTTTTTTCCTGGAGGTAGTCACAGAAAAAGGTTTCCTGCAGAAGTAAGGCTACCATCCATTTAGGTTTCAAACTTGGAGACCTATGTTAAAAGCCAGAGATCTTGGTCTCTAAAGACTCTAGGCAAGAAAATATAGTTAGGCAGAAATATTTCTTTAGAGCGTGCTCTAAATAGTATCACTGGTAAGTAGACAGTAAACATTCACAGTGTTGTTTTAAAAAAGTTATTAGCTAATAAATAAGCAATTTATTATTTAAGTGGGCCACTTTCTCCTCTTCCTGCTTCTCTACACATGTGGTTTTTAAATAGTTATGGTGATTTTCAAAGAGATTCTTGAAACTAGAGTTCTCTTCATAAATAACTGAAAATAAGTGAAAAAATAAAAGGAAAAATATACTTTATTACTCATCGCTAATGTTTCTGGTAAAAACAGACATTAGCACAGTTCCACATTAATTCATCACGATGTACCGCCACAAAAATAGAAGCGGCTTGCTGCTAGATCTTACCAATCCTTGGATTTTGTTTAATTTAAAATGATGTGCCGTTGCTTGTTGCATCTGGGGATGTAAATTTCTAAATATCCGTAAGGGAGGAACAATTAGGTCCAAGGAGAACAGAAGGTCAGAAAGGGCAACAATCAATTAGTCAAGCACACACTGAGTTCCTGAAAGTTCAAATTCTACATCTCTGGTTACTTTTGAAGTATTCTTTTTGGTTTTCCTTTCTTCAACAAAAAAGAACAATGTAGATTACCTAGGACGATGATGTAAAGGTCTACGGGCCTGTTGCTATGGATATTAGCGACTAGCGGAGAGACACAGCAGAGGAAGGGAGAAACAAGTGAGCTTTTTAAAAGAATGACAGAGATCTGTAAAGCTTAGGCTTTTTCCCTGATATTTTCCTTCCCTCGACTCCTAAGAGGACTAGAAATAGAAGCTTGTTTCCTGAGTGTTAAAAAGGCCTTCAGGAATTCTGTTGCTGGAATGAGCTTTAATTAGTGTATCCATTTCATGCATTTTAATATTCTAAAATATTCTTTGTAAATACTTCATTGTAATGCTATATCATATCTATTTCAGGCTAAATATGTACATGAAAATATTGCTATATATATATATATATATATATATATTCACCCTGAAATATATATGAAAGATAATAGGTACACAGATATATAAAATTAAGGACAATCCAAGAAGATATTTAGAGTTAGATTTAATTTCCTGAGTGTTTCACTTACGATTCCTAATTTACTTGTCAATTTAACTTACTGACTGCTTCACATATAATTTCAAAATCATCTCTGGACCAAAAAACAACCGTAGTAACAAATAGCTGGTTTAAAAGCATGCATGGGGATGGGGAGGTGGCCCAGGATTAAATGTGTAGGACAGAAGATCTGTGCACAAATAATGAAGAGTTGAGCTCTGCATGCATGCAGTCTGACACATCCTAGTCCAGACAGATATCACAGATTCTATTAGGAAGCTGCTGCACCTATCTGAGCTGCTCAAGAACTTGTTTTGCTTTCTGGTTCTTGTCTTATGTTCTGAATAATTGAAGATGCTAGACAAATAACCTCAGGATAAGCAATGTATTAAATATGATGAAATTTAAGCTTACAGCAGAGGAGAAACAATAAATCTGAAAGCTGGAATGGGAGTGAGCAATTTGGGGCAGGCCCCTCGTGAGCATTTGAAAGTGACAGCAATGATGGGAGGAGAAGGAAAAGAAAAACAACAAAAAGGAGAAATAGAACGTAAAATGCACATCAATCTGGGGCCATTTAGTAGAGCAAGCAAACAGCCATACACCTTGCAGCAGCTTCTGAAGGCAACACTATGCAGTCACTGATGTTCATGATGACCCTAATCAATTTTAAGTGCATTCAGCATATTCTGCTTACAGCAAAAAGTCAATTGAGACAGACTTCTTTGAAAACGGTCAACTTTGTGTATATGTTTGTGCCTGGAAAACTCACATACGTGGACCTACTCATTTCTTGAATTATCTTATGTAAATGAGAATACACATATGTGAGTATATACGGGTATGGGGGAGGGAGTGTTTGAGTAAGCATGCAAATTTAGTATTTTAATAATTACAGCTTCCCATAGCTTCTTACAGATGCCCCAATAGTGTACACAATGAGTGATCATCCACAGCTGAAAGGGCTTTAAAGAGAATCTAACTTTTTCCTGCCAAGGTCCTGGCCAAAACCCAATTTCATTACAGTCTAGACATGCCTATTTACCTAAAGTTTATTTGCATTTGATTTTGATATATTCAATTTTGTTTAAGTTTTGTGATTAAAACTACTTTCTGTCTAAGAGAACTGGTTTTCTTAACTATTAATTTAAACCCACGTGTTTCTATATCATGGCAAAAACATTCACAGAAAACACTGCACTCCATATGTAAGCTAAGTGTCCAGCACATCATTAAGTCCACTCACCTTGTTGGCCACTGCATTTACGCTGGGTCTTGCATCATAAATGGTGAGTTTAGAAATTTGTTTATTAGTCTCCCTGATAACATCGAGATATTTCTCATCATCTTTATTTCGTTTCCCACTCATACCGACAAGAGGCTGACTGCAACGCACAATGACCGTCTTATTTTCTGGATGAATCCATGACAGCACCTATGGTTAAGTCAGAAAGTTTAAGCTATCAAGAAAGCAAATCTCCAAGCAAACAATTAAAACTGTAAAACAGTAAAGCACTGACGGTTATCAAGAAGTGAATCTGATTGTGCTAAAATAGAATACTTGTTCACTTGCAATCTCACTGCGTGTGTGTGCCCAGAGACATGCATTTAATAATATAACTCAGAAACAAGTACAATTACCAGTCTTTTCTTAATTAGCACCACATCCAATATAAATTAATTGCTTACCTAAAAATAGTTATATCACTTAAAGGAAATTGAAAGCTTGATCCTATTTTAATTATGTAGCTTGCACTGGATTTGTTATCATATAGAAGCAGCTTTGGCAAAAAGTGAGAGGTAAAGGAAATTGTCTCTGGTACAATATGTTTCTCATAATACCAACTCTGTCTACAGATCATTTTCCCAACAGTCTCAATTCTAGAATCTAACACAGGAAGGAAGAAAACCTGAGCAGAGCAAAACTGATCTCAGGACAGCCCAAAGAGCATAGATCTGCTCGTCTCCACAGTGCAGTGTGGACATCCAATGCCTAGGAGACCTCATCAAGCCCTGATTCAGAACCTATCTTCTCTAACTTTATACACAAGTCTAGCACATTTGCTCCCTGGTTGCCAAGCTCATAGCATGTGAAAAGTAATACACGTAAAAGGTAGCTAATAATGTAATATACCAAAAACGACAGAATTGTACACTTGAGATGGGAAATTGTTTGGTATGTGAAGTAGATCTCAATAAAGCTATTAAAAATGGGAAGCTGGAGAACTGCAGCACAGTGGGCGACAATGTGGACTTTGGGGTCTAGTGCCATCTCTGCCGTGGTTCTAACCTCAGGCATTTCACTCGCAGCTTCTCTGGCTTCCCTTTCCTCTTCCATAAAATGGGGAGAATAATATAATCTCATAGGGTTGCTCGGTGGCCTGAAGAAGAATGCCCAGAAAGTCTGCAATAAACACTGGCTCGTGTTAGCTTATAGAGGCAGGCCCAGCAGCCAGGAAAGTCAGTTAGCAAAAACTACAAAATGCAGATACAAAGAACGAAAGAAGCTTAATCATGTGGGCTCACTCAACATAACACCAAATTCCCTGATGTCTCTGAAGTTACCTACCCCATGATGGCAAATGACAAACATTGATGTTTATAAAAATGAGTGTTTATAATGACAACAGGTTATTGAGAAAAGATTATACAGTAATATTTATTCATTCTCAGAACAAATATGGTCCTTGCACCATGCTAGAGATCAATTAAAAACACCATTGTAGCCCCTGCCTAATAAGAGTCCAAAGGCTCAGAACTGGGAGCCTTGGAGAAGGTACCAGTGGGACCTAAACCTCCACCTTCCAATCTATAATGCACAGCACATATGAGATCTGCCTTCCTTTCCCTCTATGGCCCTGGTATCAAGAGAGACAAGAGACATGAGACCACTTTAAAGGAGCAATTTGCTACACATTTAAAAGATTTATTATTTGAGAAATTATTAAAATATTTTTTAATATTTTTTATTATTTTAATAATTTGAGAAATTATTAAAAATAAAAATTATTTATTATTGAGAAAGACCCTCATCAAGTTGTAAATTTCAGTCGGGCCATAGGCAATGGCCTCCCGACCCCTATTCTCTTTGTGGTGCCATGTTAGGAAATGCTACTCCTCTGAGTTGTTTCTCCTCTTAATTTCTTTGCAGGAGGGGGGATTCTTACTACTTTTTGAAAAGGATGCTTATTACAGAGCTAAACAGGTACAAATAATGTTCATTTCACAGTGTCAACTACCATGAGTGCTTTTACAGTATATGGCACTGTATTATTCTTATTAAAATTCATATCTAGAAGCCATAGATAATTAAGTACACAAATATCTAACCACTGAAAGATGTTTATTACAGCATTACTTACAATAGCAAAAGATTAAGCAGAAGCTGAATGTCTCACAATGGAAAACTGATTAAATCATGGTACATCTACACACTGGCATATGAGCGGATCATATTTAGCAACATGGGAAGTTGTTTACAAGATATTGCTAGATAAAGACACAAATTATAGAATAATTTCTATAGACTGAGACACAAATTATAGAATAATTTCACTTTTTTCAAATATATATACATATGTGTGTGTGTGTGTAGATATATGCTTAGAAGGAAGTCTGAAAGGATATATACCAACAGTGTTAACACTGGTTCTCACTAGGTGGCAGACTCCTTTTTGCTTATCAGTATTTTTTATAATGCTTAAAATGAACGTGCATTACTCATACATTAAAGACTCATAAAATTAAGAGAAATCTGTTTGAGAATAAGAGAATACATATCCATTAATGGAAACATTTAATGCACATTGATTATTTCTCTACCCAGCAATATTTTATTATAGTTTATATCTTATTTACATGCAAAATAAGATCTCTTTCATGTCACTTCCTTTTGTATTTTTACATGAGGTTTTATAAAAAGAACCAACTATCAGATATTAATGATTTCACATTAAAGGCACATATGTTTTCTGGGTGGAAGCAAAGCTCTGAGACTTAGCCAACAGCCGGGTGGTTAGAAAGCATACTGCAAAGAACATATTACCACGCTTAATAGTACCTAATAGTAAATCTATAAATATGTAGAGGTGATGGGGAACTTAGTCTTCCCTATAAAAGCCATTTTAGAAAAAATAAATACAAATTGGTGGCCATGATAAAGTAAGAAGGATCAATAACATGACTAAATAAAAAGTTAAGAAATTCTATCTGCTCTACAGTAGACACTCATTCATTCAGAATAATGGGGACTACTGGATCAAGATGGCAACCAAGCATGGTAGAAAGGGCACAGTTGTTCAATTTTCTCTGTTTCAAATCCCATAGAATTCACCCACATACACAAATGACACGGTAGATGCTCAATAAATATGAACTGAATGAATACATGAACAAAACTGAGCCAGGCTACCCTAGCCCAGTTGTCCTTGTGAGCAAGGCATGCATTAGCAAGACAGACAGCCAGCCAGGGTAGGGGTGTAGTCTGTGGCTATGGTACAGAAGAGCATGTCCAAACAGAGCACAGGAAGACTGAACTTGTAACCCTAGCTTCATTAGCATCATGTTCTAACAACATGAGCTAAAGAACATACTTTCAAGTACAATTTATATCGCGAAGATATGAACAGACACTACTAACTGGAGAAGCAAGTGAATTAAAAAAATCATTACATAAAGCATTTATTAATTTTAATGGGTAAAATAGTAGTGCTATAGTGGAAAAACATGACAGACACTGCCTTAGCAGAATAATCACAGTTAACATCACTAATAACGGGACAAATCAACAGCATGTCTCCTAAGGTGGTGCACTGAGAACACAGCATCACTTCTGCGGTTTTATGGCTAGAAGTGTATAACAAGTGAATTAAAAAAAATTACAATTCATATTAGGCTGACAATACAAAAGTTTTGCACAAATATCCTTTTAAGGAAAAAAAATGTCTAGACTTGAAAAAGGCAAGGTGACATTAAGTCTTAATTTCTTCAACCTTTGTTTTTAAACATTTACTTATTAGGGGAAAAAAAAAACCCCAAGGTACTTATGACAGACCCTGAAAATTAGCAGGGGAGAATACCTAAATTTTTAGTCAATTTTTGTCAATGTTAGATAGTATCACATGTCCATTAATATTTAAGGACCAAAAGAGAGCTTTGTGAACTAGGTGCAGTGATACCGTATGGATAGTGTCTGGAATAATCTATACTTGACTCCAGTTAGACAATGGTATTGGGGCAGCCTGCAAAGGTGATGGGGGTGAGCTCGTGGTGAGTGTATGTCAAAGTCTGTGCTGACACATTTTATAACAAGACAGTGTGTTCTTTCCAGCATGATTTATCTGACATTTATCAAGAGCCTATCATATAGTATCATGTACTGTGCCACAAAGACAAAAGCCACAAAGAGCCTGTCTTTCCTTGCTTCCTTCCACACAGCACTTGGTTCCCATTACTTGCAGCCCCTCTCTCGTAGAGAGCTCTTTACTTGCGTTCATTCTTGATCCTTAGTTGCAAGCTCCTAGAAGGCAGGTGACGGCACACTTCTTCTCCAGTCTGGTATGGTACTTTGTACTCACAAAGCACTTAGTAAGTATTTTTTGGGATAGAATTCCAAAAGGACCGTTTCTCTAAGTTATATGACTACCATTCTTATGGACTAAAAGGTGCTCTTCAAGAGAAACGTTAATTGCAGTACTCACTGGAATTCGATTTCGGGACCTAAAAGTTGCAACTCTCCGGAGGTCATCATCTGAGGCACGATACGGAACCACCAAAAGAGCAGGGTAAGTGTCACAGAGCTCATAGCACTTATTAATAAAAGTTATTCTCCAATGGTGATTGGGCAAGCCCTGTGAGGAAAAAAAGAAATTCAAGTCAGTATTGCTTGACCTCATCTCTGGATTTGGCCTTGGGCCTCTTTTCTTCCTTCTAGCAATATGTGCACATGCCTCTTTGACCACAGGGTGATGACGGTCTACCTATTTATAATAAGGGTGCCAAATCAATAATCCAGACAACGTAAGAACACAAGACAAAACACTGGTGGTTTTTACAGTTCTAAACTATACTTTGTAAATACAGATTCTCTTGAATTCAAAGGAATTCGTCTTCCTTTATTTTGTGTCCACATATTCTTTACTACCTGTACCACACAGATAAACCCAAGTTCATCCCCCGCCCATGCACCCCTCCCATCCCCTAAAAAAATACCCTGCTTCATCTTAATCTGGCTCTAACTGAGGGTAGAAAAGAGATCAGGCAACTTCCTCTCCCTGCTCAAAATAGAGTGAATGCTTCAGTCTGCTCCAAAGTGGAAAGAGGCTGAGCTCATGAAGAAAATCATGAGGGGAAGTAAAGGAAGATCCCTCTGGGGAGGCTCATTTCGCCACCTCCGATGAGTTTTTTTTCAATCAAGTTGTTCGGAATCGATGATTGCCCTATAGTTTGTGTGAGAAATACAGTCATTTGCATTTTAAGCAGACTGCTAATGTGACAGGGAGACACAGAAGACACCTCCCATCCTATCATCTCCCCCACAAAATTGTATTTAGTATGGAAAAGATCCAGAGGTGGTGGAATATTCTCTCCCCATTCTCACAAATGCACAGATACACACACAAAAGTGAGCTATGTGGGTGTTTGCTTTGGGGACAGACATTGTACCTTTTCTTTAGGTCTGGCCCTAGAGACCACGGACCAAACAGATGTTGAGTCTGATGCTGAGTCCAATTAGACAGTTATAAGTCCCATCAGAAAGTTATAAGAAAAAAAGATTGAATATAATGGCAGTCTAGAACAAAATACCTTCAACAGTTCATATATGCATGCAATCTTAAAAACAGGAACTGTTTTGTTTCAAGCTAGAAGCTTTGAACTAAAAAAAAGTCTTAATGTTATCAGTAATACTTCAAAAAGAAGGTAAAAATATTTTAATACATCATTTACAGAGGTCTCCAAAACATGCAAAATGTTTTCATGGTCCTTCTTCCGCCTCAGTAGCTAGTCCAGAACTGAGGCCATTAAAATGGGAGTAGTGCAAAGCCTTAGAAAACTCAACAGTCTAAACGTGACTTATGGAAGCAACAGGATATACTATGTCACATATGTTCTAAAGCTAAACTCCTGCACCCAAATTCCAGAGCGTCAAATCTGTTCATGAATATGCAAACCGTTGATTAAGACTAAAAAAGGAAACCAATCCAGGTTTTTCATGGTGAAGGTGGTGACTAGATGGTTCTTCTCAAGTCTAGGGTTCTACGATTTTACTTTATATTCACTACCTTTTCATATAAAGCAAATGGGTTTGATCTGATTCTCAAATCTCATTCAACAAAACTTTTCAATTATCTTAAGAGCTTTGTAGAACAAGAATTGTGAATAATCCCATCACACAACTCCTAGCTGCCTACAGATTTGGTTATACCAGAGGTCAAACTGTGGCTCTTGTTACATATTATGCACAGAATTCCCTTAACAAAAATACTGCAAGAGACTTTTGTTCCTGAACAGCAATATGAGACCAAGCCTCTTGCCTTTATTATAGCAAATAAACATGCATGTAGGTGACATTCATATAAGAGAACAGTAAAGACAATTATAATGTACACTTATCAAAGCTTCCTTGAAAAAGACATCACTACAGGAAAACAGTTCTAATTCATTTGAATCTGCAAACTGAAATGAATATAATTTAAATCTAACTGCAGGTAATAGTTAAGCTCCCAAACATGCATATACATAGCAATATCAAGTCCTAAAGTGTAACTTCTAAAATGTTTGACTTTTCTAAATCCTAAGTATTTAATTCATTTCATAAACAACACAGAATTGATGCTCTTCATATAGGGAAGGAAATAGGATTTAGTGACCCAGTCTTCGATGCAGCTTGCATATGGCAATGGAATGAGCTTATAAGTTATACAGTAATAGATAGAATGAGATATATTGTACAAAATGTGGATAATATCACCACCATTGAAAAGATATTTAGCAAGGATGTCGCTGATTTTCAGAAAGCATGGCTGATGACATACTGTCATAATGCATGTTTCAGGTTCATCACATACCAGACAATAGCATCTAACATCTTACCTGCCTCCTGTATTCTTCCACTGGATTGTAAACTGTCCATCCATCCACGTTAAACTTTTCTTCATTTAAAAATGCAAATAATGGCTAGAAAAGGCAAAAAATAAATAAAGTTCAGCGTGAAGGAACAGTCTACTATTATAGTACATCTTTTGATTTCTCGCAAAATAAATTTCACCAGATTTGCCGACCATGAAATTACAACCCACACCAAGGCTTATAACAACAACAACAAAAAAAAACAGTGGAAAACTCAGATCAGACTTACGCTAACTTCTATCTTGAGTAATAGAAGCCTCAATTTTCTATGGCTATAAATCTCTCAATTGTTCTTTTAATGATGTTCCACAAAAAAATCAGATTACCAGACCAAAAAGTGCCTATCAATTTTAAACAGTATTAGCAATTGATCAGGTACAAGCCACTAAAAAGAAAGAAGGAAAGGAAGAAAAATAAAATTCAGGAATTATTGTTAAACGGTGCAACTGTCTCAAAAGGGAACAATGACATGTTTATTTTTTAAAAAGATAGGATATTAAGAAAACTCTGAGCTAACTGTTCTCTGTGAATTCTGAATCAATGCCCTGGTTTCTGTGAAATGGCAGGACTCAGACCTCTCACCTCTTCTCTATATATACTCACCCTCAACGTGCTGTTGATACATTTGATAGCTTCAAATACCATCCATACTCTAGTGACTAGTAAGGACCTATCATTCTCCAGCATCCCCTCTGAATTCCAGACTTGGCTATCCAAGTGTCCACTCTACCACCCCACCAGACTGCCTAAGAGGCATCTGAAGAACTCTCAAGTTAACACAACCAAAGCCAAACACTCTTGGCTCCCCCTACCCAGTCCTGCTCTTCCCACAGTCTCCCCATTTCAGTACATGACTTCCAGCTGATTGAGCTGAAAACCTTGGATTCATCTTTGTCACCACGTGGCTACCACCCAGGTCCAAGCCACCATCATCTCTTACTTGGTTGATTATAAAAACCTAACTGCTCCCCTGCTTTCATCTTTGTACTTCTCAAGTCAGAGTGACAGTGTCATAGGTCAGATCAAGTCCTTTCCTTGCCCCAAATCCTCCCGTAGCTTTCCACTTTGCGAGGAGTAAAGGTGGAAGTCCTTCCAATGGCTTATGCAGCTGTCTGCCATCTGGCCATCTCCCCCGCCACATCTCTGCTCTCAGACTCACTCGCTCCACGTAAGTCACACCTGCCTCCTGTGCCACTCCCTAAAGGCACCAAGCACATGCCACTCTCAGGGCCTTTGCGGCTACTATTCCATCTGCCTGGAATTCGTTTACCTCATGGCTTCTTGTCTTCTCTCACATCTCTGATCCAATAATCTTAATCAGTAAGACCTTCTCCGACACCCTACAAAAAAACATGTTACCCTCACAACAGCACTCCCTATTCCCATCTGATTTTCCCTATCACTTATGACCATTTGACATATTACATATGTACTTGTTCACTGTACATATGTACTATCCCCTCCCCTAGGACATGGGCTCCATGAAAGTACACACTTGCTTCATTCCCATCCTTTATCCCCAGTAACTACAATGGCGCCTGGTCAGAGGGAGGCAGAACACAGGCTCGCTGACCGAATGAAGACATGAAGGCCCACACAGCCCCTGTACAACCATCTTCTCTGGAGGCGCTGCGTCTGGGCACTTTTCCTCTATGTAGCTCCCTCCCCAACCATTTTCCTCTGTCATCAGACTAATCACTTTGAACACCAGTGTTCCCTCCCCTACAACACAGTGTATTTCTGGAAAAGCATCTTTCAGCAGCAACAGTTTTCTGCATGTGAATGGCAAGAGGTTTAAGGTGAAAACTGCCCAAGAACATGCTCTCCACAATGTCTTCTCAAACTTTCCCAGGCATGCAGCACACTCTGCAGGTCTCAACTCTGGCAGCGCTAGGCCCAAGTGCTGTTTATTCTGGATGGCTGGCATGATAAGCACACACTGGTAATGATGCTGACCTAGCTAAGCGATGCACTGAGGCTTTAACCTGACACTGAATCCACAGCAATGCATAATTATTCAGTACCACTGGGAAAAATAAGTGATTTCTGTTAAGTTTAAATTAAAGACAGAGGGACTTTGGGCGAAAATAGCACTAAAATGTTTGGTGCACTCCTTTATCCATAAACAGAATATATGGGACATGCCTAAGCATTCTCTTGGCAATATATCATTACTGTGAACATCTGATACTGCGCTGGTCAGTACTTGGCACAGGTAAACATTCAGGAATGTTGAATGATTTGAGTGATGTACTGTTAACATGGTTGTAGATGGTTTGAGGCCTAAGGCTCTACTGTCACTTTAAAAGAAAACCTAGAACTTGCTTTCTTGAAATAAGTTCCTGACCTCAACATGGTTTTTGTTCATTTGTTTTAGTTATTTGCATCTTTCCCATGAAGCTCAAGTGAATATGGCAGCTTTTAAAAACCAAAGAGAAAAATTCCTAAATTGAAGGCCCAGATAAAGCTTTCCTTCCAGAAAAAATCATCATGTGTAGTAATGCTATCAGCATTAACTTTCAAGCAGCATTTTCAACCTAAATTACTATTTTTTCAATCCCTAAGGTTAAAGCACCTTCTTTTTTTTGCTTCCAGTATTCCTGTATCTTACATGAAAATTTCTAAGTTTATAAAATTGTTATCAGAAAATCAAAGCTATATGGCCTAAACAAAAATTATCTACCTAACTTCCTTAATATGTTTTATAAAAGAACCTGAACAGAAGCAACATCAATTTTTTTTTGTCATTAGTATGAGACTGAGACAATGTCCCCATGGTAACCACACATCAGATGGACTCTCTGATGAGATCACTTCTATGATGATACTTCACATTCTGACTAATATCCAGAATGAGTCAACTAACTGGTATCCTTTAACCCGAAACATGTCTATTAGAATTGGTGACAAAAACAACTCCCAGTTTACTCTTGATGCTAAGAGCCAGGCTTGGACCCCAGATATTTCAGGAAGAATTATGAATCGCACAACAGCCAAATATTTCTCCTCGTGAAGCACATAGCAACACATCTAATATTAAATTGGAGCTTAGGGTAGAAAAGACTGGGTGCTTAAACCAATATTTTCACCATTCAAATAAATTAGCTTACAAACACAGAAAAACATTTTTCAAAAAGCATTACTAGGTAGTGTTTATGTGGTGTTTTTATTTAAAAACTAAGTTTTCCATAAGCTACTTGGCTCAATTGAAGTGAGCAGTCTGAAAGAGCCAATACCACCATTTTCTGAACTTGAAAGTACGAGGACCTACTTTTCAGATATATTTTCTTTTTTTCTTAAAGATTAAGAGAATATAGGCTCTCAGAGTAACATAAAGTTGGATTATTACAAAAACAAAAATAAAGCAATAACAAAACACATTCATCTGTACCTCATTATCAAAAAGCATAAAATCCCCTACAAGTGGTAACTTGTTACAAGCCTAATTAAAGCTCCTATTTCAAAATTGTTAAAACCTGAAGTGAATAGGTTATACGTCTTGAGGTTTTTAGCTGTCATTTACTTTCTCTTCCAGACAATGTATTCTTTAACACTTTATTAATGTGTTGACACTTTCAACTATTATTCTTAAATATAACCTTGGGTCAATTTTGACCCTTAATTTGGGAACTCTAAATCACATGGAGAGAGCTGGCTCTCAAGTATTTTCCACTATAACCATCAAGCGCGTCTTGTTTGCTAAATGGGTAATGATAAAGCTTACTCAATGAACACGTCCAAGTACTGATTTCATCGACTATGGAAAATTCAAGAACGATTCAGTCCCAATTGAGCAAAGTCTTAGGACAGAGAAGATGTTTTGCTGAGCATCACCTTTCAGTAGATGCTTCAGCAAGTCCTACGTGGCTTTCTTCTAGGGTGTGGTCCTTATCTACGGCTCTGCCTCAGAATTGGGGGTGAAGTGGGCTGCTTTTTCCAGAGGCTAAACCATGCCCTGTGCCCTGCCTCACCCCTACTGAATCAGAATCTCTAGGGGGTGACTTTCTACCTCCTTGGTCCTAGAAGGGCCATGTGGGATGTACCAGAACTCTCAGGAATGTAGCCTAAGGATTCTGTGTGGTCAAGCTGTTGGGGAGCTACTTTAGTTTGTTTTAGATTATTTTGAAATAATTATAGATTCACAAGAAGTAAATCTTCAGCCAGCCTCTCCAGGTGTTAACATCTTGTATAACTTTTAGCACAATATCAAAATCAGGAAACTGACAGAAGATACTCTCAAATGGCCACCCTCACCTTCCTCAAGTGAGCAAGTCATGTCTTCCTTAATTTTGCTCTATATTAGTATTTGGGCATTTCATCAATTCACAATTCACTAGATCCGTACTAGTCAAGAGATACTGTACATGGAGACTTTTTTTTTTTAAAGCAATCATGTGCATTGTTTCCGGATTAAAAATAGCACAATGTAACATTTGAAAAATGTTAAAGGACAAACTTGAGATGAAACTCTCTGATTTCACACCAGGGATAAAAACAGCTCTGACATAGGGAATATAACTTGTCATTTTAATTTAGCTACATTTATCATTGTAACTTGTGGGGGTAAAGTCTCTGAAATGACAACAGATTTTAGCTTTCACTTAATTAGCCATTATTTTTAAATGGCACCTATATAAAGATGCACTGATTTCCTTAAAACATCTAGATTGGATTTTTTGTTTATTTAAACAGAATCTATAAATGTTAATTCTTGAGTTTCCTTTGAGGACGGACAGCTGTCTGTCACTGTCATAGGCTCTCTCCAGCTCATAATCAGGGGAATAAATTGATAAACTATGAACATTTAAAAGTGTTTTCAAATGATGTTAACAGCACCCAATGGCACAACTGATGAATGTGATTTTTCAGGAAGATGACTCTTAATGACCTATGTCTCCAAATACCTAAACTTAAAACTTCAGGGAACCACTTACTAACTGCTTCTTTTTGTTTTTGAGACAGAGTCCTGGCTCTATCGCCCACGCTGGAGTGCAGTGGTGCCATCTTGGCTCACTGCAACCTCCGCCTCCTGGGTTCAAGCAATTCTCGTGCCTCAGCCTCCAGAGTAGCTGGGACTACAGGCACACATCACCACGCCCAGCTAATTTTTTTTTGTATTTTAGTAGACACAGGGTTTCACCATGTTGCCCAGGCTGGCCTTGAACTCCTGAGCTCAGGCAATCTACCCACCTTGGCCTTTCAAAGTGCTTGGCTTACAGGCGTGAGCCACGGCATCTGGCCCAACTGCTTCTTTCTGGATTAAATTTTGCAACGTTTGAACAGGAATTGAAGCTAGCTTTTTTTTTTTTTGAATTTGATTTCTGAAATTAAAGACACTCATCTTTTTAAAAAGCTTCCATCTACCATTTAAGGGTACAGTAATGTAAAATTACCTCATTTTCATCTTTTAAACTTTAGAAACAAGACTTGATCATGTAAGAAAAAAATGCTTTCATTAAAATTGGAGGGGAAAGCCTAAAATTTTAAAGAACCATAGGACGTACTGATATGTGGTAAAGTTTATAATTCTAATGCCCTAATGCTAGATAATGCTTTCTGTATATTTCACACGACTTGACACAGTAAGTTCATTTATATCAGTTTTGACGCAGTTATTCCAAAAACCTGACAAAAGATAACAGGTCAAAAGCAGCTAGCACATAGATTACCAATTATACTTCTGTTTGCATAAACAGTTCTCCTAATCCTATTTCTACTACTGACTAAATCAGTACCTCTGGGGGAAATGGCTTGATATTCCTGTGTCATCATTGTCTTCATATATAAACGTACCTATTTATTTGTTCACGAAAGGACCACAAATGTACATTTGAAATGTCATTTGAAACTATTTTGGAAAAAAGAATATTCTTTACAACTTGTCCACTATCATAATCATTTAAGGCTGAGATTTCTGAGGGTTCATACATTGTCCCTCTTCTCACTGTAGTTCTCTCTCCTGGCAATTTTGGCCACATCTATGAAAATGCTAGTGATGTGATGTGGATGTGATCCAGGAGTACCAAATAAAGCTCTCCCCAGGCCAGAGCTCTGGATCTATGTGGTCATCTGTCTCCTAGGTATCTCTGCCTGGCTGTCTCACAGACACTCTCAACTCAACATAACCAAAATGGAACTTGCCACCTCTTCCTCACTCCCCTCCTATGTTCCCCATCTCAACCACTGGCCCCACCATCGGTCTGGTTATCCAGGGTGGATTCTTCCCTATCATCCCATCCTCCCTCATAACTACATTCAGTCAACCACCAAATTCTACTGATTTTACCATCTGAATCTTTCTCAAAAGCATCATCTGGAGTCCCTGTCCATTGCCCCACTTCAAGCCCTCATCATCAAGGACTGGGGTGACTAGCAAAAATCCCCAGAAATGGTCTTCCTCTCTCCTCCACTCCCGTCCCCTCCACCTACTCTGCACACACTGCAGCCCAGCAATCTTTTTGAAATGGAAATTTAATCATGCCACGTTCCTGCTTAAAACCATTAAATGGCTCCCTTCACCTTCAGATAAAAAGCAGACATTCTGAGTGGGGAATGTTAGGCTCTGCAATCTTTGACCCAGCCTCCTCTGCCCCCAGCACTATCTCCTGTTGGTACCCCCACATGCACGCTGTGCTCCCGGACACCAAACTGCATGTGAGTTCAGCCTGCATCTGTGCGGCCTCTTTGCATGCCCACAGACTGTTCCTTCAGTATGACATGTCAATTTCTGCCTGACAAATGCTCCTACTCATCTTGCAGAATCTGAATCCTCTAGGAAGCCCTCCTTTGTGCTCCTGTGACATCCTGTGCACCACTGTATCATATGCATCTGTTTGTTTGCATTACCCAGGAAAACAGCACTCCTTGGGAACAGGAAGTGGGTATCAGCTCTAGATCCCTGAGCACAGCCATAATGTAGCATTCTGTAATTGCTTAAGCAACAATAGAAAGGAAAAGAAAAAGAAGAGGAACAAGGGGAGGCTCGTTCTACCATACAGTGCAACATCTTATACAGCTTCAATAGTTAAAAGAGCACACCTGGTGCATGAATAGAATAATTAATGCAACGAGAACCTCTTAGAAATAAAATCAAACATGCAGAGGAATTTAGTGTGAGATAAGGACAGTACTTCAAATCAGCAAACTAGTCAACAAATGATATTGCAACAAGAGGGGAAGAAAGAGTTGGATTCATATCTTATACTTTAACTCCAAATAAATTCCAAATAGATGAAATACTTAAATCTTAAGGAAGAAACCAAATTACTAGAGGAATATGAGATAATTTATTTTATTTGTTTTTTTTTTTTTTTTTTTTTTTTTGGAGATGGAGTCTCACTCATTCTGTCGCCCCGGCTGGAGTGCAGTGGAGCAATCTCGGCTCACTACAAATTCTGCCTCCCAGGTTCAAGCAATTCTCGTGCCTCAGCCTCGTGAGTAGCTGGAATTATAGGCATGTGCCACCACACCCAGCTAATTTTTGTATTTTTAGTAGAGACAGGGTTTCACCATGTTGGCCAGGCTGGTCTCGAATCCCTGACCTCAGGTGATCTGCCTGCCTCGACTTCCCAAAGTGCTGGGATTGCAAGGCGTGACTCACCACGCCTGGCTGAGATAATTCCTTAGAAGTCTGAGTAGGGAAGATCTTCCTAATTGGGATAGAAAGCTCAGAAGCTATAAAAGAAAAGTGTGCAGAAGAATTAACATGGCAGGCCTGAGGCTGCCCTCCTTAGAAAGGCCTGCATACATGGTTGGCCCTTGCCAGACACTTGGTAATCTGGATTTCAGCAGAGTTCTCACCATTCCCTCACTGGTAAGATTGGTTCACTGTGCCCAAACTGTTTGTATAAACAATGTGGTTTACACTGAACTCCTGCTTTTCTTCTGGAAGCCTGGAATTTTGCTTGTGCTAGGCAGTGGGTGCTTACATGGCCAGCCCCAATAAACACTGTGGACACAAAGTCTCCAATGAACTTCCCAGGTGGGCAACATCTCATATGTGCTGCACAACTCATTGCTGGAGGAATTAAGTGCATCCTGTTTGATTCCACTGGACAAGAACTCTGGAAGCCTGTGCCTGGTTTCCCCCGAATTTCAACCTATGTGCCTTTTCTCTTTGCTGGTTTTGTTTTGTATCCTTGTGCTGTAATAAGCCATACCTGTGAGTACAATATGAGTCCAGTGAGTCCTGTTATCGAATCACCACACGTGGGGGTGGTTTTAGAGCCCCTCAACACAGACTCTCAAATGCTACCAAATAAATAGAAAACAAGTCTCCATAGCAAAATCCATCATAAAGTCAAAAAACATACAGGAAAAATATTAGTCACTCATATTAAACATCACTATAGCTATTACACAAAAAGTACGTACAACTAACAAGAAAAAGACCAAACATCCAAACAAAAAATAGGTAGAAGATACAGAGAATGGAGAAATGCAAATACAAATAGCTCAAACCTAAAGATATTCAATTTTACTCATACAAGATAAATGCAAAATAAAACTGGAAGCTACATTTTCACCTATTAGATTGAAAAAGATTAAAAGATCAGAAAACATACTGGGTTGCTATGGTAAGCAGAATAAAGACCTCCCAGCCAGGGCTGGGCCTCATGCCTGTAATCCCAGCATGTTGGGAGGCTGAGGAGGGCAGATCACCTCTGAGGTCAGGGGTTCAAGATCAGCCTGGCCAACATGGCGAAACCCCATCTCTACTAAAAATATAAAAATTAGCCGGGTGTGGTGGCCCACGCTATAATCTCAGCTACTTGGGAGGCTGAGGCACGAAAATCGCTTGAACCCGGGAGGCGGAGGTTGCAGTGAGCTGAGATTGTGCCACTGCACTCCAGCCTGGGCAACAGAGCAAGACTCTGTTTAAAAAAATAAGAAGAAGAATGTCTTCCCAAAGATGTCCATGTCCTAATCCCTCAAACCTGTGTTACGTTACCATATATGGCAATGAGGAATTAAGGTAGTACATGGAATGAAGATCATAGGGTGGAGAAGCACATTCACTGGGCAATGTCTATTGGTGGATGGAAATAGGTACATGACAGTGTATATAGCTCTCTACCATTAGGGTTAAGGGGGAAGGCATGTGAATCAGTTAAGTGTATAGGCCTAAACTATCACTGGGTGGAGACACAATAAACTGAAACCTGGGTTGTCTATGAGGAGGGCAATGAGGTAGCTGAAGTGTGCCGGGAGGGAGATTTTTTCCTGTATACCCTTTTACAGTTCCTGAATTGTCAATCATGAACATATATTACCTATTTACAACTTAAATTAAAAAGTAAATATTTATTGAATAAATGCTATTTCTAAAAAGCAGAATATTCTCATTGATGTCTTGGTTGCTACTGATTCCGATTAATTCGCTCTGTTTACATTAGTATATTCACTCGATAAACATTTACTGAGGCTCTACTATGAACAAGGTATGAAGTGGAGAAAAAGGCAAGGAAGACACAGCCTCTGTTTTTAAGGAGTTGGAAGTCATCCAAAGGAGAGAGATGAGGAGGGCATATAGAGAGGATAGCAGCAAGTGCCACAGGTGGGAGAGAGAAAGTACTATGAGGCCCAGAGAATGCCCAGATAACTTCTTGACAGATGGGGCTTGGAGGGACGTTGTTGGTATCTGAACTACCCTGGAAGGATAAGACAACTCTGGACAAGACGACAACAAAAAGGCACAAATGGCAGCCAAACTCAGAGAATATATGGCCACTGGCGAACATCTCAGTCTACACTCAACTCCACTGAGTGAAGACGGATAACAAACAACGGAGAGAGGTGGGCCACACTGTGAAAGAGACAGAGGTCTGCCTTCACACTGACAGAGAGGGAGGAACTGGTTGAAGTTTGCGGGCAAGGGATAGGAGACAGAATGGAGGTAGAAAGACCTCCTAACAATGTTCCAACAGTTTAGAAGAGAGGAGATGAAGATATGAATTAAGTCAGGCTGGGGAGGCAGAATCCCCTGGATTTAGTACATGCTACGAAACAGGGGCCAGGTATGGTGGCTCATGCCTGTAATCCCAGCACTTTAGGGGGCAGAGGCAGTAGGATTTCTTGAAGTCAAGAGTTTGAGGTCAGCCTGGGCAACACAGTGAGACACCATCTAAAAGAAAAGAAAAATAAATTAGCCAGGTGTAGAGTCATGCACCTGCGGGCTGCGGTGAGCTGTGATCACACCACTGCACTCCACCCTGGGTGACAGAGCAAGACCCTGTCTCAAAAAAAAAAAAAGAAAACAAGAAAAGGAAGAAATGAAAACCTCTGATGGCCTTGATTTCGAATGTTCAAATTTGAATGAACAAGAGGACAATGATATCATTAAGAGTAACTGGGAACACAGAGGAGTGGGTTTCTGGGGCATATGAGAGTCATTTTAAACAGATCTTTTGGTGTTGCTTGAAGTTCTATAACAGCTACAGGGAAATATAAAGCCATGCTTTATATTTGGAAGCCATGCTTAGAAAGGCACTGTTCGTGGACATGAGTTTGCCCAGGGCATAATTCAGAGCAAGGACAGACTTTTGTAGAAAACCCATGTCTAGATGGTAGAAGGATGCAGAGGAGCCAGAAAAGAAGTGAGAGGCAGAGGACTTAGATCTCAGAAGCTATGGGGAAAGTTAGGTTTCAAAAAAAAGAGGGAGAGGTGTCTGCAAATGTGATGGTCTTTATACCATAATGGGACTTCTGCTGAAAACACCTAAAAATGCTGGATATAACAGAGACTTTTTTACTCAGAAGCCAAAAACTAACTGCAAACAGGAATGCAGACAGCAAGAGGAACACACTGGCTTTCACTTTCAGGCCACTTCCAGAACTGGTTTTCATGGCCTCTTGGGGCACAGGAGATAGGGCCTGAAGACCTGGCCAAACCAAAATGAGGAAACCTCCCAAGTGCTACACTCAGGGGAAGGATGCATGGGAAAGGACCACCTGGGGACTTCAAGAGAACCTTCCTGTCTAGATTATTGGTGCTAAGCAAGGGAGGAAACAAATCCCTGCCACCATCCCCCACTAGAAATTTGTAGTCACAAGTCAGCCCTTAAGTAGTATGTGGACGAAACTCACAAAACTTGGATGGTCCCAAAAACATCCAACCTGAGAATTTAATTCATAAGCGTCCCAAACCAGTCATGCTTCAAGATGCCTGGCAGAAAGAAACACAAATCCTCTCTTGGTAAAATTGCCTTCAGTCATATGCTCAGAGTATTCCCACAGATAAACTTCCAAGGAAGAGGAATTTGCAGGCAATAATCACAAGACACACCCACATCAGAAACAAAGTGCCATGAGCCAGCAAACACACACACCTGTGGTAGAAAAGTCCACAAAGACTTCGGGTATTGTAATCATCAGATGCATATTATAAATTACATTTAATGTGCTTTCGGAAGTCAAAAAGAGGATGAGAAATCTGAGCACAGAAGAAGAGATTATAAATAATGGCCAAACAGATCTGAAAAACAATCAAATAGAACTTTTATAATTAAAAAAACATAACAATGGAAATTTTAGCAAACAAAAACTCAGATCAGGCACAGCCGAAGTAGAAGATAAAACTGAAGAAATTACCCAGCTTACATCTCAGGAGAGACAAAGGAAAGTTCCATCAATCAGCATTCTTTAGATTTTATACATATTTTATAAATATCCTCTTGTATCTACTCAATATTTTAAAAGCACCACTTTGCAAGGAAGGGGTGGGATAGTTGACAGTCAAACGATGGTGCAGTTGAAAGGCATATGGTCTAACAGACTACCAAGTTTTCTAACTTGTAGGGTCTTCGGTCATTTTCAGAAGAATCATTCCACTCCAGTGAGCGGGCTAGACGACTGATTGCAATGAGTTATGGAGTGAATGGATGCGAGCGGGGAATTCTACGCTTCTGACCATAGACAACAATGCTACAGGAGACCAGGTGAAATGTCAGTTCCAGAGGACAGGCAATAGGGAGAAGAACCAAGCACATTTCAAGGCTGAGAGGGAGAAGGTGGTGGAGACAGAGAGATCAACGAGAATAGAGGACCAAGTCTTAGAGGAGGCAGGAAGGAAGGAGACTTAAAAGCATAACTAGTGTGTCAATTTGCCAAGTTTACTGTTGATTCAAGAAAAAACAGTCCTGCCCAAAAAGGAAACAGATAACTAAGACATAACTTTTAGTCATTAGGCCACATCTAGGCTAAAAGCATGTGTGTGTGTACTTCATTTCAGTGTCCCTCTGAAAATGAGTTGTTTCTTTTTATCTATTAATTCCATAATCAGCCCAGAAAGTAAGGGTCCACTAAATTTAAGCCTCGTTTAAAATTGCAAAGCAATTTATAAAAATTTCCACATTTCTGAGGCACAAAATAAAACATCCTATGTTGGCTGGACGCAGTGGCTCACACCTGTAATCCCAGCACTTTGGGAGGCTGAGGCGGGCGGATCACAAGGTCAAGAGATTGAGACCATCTTAACATGGTGAAACCCCGTCTCTACTAAAAATACAAAAATTAGTCGGGCGTGGTGGTGAGCACCTGTAGTCCCAGCTACTCAGGAGGCTGAGGCAGGAGAAGCGCTTCAACTGGGGAGGCGAAGGTTGCAGTGAGCCGAGATCATGCCACTGCACTCCAGCCTGGGTGACAGAGCAAGACTCCGTCTCAAAAAACAAAAACAACAATAACAAAAAAATCCTATGTTAATTCTCCATTCATAGGATCATTTATACCTGTCATTCAAATGATCATAAAAGATATATACCTCCATAACGCACTCTACTAACTTTTATGAAAATCTTTTTACAAGTAAGCACAACTGGAGTAGAGCAAGAGAGGACATGGGGTAGATATGGTAGTGTTTAAGCCACACGGCAGGGCTTGATGTGGTTCACCAAAGCTAGGCAAAAAGAAATAAGCAGCAAAGACTATGAAAACCAAAGGCGGCTGTAACAAACACCTGCAAATGCTGATGAGCCCTGCTCACAAAGGTGCTGCTGTCTGGAAGACCTTGCTTCCATCCTTTGCATGCAATCTAATGTACTACACCAGCAGTCCTCAGAAGGCTGCTGGTCTCCACAGCAAAGGCTGTGCAACCCAGCTGCTTCTCTCCTGAAATTAGAGTTACCAAGAGCAAGTTACCTCACCTGTGTCTTTTCTGACTGACATAAGAAGGTCAAATATCTCCCACCACACACACGAAAACAAAAATTTCGCAACTATATGACTGCTAATCAGTTCACAGAATAACAGAAATATTTTGATGCGAAAGAGCTTCATGCAGAATGTGAAAGGAAAGCGGCAAGTGCAAAAACAAAAACCTGAATGAGCCATGTTTCCCTAAAAGCAGTAAGCCTGAGCAGGGTCAAAAGATGGAAAGAAAAACATGGAAAACCATTTCTAAAGAATTCTTTTCATACATATCACTGCCCCCCGTATCTCACCCTTCTAGGTCACATGCTTTCTGGATATTATGCTCTGACTTTCAAAGAGTCTTTTCTCAAGGTACAACCAATGGTTTGTTAATAAGAATACTAATCTATATATAGCATCTTTCTTTGAAAGAGCTTAAAGTGCCCCACATGTTATCACGATTACTTTATTAATAGTCTTGGGCAAAAGTGTGCTGGGTAGTCATCCTTATTCTCTACACCTGCTGGGAAAACGGCACACTAAGAACAGAACTGACATTTATTGGGTACTTACTGCGTGCCAGGCAGCGTCGTAAGCACTTTACATTTAATCCTCACAAAACCCCAACGGGGTAGAGACTGTTATTATCTCCATTACAGATGAGAACACAGAAGCACATAAACATTATGTGACTTCCAAGGTCACCAAGCAGGTAAGTGACTGAGCTGGATTCAGACATAGACCACTGGACTCCAATGGCACATGCTTGTTACCACACACCAGAAAGGCTCTGCAAACGTGTCCCCTCACAGGGTCTCCCCATCAGTGGCTGCTATGAGCCTGGCACCCAGGTCTCAGGCTTCATTTCTTCTAGCCCTAGCCTTCCTTTGTGTGAGTCTATATCCCACAAGTTTATTCATAAACTCTAAACCTTCACTTAAAATTCAAGAAAATCCATGTGCGCCTACTGCTATAAAGGCAGATTTAAGTGACTATATTCACGCCTACAATAACTTAAAGTGCAGTTTATTCTACATATTCTACCATTACCTAAAATGGTGTTTTTCAAACTTTTTGGACCACGATTAACGGTAAGCAATGCACTTCAACACCATGACCCAATACACACATACACCGGAGAGAAATGTTTCACGTAGCCACACTTATCCATATTATGTTATGCTCTTATTCTATTCTATTCTATTTTAAAATGCTGGCTGCAACCTAGTGAATTGATTTTATGACTCATTAATAGGTTAGGATTGACAGTTTAAAAAACTCTCATCTAATATGTGTATTATCTCTGATTATCCCATCTGAGTAAAAAATGAGCAAACAATAAAGAAAATCAACAAAAGAACAACTTTGCCATTGAACTTATCACCCCAACAATCAAACTCTTTATCTTTCTGTAGCACTATCAGGCTCTGTTCAGTTATACATGATTTTAATTTCTGCCTTAAAAAAATCGCCATACTATCAGAAACACTGACATTTATTAAAATATATCATTTACCTAGAACTAGTATTGAGCTTCATGCAATTTATGAGAATTCAGTACAATTTCTAGTGTTTGAAAAGCAAAGCAAATAGATTTTTAAAAAGAAAATAAATGAATAAATTTCTATTTTTGGCCAAAATAGAAATGTTACTAAAAAAAGTGCGCATCTTACCAGATTGACATAACACAGAAACAATGAAGTTAATGGTTTGGGGTGAACTCTGTTGCTGAACAGCTCAAGTTCAATTCAAAGTGTTAAGTCGTGACTTGAAAACACTGAGTGGTGAAAATACTAATGGGACAGGAGGCCAGAGAGAGCCAAAGGGGTGGTCTGAAATGAAAAAGCCCACTCATGGTGTATTCATGACCTGGCCGGAGTCAGGACCCAGCTTGCTTGGCCTCCAGACACCATTTCATAGATGCAACAGCAAGTTCACTTCTGACTTCAAATGCCAATAAAAATCACTAAGATAATCTGCAGCTGGCTGAACAGTTCCAATAATATTAACAAAGTGATCTTTTTCAAGCAGGGGCCCTTTGTATTGTTCAAGGCAATCAGGCTTATGTTACCTCCTAGGAAAGCCCTTTTTGGCACACTCCCACATTCCCCACTGTGACAGTTTGGAAACTTTTCTTCCCCTCCTGTCTCACAGAAATAATGGTCCCTTCTCCTTTCCCAAACTGCCCCACAAACTGGGCTGGATCCCATCCCCCTCTGCCTTCTTCAGGATCCTGCTCAAGAAAAGATCCCTTCTCTCTCTTGCCTTGAAAAGAGGCAAGATTTCTTTCCACAAATATATTCATTTTCCTTTTTCAAATTCTAAGGTAAAAACTTTCTTCCCTCAACATGCCTGCCACTCTTTTTTAAACCAACTATGCTTCCTTTAAACACCTGCAAACTGGTGTTTGTCCCCGTCACCCCGAGATCATTTTCTGAGATTTATAAAGGCTCAAAAAGAAAAAAAACCCCAAAAAACAAAAACGTATGCCAGGCACTGGACTAGGCACTAGAGTTGCAAAGATAATAAAAGGAGGTCCCGACTTTAAGCAGGTCAGTTAGGGTCAGGTCCCTAGGGAGCTTGTGATCCATCTCCCCAGCTCTCCCAGCACTGACACCCATGACATCCTGTTAATCCTTTCCAGGCTCTTCCCTCGCCTCTGTAACCATTCCGTTTTCTGGCTCCTTTCCTATCTTCACTCCCTAAAAGATGGCCTCTCCCAAGATTCTGGTTCAGGACTTCTCTATTACATACCAGGATTACTTTACCAGGGCCCTACAAAGGGGCTTCAGAGGGGCCAGAAGTCCTCTAAAATTTTAGGTAAGGTTTTGTACATGACTGCATGTTTGAGGGGAAAAGAAACTATAATTTACATCGTATTCTCAAAGGAGCCCATAACTTCAAATGACTTAAGAACCACTATTCCAAATCTATATCTCTAGACTCTTTACTGAGGGGCAGGCCTTCAGTGGCTTGCTGTCAATTCTGTCAAAATACATGAAATGCTATGTGTCCAAAACAGAACTCATTGTTCCTCCCCCTTCCCCTTTCTTCCACCTGTTTCTGCAAATAAAATCTTTTTCTGACTTCCCTACTCTGTGGACAGTGCCCCACCCTCATCACTCAAGCCCCAGACCTCAGAAGTCCTTCACTGGAAATTAAATCCATTCTTCAAGGCCCTATACTAACAACTATCAATTCCATGTAGGCCTTTCCAATTTTGGTTAGATGTGGTCTCTTCTTCCTGTGAGTCCCCCGTGGATTTCCTTTGCGTTTCTCTTGCACAAATGAATGTATACTATCTTATGTTGGGGCTAAACATATTTGTCACATCACTACTGTTTGACTGTCACATCCCTCAATGGGACTAGGTATCACTCATCCTACACACTACTAAATCCTTGACTGCCCCCACTGCATCCTGACACCACCCAACACAAGACATGAAATGAACTTGACTGATGAAACAGTTGCACATGTGGACTTGAATATCAGGGACTGCTATTCCAAAAGCAGGGTCAAGGGCTGATCTGTTTCAATCTGTATCTTGCATTGTATTGGTGACTGGCAAACTTTTTTTAAGGATGACTTTCAGTGATTAAAACCTAAGATAATGTCACCTTCCAAAACTTCATATGAGCAATTCAGTTGACTTTTTTTTTTTTTTTTTTGGCAGTTTCTTACTTTATTGACTTCCTAAAACAAGAAGCAGGGATTCTCAGCACAGGTATGAAAAATATGGCCAAGTACCACAGACTTGAGAAATCAAGCCCTCTGTGGATGACTCCAATAACAGCAACAGAGATTTCTAGGTTTTGGTGTTAGATTTGTAATACTCAGAAACATCCATCTCATTTGTTTCCATATAGTGATTTTTCCTTCCTTTCTACTAACCCGAGTTCAAGAAGAAAGCCATCATTACAAAACTCCCATGCAGATGTCACTGTGCTGACAGTAGAGAGAGAAATAAAGGCTGATCCCTGCCTTGATAAGCTCATAATTTATCAGGCAGTGGTAGGGGGAGGTAGGAGGTAGTTATGACAAAATTATTCCATAAGGCACACTGAGATAAGTGCTCTGATAGAGGAACTTGCAAAGACTAACAATTGAGCGGTAAGATGAACTCTCACTGGGGGCACACACATATGGCCTGGAAAAGGACACAGGACAGATTAAGATGTTGAAGGCTAAGTGTGTGGAAGATGGGTAAGCAAGAGACGAGGGGACTGCAGGTAAAGGGGACAGCAAAATCTGAACCAAGAAAGTACTGTGTGTGCTAGAAGAGCATAGGGCAGCCCTGTGCAGCTGCAGTGTAGGGCACAAGCTATGAAAAGTAACTGGGGGTTTGTTTTTTGGGGGGTAGAGGATGATACAGTAACATGATCATATTTAAAAACAAAACAAACAACAACTGGCAGCATTGTGTAGGATTAGCTGGAAGGGGAAGAAACTGAAAGAAAGGAAGCCAGTTTGGAAGCATGGATTAAGGTAGGAAGCATAAGTAGAAAAGAGAGGAAATAGCTGGGTGTTGCTACTAAGTAGAACTTACAGGATTCAGAATTGATGTGCCTATGGGAGGAATAGCAGGGGGGGAACTGAAAAGCTGACTTCAAGTTATCAAACCTAAACAACTGGGGATCCTCAAACTTGCAGGACATATAGGATGAAAGGTAGGTTTCATGAACTGCAAAGAGGTCAGGGCAACAAGAAGTTTGTGATTCTACTTTTTTTTTTTTTTTTTTTTTTTGAGATGGAGCTTTGCTTTTGTCACCCAGGCTGGAGTACAATGGCACGATCTCAGCTCACTGCAACCTCTGCCTCCCGGGTTCAAGCGATTGTCCTGCCTCAGACTCCTGAGTAGCTGGGATTACAGGTGCCCAGCACTACACCCAGCTAATATTTTTATATTTTTAGTAGGACAGGGTTTCACCATGTTGGCCAGGATGGTCTCGAACTCCTGACCTCAAGTGATCCATCCTCCTCGGCCTCCCAAAGTGCTGGGATTACAGGCGTGAGCCACTGCGCCAGATGAGCTCATGATTCTCAGACTCCCAGAGGAAGGAATTTGAGGGTTAGACTCATTGGACTCACTCAAGGACAATATCAGGGTTAGATTTAGAAGTCATCTACATAGCAGTGACGACTTTAAACTAAACGAAACCATCAAGGCAAAGTTAATAAGATGAGAAGAGAAGAGGGATGAGAGTGAAGACATATTTACATTTAAGGAAAAGACAGAGGTAGTGGAGACTGGAAAGGAACAATCAAGATGGTGCAGGAATACAGAAACCAAGACTTTCAAGAAGACGATGGTCAAAATTGTTGAATGCTGGGGAAGAGATCAAACAGAATGAGATGGAAATGAGCCACTAGATTTGGCCAGTAATGAGCTCCATACTGGAATGGGTTGGAGGAATGAATGCACTGGAGACGAGGATAGGCTAGAATATTCTTTCCAGAAGTTTGGCAATGAAGTGAAAGATGGGACAGTAGTATAAGGGGAAAGCTGGTCCAGCACTTGACTTTTTTAGGGGAGTATACCCTAGAAGAAACAGAAGATACCAGAGAAAGGGGATGTCTGATGAAGCAAGATCTTGCAGGAGACAGACTGGGGCTTCAGCTCCTTCAAACCTGCCATTCTGTCAATTTCTGATAATTTAGGGCCAGATATGCATAAATCAAGACAGAACACATTTCCTAATTGAACTTTCATCAATTAGACTCACATTCTCACTTTCATAATAATTAAGAAGATGTGTTCCCATCAGACTCTCTTTTTATCCTAATAGAATTAAAAACTCTAATATAGACATATTTTTAAAAATCACATATTTAATCAGAAACTTAGAAAAGGCTGAAAATAGATTCAATTATGAGATCAGCACATTTGTTCCCAAGCATTACATTTTCATCTGCGTTCAACACATGCCTCTTCTACTTAAGGGTCCCTTCCATCACCTTCGGTTTAGTCTGCAATATGATCATCCTATACTTAAGATAAAGGCATTTATACAGTATATGTTGTAAATAATTATTTTTTCACTCTCCCCTTAGCAGGTATTTGCATCTAAGTTCAAGTCAAACTGAGGAGGAGGACTGGGGTTAGAAGATTCAAGCAAGGCACGGCAGTAAAAAAGGAGGCAAGGCCGAGGCAGGATATAAAGAAAGATTGTTCTACAAGCAAAACTCATAGAAAGCCTTATTTCAGTCATGCAGTAAGAGTAAGGTTACTCCAGTAGTTTGGTGAAGAGGAAGGAAAAGTTTTAGGTACATATACTGAATCACCTTTGGACTAAGTCATAGATTACAACTAATTAAATGCATAATAAATTGGTCCTGACAATTACATAATAAATGCTATCAAATGACATTTGAAAGGTTATTCTTTTCAAAAATAAAACTGCCCCTATTCAGCTATTGGTGCAGTACCTACACCACACATCTGTATTTGTTCAAATGGCATTTAGGCTCAGAGAGTTTGTTCCCATTTACAATTGGAGCCACAAAAGCCTGACACTCATTGCTCATTAGCTCCAAAGTTGACTGACAGGGGAGAGACCTGTTCCCTCTGGAAATGATGAAATTATTTAATAAACACCTCTGCAGACACATCACACTGGGAAACACAACACAGACATTAAAAGAAAGAGGATCCCAGTTTGCAGGCAGTTTTCACAGAGGAGGCACTGAGAACCTTCCCACGCTGAGGAGAGCACTGGAATTTACCAGACTGTGAGCCAGGGGAAACGCGTATCTCGTGAGGATCTCAAACATATCTCTTCTGCTGTGGCCTTCCTGTTTCAAAGCGAACCTCAGGTTTCTCATGTCCTGGGGGCAAAGGAGAAGTATGACAGTTCAGTCTTCAAAGAAAGTCATGTTAATTAGCAAGAAATCTTCCATTCAATTAAGGGAGAAGATTCACTTACCTAAAAGGGCAATTAATCTAAATTATTACAAAATTGCTTTGTTTTATATGGTAATTTGGTATATCTGGCTTAAGAACACCTGAAAATATTTCCGTCATAGCCATGAATGTGAAGACAAGATAAAGCAACTAGCACTAAGGAGAAGACAGAGCTAAAATTCATTTTATAAAAAGGAAAAAAAAATCAAACCTTGCCTTGCACAACATCTACGATGATCCATCTACTTTCACTGGGTTCTGAGGTATTTTTAAATTTTTTAAAATTTATTTTATTTAATTTAGTTTTTGAGACATAGTCTCACTCTGTGGCCCAGGCTGGAGTGTAGTGGCATGATCTCGGCTCACTGCAACCTCCACCTCCTGGGTTCAAGGGATTCTCGTGCCTCAGCCTCCTGAGTGGCTGGGACTACAGAACGCACCACCACGCCCAGCTAATTTTTTGTATTTTTAGTAGAGATGGGGTTTCTCCATGTTGGCCAGGCTGGTCTCGAACTCCTGACCTCAGGTGATCTGCCTGCCTCGGCCTCCCAAAGTGCCAGGATTACAGGTGTCAAGCCACCACATCCGGCCCTGATATTTTTTTTAATTATAAAACTATTTTATTCAAACAACTTTTCTAAAGAGTACCTGCTATCAAATATAATCTCAACATTGTCAAACATGTCATTAAAATACAGAAGCTCTCTTCCTAAATGACTGACATTTTAAGCCCTCATGCAAGTCATATATTTTTATTCTACAATTTTACCTTCACAGAGTTCCATATAAGCCACATTAAAGTAGCCCATATTAGTAGTAACTACACTTTTGGGAACTAAAAATAAACAGTCAAAACCAGATTTTAAAGGTAGCTTCCAATACATATCTGTTCAATAAGCAGGAAAACTTTGTCTTAAACCAAATCCAAACCAAATAAGCTCCTTTAAATGTCAATTTGTATTATATATACAGATGTAACATTCTATCTTATTTTCAAGACTGGAGTTTTTTAAGGTTGTATCTTAAAAAAAAAAGTCAATTACAGTGCTGTGACTGAGTGATGGCTCTGCATTGGAACCCTATGCTCTGCAGTGCACTTTAAACTTTCATTTCAGATAAAGGAGTGCTGTGCTGGACCATGGAGCCACTTCAGGAGCGGTACAGACCTAGTTGTTGCCCTCTTGGATATCACAGTCTTCATTTTTTTTCAAGGTGCTTTTTCCTTCCTTATCTCAAGAGCACTCTTAACGCTTCCCAAGTCTTCAGTCTGAAGGACCAGCACAGGCTATGGCCTTCACAAGACATCTCAAACACAAATAGCAGCAAATGAAGTATGAAGAACTAAAGTCTGAGACCACTAATAAAGAACTTGAGATTGAGCACTCTGTATACAGATGACATCTACTAGGCCTTGCCAGCTCCACGATTCCATGCTTTTTTAAAAAGCATGTCACAGAATAAAGTCCAACAACCCATTCATATCACCTCCCAAGAAAATTGGGCTATTGGTTATTGGTTTGTGATGAAATGAACAGTTAAATAAGGGGAATAATCATTTCAATGGGATGATATGCATTACAAGGGTTTACGACCAGCCACAAGTGCAATACTGGAGAGCTGAGCATTCTCAGGGCTCAGGCCCTGTGAGGAACTTTCTTCCTAACAGCCGCAAGTCAGATGGTAACTCTGTAACATCGTTCTCTTCACTGCTTGGCCAGAAATTAGACCATCTCTACATGAATATTTATTCTGATCTATCAGTGATTCAAACAGCTACTTTTAATGTGCCAAAGCACAAGTGATTCAAGTAACTTCTTTTTGCCATCTGATTAAGATGCAATTAAAGACAGAATATTATTTCTTGCCAACAAAACTGAAGTAGAAAAGGCAAATGACTCACAGGCGGCAGATCACCAAATCTGTAACAGAAATAGGAGCACAGACTAACTGGTAAGTTCCACCTGGTCTCCTCAGAGTTTGACTCATCAGGGAAAGATCCACATGGGCTAAGAGTCTCCTAGTCAGACCCTCAGCCTTTTTAACAGCCGGGTCATATGGTGATGTTCCAAGCCTCACTACAGTAAGAGTTGAAGAATACATATCCCTGCTGCAACGACTCTGAAGAGTTGATTTATTGAGGCATCATTTCTAAAGAAACAACACACATGACTGCTGACTTCAAAATGCCACACTATGTCTTTAAGGCGAGTACATGGGAGTGAGGTGGGGAAGGAAAGAGAAGGCTTTGTGGTGGTATGGTTTTACTTCACTTTTTTTTGTTTGAAAGACTCCACACAGGCACCAGGGGTTGGTATGGGGCCTGCAGGGTAAGAATTTGCATATTCAGAACTACCTTTCTCCTGCTGCTGGACAACATCCTCTGGGACTTGTATCTACCATGGGAAAGTTGCTACTGGCAAGCAGAAATCTCTATGTGCATTGCTGGCATAGCCAAATTTATAGGAGTTGTAACTACTTGTTTCAAGAGAGAAATGCGGTTGTATCATGGTTATTGACTGCAGGCGAAAGTTGACCTATGAGAGACAGGACAGTGAGTCTTTTATCTCACCGAAGCAGATTTCCTTTATATCAATGTCAGGTTTGTTACTGAGAAAATGGAATATGACTCTGTGACGTCAGTGTTTCTGGGGAGACAATTTAGTTAAAAGGTTGTGCTACAACATTGTTCTAAGCCATCACCTTTGGGCTCATGCTAACTCCAAAAAATATACATATGTAACATTTCAGAATTATGCTTGGTGAGTTGTTCCTACGCCTTTTGTTCGTAAATAGTCAAGGGTGAAAATGTGCTTTGTCTCATTAATTTTGGGGGGATTGATATTTAAGTACAAGTTTTTCCTATTATAAGGCAGAAAATAGGTTTTTTTAAACCCTGTAAGAATGAAAGTCACCTCAAAACTGTCAATATAGCAACCCCATTTTCCCTTGAGCACTCTAATATTAAACACTCTACTCCCATAAATCCTTTTATGCAAAATACAAAAGTCTTCCTTCAAAGTAAATTCCCATGTTTCTAGGCCCCAAAGGGTAGACAGTAGCTGGGATAATAGATAAAGCATTAAGGTAGCTCGAATTAAAACACCACCAAAAAAAAGCTGAGGTGGATGGTAGTGGTGAATTTCAGTTAAGATTTAATAATGGCATTATCCTTTAGTTTCTGATAGAAAAAACGAGTCTTGATCTTTTATAAACGGAAAGAAAAACACCATATTGCAGCATAATCCAAATATAAGCACACAATGTTGGTTTTGAGAAATCGCAGTGTATGAGACTAGAAAAAGGAGACTTAGTTTTTGGTTCTGGCTCTTCCGCTGGCTCCCTAGGCAACACAAGGCAAGTAATCTCACACAGCAAAGGCCTCACTTCTCTATCAATACAATGAACGACTTGGATTGGCCAGGGGCCAGCAAACTTCAGCCCAGGTCTTCAAATTAAGACTGTTTTTTTTTTTTTTTAACACTTCAAAAGGGTTGAAAAAACAACACACAGAGAAGAATACACAACAGAAATCTGATGTGGCCCACAAAGCCTAAAATATTTGCTACTGAGCCCTTCACAGAAAAAGTCTGCAAAGCCCTGCACTGGACTGGTGGTTCATAGTCACACGAGACGCTTGAACACATCCCCACCTTTTGGGTCCCAGCCTTCAGAAATTATCTTAGCAAAGTTACCCAACTCTTTGGAGCCTCGGGCTCCCATCACGCCATCTCAGAGGGTTGCACTTGAGGATCAAATGCAAAGCACCTAGCATGTGTTTGGATGGACACAAATGTTCAATACATGGTTACTATCACAGCAAAGTGTACCTCTGAAAATGACCTAAGCAAAAGTTACGAAGGTTATTAGAGGTAAGGACACATCCCGTTAACAGAGGGCAAAATCTCTTCTATTCCTCCTTCCTTCATGTTAACATATGACATGAAGGGGCGCCAGGAGCAAGCTGGAGCAAAAACTAAAGTGGTTTAAGAAATTTTATCTATAAAGTTCTCTTCCCACTCAGTCAAGCTAACAAACTGACCAGTTCCTCGAGTCCTTGTATTTGGTGATTGCAGTGGGTCCCTCACGTGGGCACTATTTCCCAGGCACTTTTGAAAAGCTTGTTCTTAAGGGAAGAACCATTTCCAGGGCCTTAGATGAACATGAGATTTTGATTTTTTTTTTTCAAATCCACATTAATTGTCTACTATCATTCAACACTAACGTGCCTTGTTCTTTGCATAAGAAAGTATCGAATCTCTTACTTTACAAGTAATATCTAGACCATAGGAATTTTCTCCTCTACTTGTCGCGCCTCCCATTTTTTCAATTCTCGAGATCACACCCAGAGGAACATCAAGTATTAGAGAAGAATCCTGTAATGGACAAAAATACAGTAGTCAGTATTTCTGTCAGTATAATTAAAACATCAAAAAACATATAAAAACAACCATATGCTTTCAGAGTGATTTTACCTTGGCCCTTTTAGCACTTTATGAACAAAAATATGATACAGATCACACATGACAGAGCAAGCATTAAAACAGTCAATTATGCAATCAAAATGCATCCCCAAACATTTGCCATTGTGCACTGCCTCTGGAGTAAAGACTAAACTCCTAGGTACACATTTCCAGGACGTCCGTGATATCACTTCCAGCCTGTTTCTGTGGGATTCTCTCCCACGATATTCTGCACTCCAACTAAGTAAACTTCTTCATTCTTCAGATGCTTCATCTACGATCAAGCCACCTGCTTTGCTCAGGGTGTTCCCTTTGCCTAGAATGATCTGTCTTTCCCAGCTACCAAAATTGTCCCCATGACTTTCGCCTTGGCTCAGCAAGCATCACCTCTAATGAGGCCTTGCTTCCCAATTAGATCAGGCAGAATTCATCACTTTTTCCTCAGAAGTTCCATAGCACTTGATTCCGACTGCTGTTAACCACTTGCTTCACTCTGCCTTGTTACCACGAATTTACACATATGTATTCCCCCACTAGAGACCAAGCATCTGGAAATGGTGCTTGTCTCTGGCATGCGTGCATTTCCCAAAGCAGAAGGGCCTTAATGCACAGCAAGGCTTCTCCATCATTTGCTATCCAACGCTGGGTGCAAGTGGTCTAGAAGACTGCTGGCATGATGGAATCATGTTAGTCAAGTAATAGCACAATCATCACCAGGAGATCATCACAGCAGCTGCCATGTAGGAAATACCTCTCTTCTGTGCCAGGTACTACATTAGGGGCTTTGCACGCATCATCTCATTTTATCCTCACAACCGTTCCAGGATATAGGTGAAGTATCCCCATTTCCTAAGTTTTTCAAAGCTTCAATAACTTGTTTAGTAAGTATAGGGCAGGGTTGAGACTCGAGGCAATGCCTGAAAACACACATTAAAAGTGCCATAAAAATTGTCCTACTCTTTGATCCAATAATTTCGCTACTAAGAACTTATGGCTATCACTTAACAGAAGGAAGATGTTCAATGGAGCTAGAGGTAGATAACAGGGTAGAAAAAATTATACTCAACTCGCTGGAACAAGTATACAGTTTTTAAAATAATTATGGTACATGGAAAAGTAAGTTTAAGTGGGAAACAGCAGCATACAACACACACGGTGACTACAATAACATGAAATATCTATTTACAGGGACAAAGACATGAAGGGCTACACCATTTTTAATCCAAACTTTTCTTTCATATTGTGATAGATAAGTTTGAAAAATAAAGAAAAAAAATTTTTAAGGGTTATTTGGTTTTTTGTTCTTTAAAAACCTTTTGGGGCTACAAAGTTTTTCTTTTCTTTCCCCCCTTTTTTTTTTTTTTTAAGAGATAAGTTCTTGCTCTGTTGCTCAGGCTGGAGTACAGTGGCTCACTGCAGCCTTGACGTCCCAGGCTCAAGGGATCCTCCCACCTCAGCCTTCCAAGTAGCTGAGACCACAGGCACACACCACCAGCCACACTTAATTTTTTTTTTTTTTTAGATGAGTCTCACTCTGTCACCCAGGCTGGAGTGCAGTGGCACGATCTCAGCTCACTGCAACCTCCACCTCCTGGGTTCAAGCAATTCTCCTGCCTCAGCCTCCCAAGTAGCTGGGATTACAGGCATGTGCCACCATGCCTGGCTAATTTTTGTATTTTTAGTAGAGACGGGGTTTTGCCATGTTGGCCAGGCTGGTCTCAAACCCCTGACCTCAGGTAATACACCTGCCTCGGCCTCCCAAAGTTCTAGGATTATAAGCATGAGCCACCATGCCCAGCCAAATTTTTTAAAAGTTTTTTGTAGAGACAGAGTCTTACTATGTTGTCCAGGCTGGTCGCAAACTCCTGGGCTCGAGTGATCCTCCCACATCAGCCTCCTGAGTAGCTGGGAGTAGCTGAGACCACAGATGCATGCCACCACGCCCAACTAATTATTTTGTATTTTTTGTAGAGATGGTGGGGGGGTCTCACTATGTTGTCCAGGCTGGTCTCAAACTCCTGGGCTCAAGCAATCCTCCTGCCTTGGCCTCTCAAAGTATTGGGATTACATGTGTGAGCCACTGCTCCTGGCCTTTTATATTAAAATACAATACAGAAAATAAGCAGTTATTCATAAAATATAAATGCAGCTCATGGGTTATCTAGAAATTCAAAAAGTGTAAGGCTGCGAGCATCCATACCATGGAATACCACTCAGCAAGAAAAATGAATGAACTATGGATACATGGAACCTGGAAGAATCTTAAGGGCATCACGTGGAATGAAAATCGCCAATCTTTTTTTTTTTTTTTGAGACAGGACCTCACTCCATCACCCAGGCTGAAGTGCAGTGGTGTGATCTCAACACAGCCTCAACCTCCCTGGGCTCAGGTAGCCCTCTCACCTCAGCCTCCCAAGTAGCTGGGACTACAGGTACATGCCATCGCACCTGGCTAATTTTTGTACTTTTGTAGAGATGGGGTTTCACCATGTGGCCCAGGCTGGTCTCGAACTTCTGAGGCTCAAGCCATCCACCTGCCTCAGCCTCCCAGAGTGCTGGGATTACAGGCGTGGGCCACCACACTTGGCTGAGAAATGCCAATCTTAAAAGGTAAGGTATTATATGATTCCTTTTATATAATGTGCTTGAAATGACAAAATTGTAGAGAGGGAACCCAGAGAAGTGGTTGCAGAGGTTGAGGGGAGGGATAGCGCGACTCTAAACGGGCAGCACGAGCGAGTTCTTTTGTGGTGACAGAACAGTTCCATGTCTTGATTATTGATGGTGGTTACCTGGGATCAAATGCTACAGAACTGTGCACAAAAGCACACAAAAAGTGAGTGCGGGAAAAATACTGCTAAAATTCAAGTATGGTCAGTCTAGTTGTGCCAATCCACTTCCTGGTTTTGATAAAGGGATATAGTTATTGTGGGGAACTCAGTAATAGGTACAAAGGACCTCTTCTATTTTTGCAAGTTCTATGAGCTCATAATTATTTCAAAATAAAAAAGCAAAAAAGTGTACGAGTATAATTATCATAATGTAGAGAAAATAGTACAAGCTCTTAAGGCGGACAAAACTGGCTCAATCTGAATCCTGACATTTACTAGCTGATAACAGTGGTGAGTTACTATCACTCAGTCACATTTATCTGAAAGTAGAGATGATTACAGAAAATGAGTTTAAAGTACCTGGCGTCGTGCCTGATGCCAGTAGCTAGAAAACAATGGAAGTTATTATTATTATGGCAAAGAATATCTTAGTATTTGGAAGATGTAATTGTGCTCTTCAAATATAGTGGATCAGTATGCTCTAGCAAGCATCTAACAGATCTTACTGTTTGTACCTATAAGGAGGAATGTCACGGGGTAAGACACCTCATGACATGACTGAAACCTAAATGCCCAAAGAGAAAAATACTACTCAGTAACAGTGTACGTATATAAGCAGCATATTTTCATGTATTTACTTATCGATACAGTGCAGTTATTTAAAACACAGTATCAGTCTGTTATTATGCTTAGATATACCATATTGACATTTGAGTGTCTGTGAACTGTATTCTTAAATGTCAAATTTATACATAAAATACACAGAATAGACACTAAATAAGTCTGATACTCTAGCATCAACATGGAAGCAAGGATGTTTGAAAAAAGTGGAAGAATTAAAAGTGAGCTAACACCTTGCTACTCTTTGTCTCTGTACAGAGGAAACTGTATAGCTCAAAGAGCCCTGGCCCTACACAGAAAAAAAGAAAACAGGTCGCTGAGGAGAACCAGCCAGCTTCTGACCAAAGGCACCCACCGTCTAATAAGGTTACTTGCTACATTCTCCCTGAATGACACATTCAAGATCAGATAACCCAGCAGGCCAAACTGCAAGATCCAGGAATAGGCAAATTAGCTGAACTTTCTGGATACCTGAGTCATCAGTATCTAAATATCATTAAATATTTAAGGATTTTCAAAGGCCCATTCTAACTCAAAAGTCTATGCCTTGTACTTCTAACTACCTAAAGTAATTGACATGAAAATAGGGGAGTTAAATAACCTAAAATAATGCATTCTTTCTTTCTCTCTCTCTCTCTCTGTCTCTGTCTGTCTGTCTGTCTCATACACTAAGTAACAGAAACTCTACTGGGCCCTAGGGTTCATGAAGTTAAGAAGCAGAGTTGCCCACATGGAGTTCAGGGCCTAGCTCTATCTGGGAGATAAGACACATGGACTCAAGTAACTACAATGCCAGGTTGCTAGTGCCAAGAGCCATAGGCAAAGTCCACACAAAGTGAAAGGGGAGGTCAAAGGAGGGCAAACCATATCTGATGATTAGATAGCATGAAGGTTCTGTGGCAATGACTGCATTAAAAATGATCCTTAAAGGATGGATCAAGAGCAACTGGAGATTGGCATTTGAGAAGCAAGTAAGAGTCACATCAGCTGCACATGTGGGAAAAGCATGGAGAGTTTATTTTAAAAAAATATAGGCCAGGTTTCAGCAACGGTGATGGGAATTTCCTGGGGAGTACTACACGGCTAGGATCAGGGAGACTGAGATCTAAAGGATGCTTCTGGAGAACAGGAATGCCATGATTAACTGGTGCTTTATGAAGATTCATCTGGCAGCACTGAGCATTCTGGACTAGCAAGAAGTGGGCTACAACCACTCCTCAAAACCATGAAAGCTGATACTTCAGTACAAGTGAGAGGCTATGAGGATCTAGAAGTAGAGAAGGACCGAGGTAGAAAGCAAAAGAGACTAGCCACTGGGGAAGACTCAAAGATGAATCAGCTTTGGGCCCAGATCTCTGGGATAAATAGTGGTGGTACCACCAAAAGATGTGAAGAACACAGGAGGGGGTTTTAGAGAAAGATGAACACGGCCGATTTTAGAAACTCTTGGTTTGAGATTATGATAAATGAACCAAGTACAGATACCCAGGAGATGGCTGGATATACAGAACTGACAAGATCTCAAGGGTACCTCGAACTAAAAATGTCCAGAACTAAATGCAGTTCTCTCTCCAAACTACATTATTCTCCAAAGTTCCCTATCTCAGTGGCTGGTTACGAAAGCTAGAAACCTAGAAGTCACCCCTGGCATCCCCTTCTCTGCTATCCTTAAGCCAGTCTCCTATGTCTACCTCTTAAATCAGTCTCAACTCTGCTAACCACTCCAATTCTACCAGCAACTTCTCTGGGCCACTGCCGTGGTTGCAGTGGTCTCAAAATCTACGATCATTCCCCCTAGAGTAGCCAGGGTGATCTTTTAGAAGAGCACATCTGATGTTATCATTCCTTGGCTCACACCACTTTGAAAGTGGTGTGAAAAGCTTCAAAAGCTTCTCATTGCTGAACTCTAAAAACCCAAATCCTGACCAGGCATGGTGGCTCACGCCTGTAATACCAGCACTTTGGGAGGCCGAGGTTGGTGGATCACCTGAGGTCAGTTCAAGACCAGCCTGGCCAACATGGTGAAACCCCGTCTCTACTAAAAATACAAAAATCAGCTGGGCGTGGTGGCAGGTGCCTGTAATCCCAGCTACTCGGGAGGCTGAGGCAAGAGAATTGCTTGAACACGGGAGGCGGAGGTTGCAGTGAGCCGAGATCACACCATTGCCCTCTAGCCGGGGGACAAGAGCGAGACTTCATCTCAAAAATAATAATAATAATCATCATCATCATCATCATCATCATCCTGGGGAAGGCAATGGGGAGATGTTGGTCAAAGGAGACAAAATTTCAGTTAATAGGAGGAGTAAGTTCCAGAGATCTACTGTACAACAAAGTGACTACAACTAACAACTATTGTGTACTAGAAAATTGCTGAGAGTAAATTCTAAATGTTCTGACCACACAAAATATGTATGTGAGGCCATGCTTATGTTAAGTAGCTTGATTGACTCATTCTACAATGTGTATGTATTTCAAAACACGTTGCACACGATATATACAATTTTTGTCAATTAAAAAATAAATTAAAGGGCTGGGCATGGTGGCTTATGCCTGCAATCCCAGCACTTTGGGAGGCGGAGGCAGGCGGATCGCTTGAGCCAAGGAGTTTGAGACCAGCCTGGGCAACACAGCAAGACCCTATCTCTACAAAAAATACAAAAATTAGCTGGCCATGGTAGTGTGCAGCTATAGTCCTAGCTACTCAGGAAGTTGAGGTGGGAGGACTGCTTGAGCTCAGGAGGTCATGGCTGCAGTGAGCTATGATTGCACCACTGCACTCCAGCCTGGGCAACAGCGAGACCCTGTCTCAAATCAATCAATCCAATGAATAAATGAAAAAATAAAAACCCCAAATCCTGAACAGGGTGGGCAAGGCCGAGGACATCTGGCCACCATCTACCTCTCTCACCTCATCTCTTGCCATTCTCCCCCAACTCAGCCATACTGTCATTTTTCATGCTTCCTTTGGTCTCAGGTCCTCTCATATGCTGTTCTCTCAGCTTCTTCTCACCTCCCCAGCCCCTGACTCACATCTAGGGAACTTATATGTATTCTTCAGACCCCAGGTCAAGCATTTTCTCAGGACAATTTCCCAGGCTCCTCAAACTGTTGTGCCCCTGTACTACTCCCACGCAACACTGATCACAGCTTGTTATTATATATTGGCGTGACTATCAGAAGAATGTTTATCAATCCCATGAGAACTATAAGCTTCGTGAGGGAGAAACTGTTTGCGGTGCTCACCATCATATCCTAGCACCTGGCATAGTGCTTAACACATACTGGACTCTCAGATACTCAATGAATACAGAATGAAAGATTGGAACTGGAGCTAGAGAATTGGAAAGCAACTGACAATGGAGAAAAAAGAGGGTGAGGACAGAACTCTGGGGAAAATAATATTTAGGAGGTAGGAAAGAAAAAATGAGCCGCATAGAAGGCAAGAGGCAGAAATGAGAGGAGAGCCAGGAATGTATAGGGAAAAGGATAAAGGAAGGAGCAGTCAACAGAATCAATCCCTGCATAGAAATTTAAAAGTCAAGAACTCAACCAAGGCCACTGGAATTGAGCAGTAAAGTAGTTTCAATAGGGAACAGAAGCCAGACCACAAGAAGTAAGGAGTCAATAGTACGGAAGTGGAAGCAGCATGTGTGGACTAATTTTTAAAGAAGTTTGTGCAATAAGGGGAAGAAAGAGGATGATAGTATCAGTGGTAGCAGGAATACAAGAAGGTGTTTTCAAATAAAGATACTTGGGCAAGGCTGGGTGCAGTGGCTCGCGCCTGTAATCCCAGCACTTTGGGAGGCGGAGGTGGGCAGATTACTTGAGGTCAGGAGTCCGAGACCAGCCTGGCCAACATAATGAAACAATGTCTCTACTAAAAATACAAAAATTAACTGGCTGTGGTGGTACATGTCTGTAATCCCAGCTACTCGGGAAGCTGAGGCGGGAGAATCTCTTGAACCCAAGGAACCCAAGAGGTGGAGGTTGCGGTGAGCCGAGATCACGCCACTGCACTCCAACCTGGGCAACAGAGCTGTCTCAAAATGGACAGCTCTGTCCATTTTGGGAGGGGAGGGGAGGGGGAGGGGAGGGGGAGGGGAGGGAAGGGAAGGGAGGGAACCGAGGGAAGGGAGGGAACCCAGGGAAGGGAGGGAACCCAGGGAAGGGAGGGAAGGAAGGGAAGAGAGGGAAGGGAGGGAAGGAAGGGAAGAAAGGGAAGAGAGGGAAGGGAGGGAAGGAAGGAAGGGAAGGAAGTTGAGCAGATTCACAGAGCGGGGGGAAGGAGAATCAAAAATGATGAAAACCAAAAATGTAAGACACAGAATAACCAATGGGGAACTAAGACTCCAGAGGAGAAAGGTGTAAAGAATGGGATTCACTTTGGAAAATAAGATGTCTGATTCCTTCCTCTCAGATGCGAGGGAAGGAGGAAAAAATGGGTGAAGGTAGACCTCCTTAGGTGGTGACAAGGGGACTTTTCAACAGAACAAGAGATGAGGTTAGCCAAAGAGCATGAAAGGTTTGTCACTGTAGTGGTGGAAGGTGTAGTGAGAAGTCAATCTGAGACCGAAGGAATTGCCAAAGCAGCGATGAGACCCTTTCTGAAAGCCTGAACTTGTAGTGGAACTAATTAATTAAACCTGTTATGTGACTTTCAACATCAGAGCTTAGTAGCTTACAGACCCTAAAGTTTGGGGATTAGCATGGGGACAAGGGACAAAGGAACCAAGGGTACTGGCAGGAATTAGGTTTTTGTTTTGTTTTGTTTTGTTTTGTTTTTTAATGTGAAGAAGGCATTCATTTTGCAGCAGCAATATAAGAAGATGATTTAAGACTGGAAGTTTAAAATAATACCTATAGCATAGATCCTATGCTCCCACTGATGTTCCGATTTATGGACAGACTAGGGTGTTTTATTATAGTCTATTTAGCATTATTTCACCTACCATAAAATGAAAAGAGGTGCCAAATCCACTAGAGAGAAGGACCTGAAAAGGACAGTCTTGAAAAGTTTCCAATGCTTTTTTTTTTTTTTCTTCAAGGAAAAAATACTACAGGAATCCTTTTTGGCTGTGCTTGTAATTAAGTGGACTGGCCTTCCCTCTGAAAAAGAATATAGGTCTGGCTTTGAAATGCTCACACTGAAAGGTAAACTCTGCCTCCCTTCCTGGTAGTATCCAAGGCTTACAGATCCAATGACAGCCACCAATAGAGATGAGGAAACCCGAGTACTGCTGCACTTGTTCCACACCCAGCTCTTAGATGGCACAACACCCAGCACCCATCTGAAAGCCATTTCATAACCAGGTATTTGAGACAGAGTTTGACAGACATGTAAACTGCCTACTCGTCTTGATTCTCCAAATATTACCTTTGCACTGGCAACTCATCAGAAAAACAAAGTAGGCCACATTATATAGTTCTTCACAGAAGCACTTTTACCAACTAAAAGTTAACACTGTATGCTCCATCTTTATAGAGAATCAACAAAAGAGCCATCAAATTGAAAAGGATTCAAGAATCTTTGGGTAATACACTGCCTGAAGAATTGAATCACTGTGTCACTATCTTTTAGAGAAAAGCCAAACAACAAATTTGTCCTTGAATTTAATCCAGGAAGAATGTGCTGTTTCTGACTTGTCTTCAGAAAATGAAAACTCTATATCCAACATGTTTCTCACCCTGCCAGCAGTCCTGAACCTAGAGCCAAATTATACTGACCAAGGGTTAGGATCTGCTCCACTGGAAGCCTTAAAAGCCCCCATTCCTTTAGCTTCCTCCACATTTCCTATATTCCATTCTATTTTAAAAAGGGATGTGTGAAATGACCACGAGTGAGAAATACCAACTTTTGGATGGTGATTACCTCTGCTGTGAAGAGGGAGGAAAGGATGGAATTCCTTCAGCTGGGTGGTGGACCCACAGACATTTATGTTATTTTTCATAAGCTTTCTATAGCAAATACTTCGGAACGATTTTTAAGAGGAGTCGGGGGCAAATGGCAGAGATGGGGTGGGGATGAATGTATGCTCTAGGGGGACAAAATGGCTGCACGAGAAGTCCACAGGTGAGGAGGCAGAGGGCTTGTTTAGGAAGACCAAGTTGCTTATGGGAGCCAAAGCACGGGGTGTATACACAAGGGAGGGGAGAAAGAGCAATGCTGGGAAGATAAGATGGCAGCAGAGTGGTGAGGACCGTGAACACCTGGCTAGGGAATGTGCGATAAGGTAGGAAAGGAGAGTTTCTGAGTAAGGGAATGAGAAGATTGCAGGTATGTCTTAGGGAGCAGATAGAATAGAAGGGAGAGATGCAGAAGTCAGGGAGGCCTAGCTGAAGGAGACTGCCAGGGCCTAGGAGACAGACACCGAGGATGAGGGTAGGGCAACGTGACTAGAAAGGATGAGGCAAATGTGATGAAGTCTACAGAGAAGTGGGGATGGGTAGACAGAGGAGACTCCAGGGTGATGAGAAGAAAATGGCACCATTAAGAGAAACAAGAACACCAAAAGAAGGAACTCGGGGGAGGGAGACAATTGAGTTGAACAATTTCAGCTTGACCATGAGTCTGGGATGCCAGGTGAAAACTCAAGGGATCTCCAGCAGGCAGTAAGGAAAGAGAAACTGGGGCTCAAAAGAGAGGTAGCACTAGGGGAAAAAACATGGCTAGGGTAGCGTCTGCTTTGCCTATCTGTCAGCTGTTGTCATGCTCAGATGAAAGAGTCAATGGAAAAAGGCTGGGTAAACTCTAAGGAGCTTTGTTACTATACAATTTCATGTGCATGGAAGTGACTAAAGCCAAGGGGGTAGCTTAAAGCCACGGGGAGAAGAATAAATGCAGAGCAGCTTGCTGAGGCCTGGAAGCTGCAGAATCTTTACAGAAAGACCAAGGTGGAAGAGGACTGCGAGAAAGACCCAAGGACTCACATCTCCATGGAATCTGTTCTCGCTGGGGCTCCTGTGAGCCTCCTCCTGGCCACACACTCCATGGCCTCTTTTCATTCTTTATCTTACTGAAACTTGCAACATTTCACACCATGGTCTGCTCCCTTCCTTCTTGAGATTCTCTCTCCTACTGACTTCCATCACAGCCCTTTATCCAAAGATTTTCTACTGCTTTGGCTGCTGCCACTTGGTTGTCTCCACTGGCTCTTCTCGCTCTCCGCACCATGGAAAAGTGTCCATGTCCCCCGGGGTCCTCTCCTTAGCCCATATCTTTTTATGTTACATACTCTTCCCAGCTCATGAATGTCTGTGGTCTTTAGTGCTACCAATATGCTAATGACTTCAGAAGCTTCAGAGTCAGGTTTCCAACTGCTTCTGAGCCATTTCCACGTGGTAGTTGTAGAGCTGTAAGTCCATGCCTTCAGACTAATTTCCCCATTGGGCTTATCTACAACATATTCCTTCTCCTGTAATATGTCTATTCAGATGAATGGGAGCAGCTCCTATCTTTCAAGTGAAAGTTTGTTCAACTCCATCTTCCAAATGGCCACTCAAGCCCTCCAAATCTCTCATGGCTGTCCCCTCTTTTCTATCTCCACTATGACTGTATTAAGGCCCTTATCACTTACCTAGGAAACTAAAATAACTTCCTAGTTGGGCTTCCTGACTTCAGTCTCTCCCGCCCCTAACCCATCACACACACACTGCAGCTGGAGTTCTCTTCCTGAAATCACATTGGATATGTCATTGTCTGTGTAACTTGCATACTGCTTAACTGTGACTTATGAGACTCTTAAGGCTGCTGGCTCTTCTTCCAGCCTCATCCTCTTCTGTTCCCCACTCCTCCATCAACCCCCAATGTTCCAGCTCCAACCGATCATTCAACCATCTTCATAACAAATGGTGCTTTTCCATATTGTTATACATGCGATACAGAAAAGTACCATATAGACACGGTAACTCTCTACCTGATATGCTCCTTTTTCCTTCCTGTCCAGAAAATTGTTACCATTCTTCAAGAGTTGGTTCAAGTATCATCTCCTCTATAAAGCATTCTATGACTTGCTACACTGGCATAATCGTCTTTTCCCTTGTACGTCTTCTTCCTTCTCACAGCACTATGCATACCACTGTAGGCTTTGTCATATTATACCACAATTACTCAACTCTATATCCTATGAGGTTATGCAGGCCTCAGGGTATAGTATTATGCACCTTGCACAGTATTAAATTCACCATGGTGCTCAGTGAATGTTTCTGGAATGAAGACATGAATGCCTGAATGAACGAGGGTTAAGGTATCTTTCTCATGCACTAGAGCACCTAAACACAAAGTGCTCCTGGAAGGAATCCTGAAAGCAGTCTTACTCATGGTAGTCTACCAGATTACAGGGTATCACCTACCTACAGTAGGCCCTACTATAGTCACAACATTAACCCAAAGCCAAATTCCTTAGTACCCTCAAGGCCAAAAGGTAGCTATGGGATTTCTCAAATCCAGAAGCAATGTTAGTATTCAAGATGCCACAATGTAGCAGGAGCCATACTGTGGTCAAACCACAGTGACTAGGCCTTTGCCCTCTGAGCAGCACTAACAACTTAGGAGCCCATTTCCTCCCAAGTTCACTCAATACACTTTTACTGTGTATTACTGTCTACCAGGACACTGTACTAGCTAGGCATGAAGGACCAAATGGACTCAGCATTTGATAAGACCACAGACATAGCAGCAAATAAATATGACAGAATCCATTCATTCAACACACACTGACTTAGCATCTTCAATGTGCCAGACTCCTTCCCAAGAACTGAAAGAACATCAGTGAATAGACAGACAAGCATCCTTGTCCTTAGAGAGACAACAAACAAGATGAATCAGTGAAATATATAACATAGGACACAGTGACAAGCACTCAAGAGAAAAATTAAACACAGAAAAGACATATTAAAAGTTTAGCTAAAGGGCCAGGGAAGGTTTCATAGCAATGTGTTAATAACACAGAGGCATGAAGAAAAGGCTGCAGGGACACAAAGAAGGAATGATTCCTTCAAGAGAAGCTGGGGAAGACTCCAGAGAGGGTGTGGCTCTTGAGGTAGGTTCTGAAGGATGACTAGCAGCTTCTGAAAGGGGTGGAGAAAGGGCATCCAGGTTCCGTGAGAATGGCACATGCATGATGGGAGAAGGAAAGGCTCTGCGTAGTTTGAGAACAATGCACTTGGGAAGAAGTGATGTGAGTCAAGGTTGGAGGAGTCAGAAGGACTTTTAGGCCATACCAAGAGAATGGATTTCACTCTGTGGGCAACAGGGAACCGATGATAGTTTTGGAACTGAGAAATAAGCTGGTCGGCCTCACTCTAAGGACGAACACGCTGGAGACGGGGCGTGGGCCAGAATGCAGGGGCAGACCAGGCAAGGAGGGCTAGGTAGAAGCAGGCCACTGTGGCAATCTCAGGACATGGACACTGTTTCTCTACTTCTCTGGGCAACAGGAGGCAGGGAATCTGCCCTTGACTCCTTACAAAATAGCAGAGCTGACTCCAGAATCAGACCACACACATCTGGACTCATCACTCCTACTGCAGTGTTTACATACCTGAAACAAACAGGTGTCCACTTCAAAACGCCAGTGAGATGACAGCTTTTTGTCAAACATGCAACAAAATTTTTTTCAGTTTGCAGCAGAATCCACAGTTAATGTTCTTGCTTAGGACTTTAATTGAAGAAACACTATGATGACTATGTTTTTAGACTCCTGTATAACCATTTAAATGGCATTCTTTATATGATGTTTTCTGCTGTCAGCTGCTTGCTTTTATACTTGGACTAAATGTTGTGGCCAATTGCTCAAAATGTTTATGTAAAACTTAGTGGAAGAAGAAATAAGTTAGTAGTCAGTGTCAGACAGGCATTTTATTCACCCACTCAGCACTAACTCCATCCTCTAGGGCATCATATACAAACAAAAATAAAACTTGCTGAGAATTCTTCCAATTGTAAAAGTAATACATGTTCATTCTGGGTTTTTGAAAAATATTGACAAGTGAAAGGAAGAAGACAAGACATGCATAATCCCTTTCTTCAGATAGCCCAAATACTGAAACCTTTGGTGTACTTCTTTCCAGCCTCTTTTCTACAGATAATTTTTGTTTTTCGTAGTTGAGGTCACACTACATACACAACCTTGTCATATCATCAGTTTGAATAACTTCCCCAGTTCATCATCAGTGACAGCATAAGGTGGAACTGGCTACACAGGGTGAGTCAAAAAGCCAAGAGTACAAGCAGCAAAAGGGACCATAATGTTTAATTGCAACTTTTGATAATTCTCACATATATTAGCATAAAATCTTTCAATCTATCCTAATTTGACCCTTGGGAGCTATACAGAATAAATCGAATCCCTGCTCCACAGAAAGGCACTTCAAATATTCAAAGATGGGTCCATCATGTCCCTTTTTAGTCATCTTTTCTTCAGACAAGATCAGCATTTATTTTGATCACTGCTCCAACTGCAGTCCCTTCACTAACCTGGTTATCTGTGTCTGAACTCTCTTCAGTTTGTTAATGTCCCTCTTAAAACTTGGCATCTGGCTTGGAATACAACACTTCAGATGGGGCTATTGTTACATTTTGTCTGGCAATTATGTTATACTTCTGTTAACTCAGCCTAGGGGAATATTAACTTTTTAATCAGTCATATCCAATTACTGGTTCAAATAAGCTTGGATCCGTTAAGACAGACCTCCTATCCTTTACTGATAACAACTGAGTAATTGTTATCTATATCAATTTTATATTATTAGTTTTGCTCCAATATCCTACCAAGTTAAGATCATTTCAAACCCTGATCCCATCACCTAGCACACATTGGCTAGTATGGGGTTTTTCATACATTGGAAATGCATGTCTTCTATGTGCTCCTCTGCATTGCATCAGAAATGCTGGAAAGGAAGGGCCCTACACAGCAAGATGTTAGCGACCACCCTTCCTAGCATTAAGCCTGAAATCCATAGGCTGTAACTCCACCTAAGTGTACTGCCACCATTTGGCCCAGGTGTCTTTACCGGAGTCTGTCATATGGCCTTGGTTCCATCAAGACAATGTGTCAATAACACTCCCAATGGTTGGTTTCTTTTCTAAGGACTTAAAAATCATGTTTAAAATGATTATTTGTAGAATTTTTGCCAATTGTTGCCAAGGGTGAACATGCAGCTCGCTGTTGTTAATTTTCAGAATCTTCTTTCCCATTCTGGAAATCTAGAACATTCACTCATCTCCACTCTTACTTAAAAGTTTGAACAGAGTCACATAAATAAAATGCCCTGTGGCCTGATCCATGTACATGTCCCTACAAGCACTGTGCCAGAGGAGATTCCAGAAGTTGGGGCAGCTATAAAAGTGGGCTCCCACAGCTAAGGCAATGGGGATAATAAACAGCATTTTTTCAGAATTCAGACATAATAATGAACACCATAAAAGAAAAAAAGATTAAAAGATACAAACTAATCTAGATTAGAACTGTCCTAAAAAATGGTGGGGTAAAAGCAATAAAAAAGCTACATTTCCCCGACAGCCTCAAGGTCACCTGTGTAGAAGCTGCTGATGGGCTACTCTCTGTGAACCCTGGACCTCTTTCCCCATTCACATCCTATCAAAATATACCTCCCCTTCAGGCTGACCTGGGCAATGACAACCCACCACATCCACTGGAAGTCCTTCAGTGACAGCCACAGCAGCTACTCACTCTCTCTTCCCTTTCTGGGGCATCTCTTTTCCATGTTATTGTCCTAGTGATGGAACATTCCTCAAAATGCTGTGACAAACCTTTCATGGTCAGGGATTGAAAAGGTAGAGTGGCAGTAAGCCATACCATAGTCATCCTAGTTCTACACTGCTACCTGGTGCTTTATCATTGAACACCTGGAAAAGTTCTAGAATGCTGGGCTTCACCCAGAAATTCACATCACTATCTTCCTCTGTGATATTTTAGAAAATATAACTGTGCCAGGACCACAGGTCTGGATATTCTGATGCAGTCTATCCAGGACATCTGTATTTTTTTATTTTTAACTTTTATGGATACTGTGTTGTTAAGCTCCATAAGTGGGTTTCATATGTGCTTCTGGCAAAGAACCACTGTTCTACACCTAACTTCTCCAAACTAGCAAATGGTTACAATTACTAACCCCTCCCCCACCATTATGAGGGATAAGACTTTTTTTAATTGACCCTGTTCCTTACATATACAAGTGTTAGTGTTAAATGAGTTTTGCATAAGCAAAAAATTAAGAGTTGAGAAGCAAATATACCCCATGTTAATTTGACCCACAGTCAATCTTGCAAAGTAGAAGAGAAACAATTTAGCATTATCTTTAACAGTTAGGGTCATCTTTATGGTCTTATATTCTACTTACCGTTTCCAAACTTCTTAAATAAAGACGATAATTTGTGATGTAAACTCTTCCCTTAATGGGGCCATTGAAAGGACATATGTAAATAACTTCTTTGTCTATTAAGATAAAAAAAGTACCCTAAAATAATGGAAATAGATACCAAGATACACAACAAATGGCACTAATTTAATATAAACTATTCAGCTAAGAATAACTACAATTTTAAAAATTACTGAAAAGGCTGAAAGCAAGCACTGGCAATGTTTCTACATTACCGTGCTGGGTTGAGTTGGGGTAGTGGGAGAACTAGTGGGGCCACACCACCTCCAGGCACTAACAGTGCTTCCCTGAGCTTTCCCACAATGCTGTCACTACCTGGGGCAAGGTGACAATAGAAGTGAATGAGAATACTGCTGCTGCTACCCTAAGGTGGTTGTAAAGGTAACTATTTGAGCTACTTCAGCCAGAGGACGGCAACTCACCTGGGACAGTCTCACGGACTAACCACTAGACTGAGAGATGAGGCTACCAATCTCTAACCACAGAAACATAATCATGTTTTTAATAAATAAATGTCAGCAGTAGAAATCTTTCCAGTTTATTCTGTCTTTTTTTGTTTTTGAGATAGGGTCTTGCTCTATTGCCCAAGCTGGAGTTCAGTGGCACAATCATGGCTCACTGCAGCCTCAACCTCTCAGGCTCAAGCAATCCTCCCACCTCAGCCTCCTGAGTAGCTGGGACTATGGGTATGCGCCACTGCACCCAGCTCGTTTTTTAATTTTTAGTAAAGATGAAGTTTTGCTGTGTTGCCCAGGCTGGTCTCCAATTCCTGGCCTCAAGTGATCCTCCTACTTTGGCCTCTCAAAGTGCTGGGATTACAGGTGTGAGCCACCGCACCAAACCTTTTTCTTTTTAATAGTCTAGAATAGAGTTTGGCTAGGTTCATTTCAAACACTGAAGTGATATAAAACAGGTGGCCGAAAGAATAGTACATCTTTGGTAGAATAAACATAAGGAGAAGCTAAATCAGAATAATTAATTATAATAGAAATATGCCTCTCATCTTTCAGGGATGTCCTTGAATGTGTTAATGACTCGTAATGATTTTGAAATCCCTTTCTCTTCAAGTTCTAAATAAAAAATACTTAATAAAGCTACTTTATGCTAGTTCCATTAGTTACCACCTGGGTTAAGGTTCAGGCGCTGATACCTACCACCAAAACTTCATATATGAAGACGATCAAAAGTAAAATATCTTCTTTGCTCTTATCCAGAAATTGGGATGAACACATCCCACTGGTCTCCATTTCAAGACTAGAATGTGTGCAAGTTTGTGGACTCAGAAGAGAATTTCTCATGGTGTATGGCTAATTCCCAAAGGTACCTCGCTTAGGCCCGCCATCTAATTAGCACGAGGTTTTAGCCATTTAAGCTAAACAACCCAGATCTGAATTAATCAAAAGGTTCCCTGGAACAATGGTCATCACATCTGCTTCAAATACATTGAAGTCTGAAAGGAGGGTGTTAATCCACATATAAAATTTGCCCAGAACATTAGCACTTGGCTTAGAAGCTGTCAGATGCTTCTATATTCTTAAGCCGTAGTGATCTAGCCCTTCCAAAGTTGATCCCTTCCTTTTAGTATACGTTTATCATGAAAAATAACATCAAAATATTACCTAAATACTAACTTCCATTTTCTGACGAATGAAAGATATTTTAAAGCAATATGTTCTCCTATATTTCAAAGAGGAGAATGATTAAGCCTTCAAGCCTTTAAGTTTATCATTTTAAAGCATGCATCATTGACTGGAAATCATTTTGCTCTTAAAACCTTAAACCATGAGAGCTTATGGCTCCAATGAGAGACTTTCAAGAGATAATCCACATTTTTTTCCCCTAAATCATTCTCAGTCTTTGGTACAGACACAAGAATATCACTACCCTTGTGAGCATGAAGCTCTCAAAAGAACTCTTTAATCAAGAAAGGGATGCAGAGAGTTCTGTGTTAACGCTTCTAAACAAAGGTAGCCTATTTGTCTAAGCCTGACTGCTAAAGAGTAAGCGGGACTGAAGCCACCTGATCCTGCCAGACTTCTCCTCAAGTTATGCAAATCTTATGTCAGCAGGTCCTTACCAGTGATTAGTGTTTCTCCTGGAAGTCGAGGAACAGCCTCAGTGAGATCTCGATTGACTCCATCTCGAGACGTCTAGAAACAAAACAGATGCATCAGAAGTAATGACGTTACATTTACACACTGTTTTTAAGCAACTAGGAATACAAGCCACTAGAAATATGTTTTTTAAAGAAAAAGCATTAGAGATTTAGCATTTGGGAAAACTGGCACAAAAATTCAAACAAAAAAGTTACAATCTGGCACCAACATTAATTAGATGTGTCAACTTCTAGTATTAAATAATGCTAGCATGCTTTTCAATAATATTAATTTTTAAACTACATTTCCAAGCACTTTAAAGTTAACAGCTTTCGGGAAAGTGATAAAAAGTAAACATTAAGTGTGTTCTATAGATACACATACACTGTAGCAGCTTTCTTTTTTTCATATTCAGCCATCTTTTGGGAAGAGTAGGAAGGAAAACTTCAATTCCACAGAGGCTTAACTGAATAACAGCACAGCCATTAGCCAGAATCCTATTACAATGCCCGAAAATCATTGATTACCTATTGCGTTTCCTATTTCACTAAGACCCTTCCTCTCTTTTTACTTCCTCACATTTACTAAGATCCCTGTCCTAATAAGAGGTAAGAGTGGTCTGTCAGAGAACTTTTGAGCTGGCAAAAGTCTTAGGAGCCATTTGTACAAATTCTTCACATCACTTTACTATTTCTCTAGGCTTCCTGGCTTTAGAGGTATTCCCAAGCATGTGCCTCATTCAATCACTTCCACAGCTCTGCTAGGTGGGCACAGTAATATTAACCACTACAACCTGCAGGCGAGTTCGCAGAGCCTAATTTGCCATAGCTACCCATTGTCTTTCAGGTTATTCAGCTGCCCTAGTGGATTAATACGAAGATGTGTTGCAGGTGCTAGTCTGATGACATTTGAGGCACATCACTAACATCTGTTTGGGCAAAAAGTTTTTTTCAGCAGTATTTCATTTTTTTCTATTTGTTGTCCAAAATCACACTGCAATCATTTCATAAGTGAAGTTACTCATGCTTCCGTTAGAGCAGTTTTGTGAGTATTAAGTGAAAAAATATATATACAAGCACACTTTTATTTTTTGAGACAGTCTTGCTCTGTTGCCAGGCAACAGTGGTGCAATCTTGGCTTACTGCAACGTCTGCCTCCCAGCTCCCAGGTTCAAGAGATTCTCATGCCTCGGTCTCCTGAGTAGCTGGGACTACAGGTGTGTGCCACCACGCCCAGCTAATTTTTGCATTTTGAGTAGAGACGGGGTTTCACCATGTTGGCCAGGCTGGTCTTGAACTCCTGGCCTCAAGTGATCTGCCTGCCTTGACCTTCCAAAGTGCTGGGATTACAGGTGTGAGCTACTGTGCACACTTCTGTAAATTATCAGAGGCTATGCAAATGGAGAGAATTATTATGAAACAAGAGAAATGTGAATTGTATATTCAGGTGAGATATAAGCTGTCAAAGAGGGGTGTTATGCTGAATCTTTAATGTTTTTTTTTTTCATTCAGAGGCAAGAATGAAAATTCCTAGCCAATTTAAAAAATTTTCTAGTACTTGCAAGCTAAACATTTTAACCAGCTGGGCAAGACAAACTGTTCTCAGCCAGGAATGCCTTCCTCAATGAGAAGCAAAACCACACACCTTATATAAATTGTAAGAGAGGAAAGAAATTATCACCCTTTAACACTCCCTCTCACTAACTAAAAACAGGCATAACGAGCAAATGCAATACTCAGTATACCTTTTAAATACCACAGTTCTAGGTCAACCACAAAATAAGGGAAGTGAATGTCTGATTAAAACAGGATAACATGGGATTAACATAGGCTATACATTATACCAGAGCAGCATTACACAAAGGATTTATAGTTACATTCTTGAAATTACTCCTGTGTTTAGAACTGATTCTGGTAACATAAAAATACTTAAATACAATAAAAACATATAATCTTGGAGATGAGGATGGTCCTTGTAGGCACCCAAAACAGAAAATATAGATTGATATATGTGATCACATAAAAACTTTAAACTTCAGTATTTCAAAATCAAAATACCATAAATACAATTAAAAGGCCAACAATAAATCAGGAAGAAGACTTGTAACATATTATAGAGCTGATTATCAAAATATAAGGAACAAGCCAGGTGTGGTGGTCCATGCCTGTAATCCCAGCAATTTGGGAGGCTAAGGCAGGTGGATAGCTTGAGGCCAGGAGTTCAAGACCAGCATGGCCAACATGGTGAAACCCCAACTCTACTAAAAATACAAAAATTAGCCAGGTGTGATGGTGCACACCTGTAATCCCAGCTACTCGGGAGGCTGAGGCACGAGAATCACTTGAACCCAAGAGGCAGAGGTTGCAGTGAGCCAGGATTGCACCACTGCACTCCAGCCTGAGGGACAGAGTTAGACTCTGTCTCAAAAAAAAATTATACACACACATACACATATACACACACACACGGAACACATAATCAATAAGAACTCCCCTCAAAATCCCCAAAAGCCAAATAAAGGACATGAACAATCACTTCACAAGAGAAATGCAAACTAATAACAAACACACTTTTATTTACTTATTTGAGACAGGATCTCACTCTGTCGCCCAGGCTGGAGTGCAGTGGTGAGATCTCGGCTCACTGCAACCTCTGCCTCCCAGGCTCAAACAATCTCCCACCTCAGCCTCCTGAGTAGTTGGAACTATGGGCGCACGCCATCACACTCGGCTAATTTTTTGTATCTTTGGTAGAGACAGGGTTTCACTATGTTGCCTAGGCCAGTCTCGAACTCTTGAGCTCAAGTGATCCTCCCACCTTGGCCTCCTAAAGTGCTAGGATTACAAGCATGAGCCACCTCACCTGACCATAAACACACTTTTTTAAAAAAGGTTAACCTCATTAGTAATCAAGAAATACCAATGAAAAGATCACCTTTTGCTCCCTTCTGATTGCTTAGGCATCTCTATCCACCTGGTGGGAGTATAAATTAGCCTTTCTGGTGGATAATCTTAGGGCCTTAAAGGGCCATGAATAAAGCTTATTTTAAATTAATCCCTTCCTTTGAATGCACATTCCAAAATCTCCCTCTAATTACACAATCTCCCCCTGGATACCTTGAACCATTTTCTGTTAAAGTTGTATTTGTTTTGGTTATGCAACAATTTTATCATAATTAGAAAATAATGCCAATAATTAGGAAGGCGTAGCAGCCTGCTCAGCAGGCCTTAGCCTTCCAGTATGTCCTTCAGCAACCTTTCCAGGTGGAGGATTGCCTAGTACCTTAAACATGAGGTCTAGCAGTAATTTCACGAGACAGAGGTTTTCAAAAATGAAGTTATGTGAAAGGATTTACAAATGTAAAACTCACTTAACACATATAAGGTATTGTATCTAAAAGCTTTTCTGGGCCGGCGTGGTAGCTCACTCCTGTAAATCCCAGCACTTTGGGAGGCCGAGGCAAGTGGATCACCTGAGGTCAGGAGTTCAAGACAAGCCTGGCCAACATGGCGAAACCCCGTCTCTACTAAAAATACAAAAATTAGCCGGGTGTGGTAGCACACGCCTGTAATCCCAGCTACTAGGGAGGCTGAGGCAGGAGAATCACTTGAATCTGGGAGGCGGAGGTTGCAGTGAGCTGAGATCTTGCCACTGCACTCCAACCTGGGCTACGGAGCGAGACTCTGTCTCCAAAAAAAAAAAAAAGCTTTTCTAGAACAAGGTGAGACAATAAAGAAACCACATGTATAAATGTATTTATATGTGAATGAATAATAAAATTCATAATTCAATAGGCCAGCCCAAAATGACCTAATATTCAAATATCAAAATAAATGCAAGGAAAGAGACAGATAAATCTGAAAATTCAACTTACCCTCTTAATAGACTCATTCTCCAAGGAGTGTGAATTATATTTAGAAGTTGATGCAGAAGCCATCCTGGAAACTCTACCAAGAAACACAACATTCAATATCAACTGAATTTGTATGCAATTTCAAACATATGTGACATCTGAGACTTAAATATGGCAACTGAGAGCAAACGGTACTACTTTACAGGTTCTATTTCCATACTAGGCCCCAGTGGTAATAAGACATACAAACGATGAACCAGAGCACAGGCAGTATGTGAGAGCTCCAATAAAGGTGCAGGGGACTAGGGGAGAACAGACAAGGGGAGCTAAATGCACAAGGGGGAGCTCAGCAGAAGACGCCATACACATTCCAGGAATTTTAATTCGTAGTGCTCTAATTGCCATCTAAAAAAACTTAATGTTTATTAATTGTGCAACAGGCCTCAAATTTCCATACTCCTTATTTTTTAAAGATAATTTAGAGGCAGCCGAGCAGAATGAAAAAAGAATGGACAATTTAACTCACACTATTTTCTCTATTAAGAATTTTGTTTTCTCCAAATGATGGCAGTTTAGAGTGGCATGGATTTGACTGAAATCAAATTGGTAAGATTTGATTTAATCAGTATTTTCTAGGGAAAGTATATACTTCATTTAAATAATGCATATTCATCACAATTCAGGCATAAATGAAAGCATTCTATTCAGAACATACACAAATACCATTTTAACGCAAGGATTTATTTAGACTTAAGAAGATTACAGCAACAACAGAACACTAAGTAATGCTTTGGTTATTTTATCAAAGTTTAGGACACAGATAGATACATATAAAGTCAGCGGGAGGTAAACCACATCCAATTCAACAAGGTGACTGTGGATATTTATAAATATCTTTTTGCCAGGCTGTATTAAGAGCAACCAGACACACTAACAAAATCCAGCAATGGAGAACATTAACCCATTTATGCCGGAGGTTGCAAATTATTTTTGTGAAAAATCAGACCTTGGTGATGACCTTGAGCAGCAGGATGTAAATAACTCCCACAAGCTTAGCGTTCCAATAGTGGAACACTAGGCATAAATGGGTTAACACACCTTGGCACAAAATCTAGTGGGATTTAACAGCTTCACAGTACTGGCTACTGTCCTTAAGAAATAGTCAAGAAAGGTGACGAAGTCACAGAAAAAGACAGCCACCAGGATGAAGAGGTGGGGAGATGGCCAGATAGGGGCCATCTTACAAGGTTAGGACTGTCAGGATTCCCCCGTGAGAGTTCAACACTACAAGGCCAAGGCTTGTGTCTGTCTGGTTCGTGGCTGTATCCTGGCGCACACTGGAACTCACAACTATCTGGTGAATGATTATGCGGCAAATATACAATACTGTGAAATGTCATGATGGGGCAAACATGTATACTAGTTCACCAAATCCCAGAACACTGGAACTAGGCAACTACCACTGATGCTTGAAAATTAACAATTAGAGCAAAATACGTCTTTATAGAAAGAGATACTCAACTTAGAAGAGCTGAAACTACCTACAGGTAGCACAATGCAAAATTAAAAGTAACTTTTTAAAAAGATTAATGAATAACACTAAAATGAATTAAATTCAGACAAAATCGTAAAATATGCTTTGAAAAACCTTTCTAACCTTAAGTTCATGTCCAAGCAAAATAACCCATTATTCTCAGAGATAGCAGAATGGATGAGATGAACTATGGAGCAAGTCAGATGTATCTGCTCTGAAATTTTTCTATTGACAAAACAAGACTATATATTAGGGGCAGATTTTCTTCAGTAACAGATATAAAACTACCTTTTAGTATAGATACTTTAATATTTAAAATGCTTCACTAATGTAAGTCAACATTTTAAAACAAAAAGTTAAATTCTTACTATCAAGTCAGTAGAAAAAATCTAAAATCCTGGTTGTACAGTCAACTCAGTCAACGTCACCACCCTGTTTATTCATGGGCCATAAAAGAATGATGAGTCTTCCTGCTATTTCTGATTTTCATGAAAAAATTTCAATTTAAAATGAATATAAAGGACGAAATCCCTCATTTTCCCTTCATTTAACTGTTTTACTACAACTCACATACCATACAGTTCACCCTTTTCAAGTGTACAATTTAAAGGTTTTTAGTATATCCAAAGTTGTGCCACCCATCACCACAATCAATTTTAGAACACTTTTATCATCCCAAAGAGAAACCCCACCCCATACCCATTAGCAGTCACCCACCACTCCCAATCCTCCAGCAACCACGAATTTGCTATCCCTATAAATTTGCCCACTTTGGGAATTTCATATAAATGAAACCGAACAATATGCAGTCTTTATGTCTAAAGCTCTAATTTTTAGAGGAACACCAGACACTACTACTACTGTTAATAGTTGGATCAAGTATACATCCGAGAAATCCAAAGGTCCAGATAACATGTGCCAGTTCCACAATGAGGCTTACTTTAAAATCTCATCAGTGAGCCTCTCTTTGTTGAATGGTTTTGATTGATCCCTGAAGATTATAGAAGCTGGAACAGCATCATGCTGGTGTGCACAAATGTTGCAGCTGACTACATTCAAATTCCAACTCTGCAACTCACCATTTGACCTTGAGTAGGTTATTTAACTTCTCTGGGCTTTGGTTGCTATTACCCCCATTTTACATCAACATTATTAGGTGAAACAAATGAATTAATACATTCATGCAGGGCTTGGAACCACACAGTGTATCTGTTAACAAATTACTAGTATTTTTAAAATTTTTAATTTTTATGAGCACAAAAGGATAGCTAGTGAATGCCAATGTCTTAGCCAATTCTACAAATTAGTCCTGACCTTGGAAATACTAGGAGAAAAGTTAACTAATACAGGGATAGCGCATGGCTAGCAGCCACTCAGTTATAAAGTGCTTTTTGCTTAAAAAAAAAAAAAAAAAGACAATAATGACTCTAATAGGAAAATGGAAAGCAGTGTAGTACTTTGGAAAATGTACTAGACAGGTGTGTACAAGCCCTGGGCTGTCTCTAACTTACCAAGCAAAGAAAGCTCATCCATATCTTCGTGTATAAAATGACTATGTTAGTGTAAAGGCAGTTGGATGATAATTAGAAGCTATAGTGAAGTCTACAAAAATCAGCTACCCTTTTGGTTACAGAGTATTTCATCCCAAAGCCCTAACAATCAAGTTTTTTTATCCTTTTTATTTAAAAAACAAACAAAAAAATGTTGATTTTTGGCTACCTTGGCTTTAAAGCAAAAATTAAAAGTTGATTCCGTATATATATGTTAACTACAGCATTCTAACCAGAGGTAGACTTCTATCACTTTTGATCCCCCAAAATAACCTTTGAGATGATTTAAGCCCAACCCTCTCCTATTACAGAGGAGATGCGGGGGGCCTAGAGGGTGTGTGACAAGGTCCTGGAGTGACTTACTGGCAGGGACAACTCTAGCCTAGGTCTCCCTGCATTGCAGAGTCCCTTCTACCTACAGAAAAGTGCTTCTAAGTGGTCTCTGGAAGGAAACCAGGTTGCACGTGACTGGTCCCAATCTCAGTAGAACAGCTTGAGACTAAGAAACATAGTTAAGAGAACTCAACTCACCTAGCCAACCAACCTTTGGGGCCTCTAAGCCCCAAGAATTTTATGTTTTATTTATTTACAGCACCTGTAACAGTGCCTGGCACCCAAAAGATACTTAACAGGTATTTGTTAAATGAGTGAATGAACTGGGCAATTAAGGATTGGCCAAGGAACATAACAGTTGTTGGCAGTGTAATATTTCACTTAAGCCACAAGTTCATACAAACTCATGTTTGAAATGGTACGACAAGGCCTTGGCTGATCAGGATGGTCCAGGCAGGGTGGTTCTGGGCAGCAAATTTAAGTGTATATACTGTTATGTAGTTAACTGCAGGGTTAACTTGTACCCCTTTGAAACGATTTGCACTGAAAATAATTTGAGTAATGCTATCTTCCCTTATAGACTTTTCCATGAACATTTCAAATTAAGGTACAGCCGTCCCAGTACAGGGGGCTGGGATTGGTCAGTTGAATCTGTGGAGGCAGATACAAAAACCTCTTTCACCGCGCCCTTTTTCCAGACTAAGGAACTGTTTTTCCTTTTCTGTTGAATATGAAAAACAACAATACACAAACCTGAAGCACACATTAACTAAAAACATTAAAAAATGCATGCCATTTTAACGCTTATGTTAAGAATCTAAAAGCAGCAGAACTAGAAAATAATTTTGATCTCTGCCTCATAGGGCCTTTGCAAGCAAACTGTAAACACCACGGAGAGCTCTATTTCCCATCGTCACCTGAGTTGAGATCAATGGCCCTGAGTGGTTTTTCTGAACTTTTCTGTATACAAACAAAACAGTGACAAAGGTATGCAGCTTTTGTCTTTTGATGAGCCTTTAATGTGGTTTATGACTCTGTGTTGGCATTTACGTTAAGTTCAATCATGCTCTTTCTCTGGAAAGATGCTGCTTATGGAAACATACTGAGACTTAAAACTTGACTTCTAAAGTTTGTCAGAGAACAAGCAGCCTCTCCGTTCAGAATTCCAGGTCTTTCTAAGGTAGTTGTCCTTACTTAGAAGTCTGTTTTCAAAAAGATGCCAAATCTCTTTGGCAGTGGTGCTCAATACCATCAGACCCGAAACTCCCTTTTTATAAAACAAATTTCTGTAAAGTCCCCTTTGCTAGGCTGAAATGAAAACCATGGATATCCTCAATCTAAACATGATACAAAATCAATATACTGTACTAACTCCAATATAAAGGAGAAATAAAAGGACAGTGATTTATAATAAAATAATGTATTTTTCAATGAATTACACCATAACCAAAACATGCCCCCATTTCCAATTTGGCCTCTAGGGGGAGCGTCACCCCCAATGAGAACCATTCACAGAGTTCTGTACCTGGAGTGCCAGTAAACACAGGATTTACTATAAATTTATTCTGATTTTTTGCATTAAAGTAGCTTGGATTGTAGGCCACCTAGGATGCAAAAAAATGAAACATACCTTGAGACGTCCTCAACCAAATCACTGTGAACCAAGATAAATGTTCATATTCCAGCCATTTTGAGACCAGGTACACCATCAATTTAACACATATATTTGTTTATTTGGGGGGAAGAAGTGCTCAACTCACATGAAAATAAACTATGATCTGCAAAAGCAGAAGTTTGGTTCATTTTTATACATTTTCCTTTGAACAAGGGACTGACAAATTTTCCGTGTAAAGGGCCAGATACCCAGACATTTCTGTTGCAACTACTCAGTACTGCGTTGTAGCACTGAAGCAGCAATATGTAAATAAATGATGGGCTATATTCCAATAAAATTTTATTTACAAAAACAGGCTGTCACGCCCTGCATTAAGCTGTTAAAATAATTCCCATGTGAACCGTCTTCAGCCGAAGTACATAATAATCATATTCTCTTAAACTAAAAAACAAGCTATTAACCCCACCATTGAGAGCTTGTCAAAATGCCACTATGCGCCCACCTACAAAACAGTGTGATACAGTTGAAAAAAAGGAAGGGATTCTGTATTCAGACCAATTTGTGTCTCAGATCCCAATTCTCTCACTTAATTACTGCAGTTTCCAGTCTGTAAAATGGGTGTGACGCCAGCCCTCACAGTGCTGTCATGAGGAACAGGTAAAATTATAGCACAGCAGATGGCATAACAAAGATGCTCAAATACCAGTTCCCTTCCTCCTACCAGAGATGCTTTATGCTTTTTTTTTTTTTTTTGAGACAGAGTGTCACTCTGTCGCTCAGGCTGGAGTGCAGTGGTACCACCTCAGCTCACCGTAACCTCTGCCTCCTGGGTTTGAGTGATTCTCCTGCCTCAGCCTCCTGAGTAGCTGGGATTACAGATGTGCGCCACCATGCCCAGATAATTTTTGTATTTTTAGTAGCGACAGGATTTCGCCACGTTGGCCAGGCTGGTCTTGAACCCCTGACCTCAAGTGATCCGCCCACATCGGCCTCCTCCTGTGGTGCTAGGATTACAGGCATGAGCCACCACACCCAGCCCAGTGAACTCTTAAGTCATTCCCCAAACTGGTGCTAATATGTTAGGTTGGTTGTCCACAAAATATACCATATCCTTGATTGCCTAACCATTCTGCACACAGGTTTTCTAAGATGATCAATCTAACCTTGCCAAGACTCCAATCAGCCTTACAGTAGTTTACCTTCAAATATGCCTCCTTCCATTAAAAAAAGAAAACACTTGACTCCTAGCCCAGGGAATCTTTCTGTGAAATACTTAACATACAGATCTCATCTCATTACTTTCTATTCAGGCTCAGATATCTAAAAATAGGCTACAAATCTAACTATATTTACTCCAAAAAAGGATCCCCCAAGTAAGCGGTTTACTGTCCACATAGACACATGTAACAGAAGCATTAGAGCTTCTTGATTTGTCTTGGTCACTTCAAATCTTAGGGCTACAGTGTATTTGGTTTGATGATTCCTCTTTGAAAATTATATGATGCTATATAGTATTTCATTTAAAATCTCACTCTCTGTATAATTTTGATATTTACAATTCATTTTAAACATGATGATATACCTACCCCTATTTCTTTAAATGTTGCAAAGACCTTTGGCTAAAAATAATGTAATTCAGACTCAGTGGAGAATGCATTTTGAATCATTTTTTCCAGTGGCTAGTGATGGATTTGGGCTGATCTCTTCACCCTATTTCTTGGTCCCCTCACGACAAATGGCACATCTTCAAGACAGCTGATTGGCTTTAGTGGCATGAGCTGTGGCCATGGAACAGGGTAACTTTAGAAATTATTCATAAATTGAAAGTGATATGGTAAGTAAACTATTAGAAAAGTCAACTACTATCAGGTTATCTGTTTTTAATGTACAAAGGCTACCTAGCAATACTGCACACATTTAAACAGATCATTAAACTCACCAATGGATTTTTTAACAGTCAAATACCTGCCAGTAAACAAAGTTTTAAAATAGGAACAAGATCAAGTTCCCGTGCATCTGCCAATTCCAAAACTCATGAACCCAGCTGATCTGCTCAATGAAAAAAACTGCATTTTATTGAACTATTTTCCCCTGTGAGAACTATTCACAAAAAGTACATTTTAAATTTATAAGTAAACAGTAACTTATTTAGCAAAAGTTAAAACAGTAATTGTTGAAGAATAGAAACGTATAAATAGTTATAACTATGATAGTAACAAAGGTGCCAGATCAAAACATCTCCTTACTTTCCAAGAACCTTCTCAGGTCTGGGCTAAAGGACCCCAAAGAAAAGCCCAGGCATTGGGCATTACTGATGAAGATTCTTCTGAGCAGAATCAGTAGTGGAGGAGGGAGGAAAAAAGGAACTCTAGAGTGGATGTGCACAGTATCTAGAAAACTGAAGAGAGGAGAAAAGGTTGGAGATAACCTGCCATTTGAAACAATTCCTCTAGGTACTCTCATTTGAAGGCAGAAGCAGGGGCTTCGTTGGCATATGCTTTGTTGGCATTTACCTACTTCAAAACATGGAAAGCTTTTCCTGACCTCCCCCCACACACACATACACACACACACACTCTTTCTCTCTCTCTCTCTCTCTCTCTCCACTTCTCTGTACACCATACATATTTCTAATATAGTCAGCCCTCCACATCCAGGAGTTCCACATCTAGGGATTCAACCAACTGCGGATCAAAAATATTTGGGAAGAAACACAAAAAACAGTATGACAAAAAATAATACAAATACAAATAATACAAATAGAAAAATACTTCAAATACTAATTTTTATTTGTATTTACATAGCATTTCCATTGTATTAGGTATTATAAGTAATCTATAGAGGACTGAAAGTACACAGGAGGATATGCAAGGTTATATGCAAATACTATGCCATTTTATATCAAGGACTTGGGCCTCCAAGGATTTTGGTATCCTCGGGAGTCCTGGAACCAGTTTCCCGCAAATACCAAGGGACGATTGTATTTCATTTCTTACCCTGTACTTATGCCTTGATATTTTGTGTCCCGTCTCTTAGATTTCTAGAACTTCCTAAGGCCAAGGACCATGTTTTCCATTCTGGCACCAGCACAAAGCACAGTTTGGGTACTCAGTATTCCGTGAAGAAACAAATGTAGCATCACCCTCATAAACTTTCATGACTTTGGAGAAGTTAGTCATCAGTCATTAAAGGTACTCCAACCTACCTCCCTAGGGCTGATTTTTAGGTTTATAATTCCCTTGCATATCTTTAAAATTTTCCACATGTATACATCCCTAAATAATATGATTTTCCATGTTTCTGAAGTCTTATGTAAATGGAATCATTATATATTCTTCTGCCACTTGCTTTTCTCACATAGTGTTGAGAGAGTCATAAATGTTGATGCATATAGTTGTGTTCCACTCATTTTCACAGCTGCATAGCAGTCCACTGCTTTGCACTTGGTTTTTCCATTCTCCTCCCAGTGATCATTTGAGCTGTTTCCAGGTTTCAATTATAAACAGTGCTTTTATAAGCATCTTTGGAAACGTCTCCCATTCCTAGCATGCATATAAGAACCGTATTTTTGTGCCAGATTTTCATATATATATATGAAAATATATATTTGCTGCCATATATAAAAATATATTTGCTGCCAGATCAGGTATGGGAAATATATATTTAATATATATATTTAATATATTTTTAAAATATTTTTATATATTTAACATATATTTAATATATATATTTTAATTTAATATATATTTTATATTATATATATATATATCAAATATATATATATATTTAATATATATTTAATATATATTTTATATATTTGATATATATTTATATATATTTTGTATATTTAATATATATATTTAATATATATTTTATATATATTTTATATATTAAATATATATTAATTTAATATATATTAATTTATATATAATATATAATTTATATAATATATATAATTTATATATTTATAAATAATATATACAAATTATTTATATATAAATTATATATAATATATATAAATTATATATTATATATAAATTATATATAATATATATAAATTATATATTATATATAAATTATATATATTATATATAAATTATATATTATATATAAATTATGTATAATATATATAATTTATATATAATATATATAAATTATATATATTTATAATTTATATATAATATATATAATTTATATATATTTATAATTATATATAATATATATAATTTTTATATATTTATAATTATATATAATATAATATATATAATTTATATATATTATATTATATATAATATATATAATTTATATATATTTATAATTATATATAATATATATAATTTATATATATTTATAATTATATATAATATATATAATTTATATATATTTATAATTTATATATAATTTATATAAATTATATAAATTTATAATTTATATATAATTTATATAATTTTTATATATTTATAATTTATATATAATTTATATATATTTATAATTTATATAATATATATAATTTATATATATTTATAATTTATATAATATATAATTTACATAATTTATAATTTATATATAAATATATATAATTTAATATATATTTAAATATATAAATTATAAATTATATAAATTATATTTAAATATATAAATATGTATTTATATTTATATATTTAAATCAAAGTATCTGGAGAAGATGGATAATAGATGAAAACATAGGCAAATCCACCGTTTGAAATGAAATCCCAAGCTTGTCAACACTCTAATTCAAGCAGATGGGCAGTCTATTGGTGTCCTGGGGCTGCTGTAAAGAAGTCCCACAAACTGGATGGCCTAAAAGAACAGAAATAAATTCTCTCACAGTTCTGGAGGCCCAAAGTCCAAAATCAAGGTGTCAGCTAGGCCATGTGCCATCTGGAGCCTCTAGGGGAGAATGCTTCCTTGCCTCTCCCTAGCTTCTGGTGGTGGCTGCAATCCTTGGCATTCCTTGGCTTGCAGCTTCACCACTCCAATCTCTCTGCCTGTTGTCACATGGCTTTCTCCCTGTGTGTCTGTGTTTTCACATGGTGCTTTCCTCTTTCATAAGGACCCCAGTCATGCTGGATGAGGAGTCCACCCTACTCCAGTGCTGCATGACCTCATCTTAACTAACTACAACTGCAGTAACAAACAAGACCCCAGTCTGAGGAAATAGGGACTAGGGCTTCAGTATATCTTTTTAGGGGACACAATTCAACCCATAATAGGCAGGAGGTTGGCTACAGAAATTAACAATCTATAAAATGGTCATGTCAACATATGGTTACATTCAGAACAATTTCATTTGTCAATCTATCCATAAGCATTCAATGAATACCTATGAAATTAACTAGTACTGAAATAATAATATGGTTTTTTAGAAGAAATAATGAAATGACAACAAGCCAGTCATTCTGAGATACTCCTAACTCAGCATATATCATTATTTAAATCTTGTTTCCAAAGAGTTCACAATCAGTAACTATATAGTGGGCAGCTACTCTGGACCACAATGGAGAGTTCCCCCTCCCCTCAACCAAAAAAATTTGAGATATGTCTTCAAGGAGCTAAAAACTGAGTTGGGAAGATGACAAACAAATGTTTAGATAACAATAAAGATAATTAATATGTATAAAAAAGGTTAAATAGTAATAAAGACAATAACAGAGGTGATACAATTAAAGCAAAACAGAGTATCTGCTTATGCTAATGATCACGGCTTTCATTTACAGATCATCTACTACCTGTCAGACATTGTTCTAATCACAGATTAAGTCATTTAATCCCCACCAAAACCTTAAAAGGCAACTAGGTATTACTATCATCATATGACAACTGACAAACACAAGGAACAGGAAGGTTAAACAATTTGTCTGCTAATAACTGTCAAAGGTGGAACTGAAATCTAGGCAATCTGACCGGCCCTCTCATCCACTAACAGATAGATATCTGTCATTCTCATTCTCTCATAGATGATCATATTAAAATGAGGACATCATGCCTCCTGCTTGCACAGCTGGATAAAAAAAATCTTTTCGGAATTTCATCCACGTGATAAAATCTGATGGTCACAAAGAAGAACCCTAGACTTCACTTTAAAGATGAGTCAACAAATAGGCTTTTTCCCCTGAAATCCATGTCTGTGAGTCACTGAAACAGCACAACCCTTGATTGTCTACTATTTATTTGTATCCACTTAGTCTTTATTAAAACTATCTTTTAAAAGGAGAAAGTTTTTATTACTAGTGCACAAAACACCCCATGAGGTGCAACTATCATGTAATGAGGCATTTGTTAAAAAGCCTGTCAGATCATATATAGCTGAGTTATTCTTCAAAGTAGTCCCCTTTGATGGTGTACACAAATTCCAGCAATGTGGCCACTGTTCAAAGTATTCTTTGAATTATTCTTTTGAAACTGCCTTTGGAATTTAAAGCTACATAAGGTACCATCTCATGAACTTTAACCATATCTTAATTTTTAAACCAAAACCAATGCTCCATACAGCACCGGTGCCCATTCTATGTATTAATAGAGGTGATACAAAATGATTTTGGCCTAGAGCCTTTGAGGATATTTTTTTTAAAGGTGCGAGGATATTTTTTTAAAGGTGCCTGGTCTCTGAAGTCAATCCAAAGAAGAGTTCCAAAATACATTGAATAATTTGGATTTGGAACTTCCTGACCTTCCTCTACATGGGGCTTTTGGAACGCTGCCTAGGGTCTTTTGATTGTTGAGAATGTTGGGCTTGATACATCTTAATTAGTCCTAACTTGCAAGAGCAGGTTGACCTTGAAGGTTAGCAGAGATAAGCAGTAGGAGTAGCAGCTTGCCCAACAGGCAGTTTGCCATAGTAGAGAAGGAGTATGCAAAGGGAATCCCCAAAGATGGCTTAATTAGGATCCTGGGAGAATCAGAAGGAGAAAGACTTGCCATGACCTAGAGAGTATGGACAATAGTTATCTTCATACTTGGAGCAGTTACTTCTTCCAGTCACAAATACAAACAACCACGTATCCTTGTTACAGAAGAAGGTGAAAGGACTGAACGTACATATTTTTATAACTTGGCACTATTGGCAGACAAGGTTTCACAGATGGGGCAGAAATAACCTGAAAAAAAAAAAGGCAGAAATAAAAAAGGCAAGATGAAGAAGAACCAAAACCAGTGTTAAAAGAATGGCAAGGAAAGAGAGGATGAAGAAATTCCAGTTCTAAAATAATGATACATGTGAATCTCGCAGAGAAGATCTATGTCTTTTGAAGGAGCAGTATATGCTGCTCCACAAAGAATTCCCAAGATCCAGATGGAAATTCTGTTATCGACACTAGGAGGAAAAGCTGGGTAGTGGTGGTTAAGAATGGGTATAAATGTGGTGATATGTATAGTCAGTAAGACTATTCATGAGGTGTGCTATCTTCCTGAAGATTGTATCTGAGACGTGGCTTCTATTAACGTAATTCAACATCTATCCATGATTTTTAAAAACACCCTCAGGAAATCAGGAATTGTCAAGGGCACCTATGAAAAACCTTCAGCTGACATCACACTTAGAAAGCATTTCTTCTTTCACCAATAAGAGTGGGAACAAGGCAAGGACGGTCACTCTTATCACTTGTATTTAACATCTTTTAGAGCTTCTAGCAAGTTCAAAACACATAACATATTGGAAAAAAGAAGTAAAACTGTATTTACAGACAACATAATCATGTATGCAAAAAAAATCCTAAGAATACTACAAAAAAACTACTAGAATAAGTAAATTTAGTAAGGCTGCATAAAACACAAAGCCAATATAAAAATTAATTATATTTGTATTGTTAGCAATGAACATATGAACACTGAAATATAAAAATACTGGCCCAGTGCTATAGTTCATGCCTGAAATCTCAGCACTTTGGGAGGCTGAGGCAGGAGGACTACTTGAGCCCAGGAAGTTGAGACCAGCCTGGGCAATACAGCAAGACCCTATCTCTACAAAACATAAAAAAAAAAAATTAGCTGGGCATGGGGGCATGCACCTGTAGTCTTCAGCTACTTGAGAGGCTGAGGAGGGAGGATCACTTTAGCCCAGGAGGTTGAGGCTACAGTGAGCCACCATCATGCCACTGCACTCCAGCTTAGGTAACAGAACAAGACCCTGTCTCAAAAAACTTTATTTTAAAAATGTCATTTGCAATACCAAAAAAAATGAAATACTTAGGGAAACACTGAACAAAATACGTCCAAGAATCACACACTGAAAGCTACAAAACATTGCTGAGAGAAATTAAAGACCTAAATACATGGAGAAATATTGCATGCTTGGGCCAGGCGTGGTGGCTCATGCCTGTAATCCCAGCACTTTGGGAGGACGAGGCGGGCAGATTACCTGAGGTCAGGAGTTCAAGACCAGCCTGACCAACATGGAGAAACCCCGTCTCTACTAAAAATACAAAATTAGCTGGGTGTGGTGGCGGGTGCCTGTAATCCCAGCTACTCAGGAGGTTGAGGCGGGAGAATCGCTTGAACCCAGGAGGCGGAGGTTGCAGTGAGCTGAGATTACACCATTGCACTCCAGCCTGGGCAACAAAAGCGAAACTCCATCTCAAAACAAAAATATACAGATAGATAGATAGATAGATAGATAGATAGATAGATAGAGATATATAGATACATATCGCATGCTCACGGATCAAAGACTCCTAATTGTCATGATGTCAATATTGATCTACAAAGTCAATGAAATCCCTATCAAAATCCCAACAGGCTTGGACAAGATGATTCCAAAATTTGTATGGAAAGGCAAGCGACCAAGAATATTCAAAACAATCTTGAAAAGAAAAAAAAAAAAAAGTTGCAGTACTTCCACTACCTGATCCCCAGACTTATTATAATGCCTCAGTAATCAAGACACTGCAGTACTGGTATAAGGATAGACATACAGATCAATGGAACAGAACAGAGACTATAATTAGGCCCTTCTTTTTGAGGTCCTAGCAATGGTCAATTGATTTTCAACAAAATTACCAAAATGTGTGGGCCTTTTCCCACAAATGATGCTGGAACAGTTTGATGTCCATATGGAAAAATAAATGAATCTTTACCCTTACTTCACAAAATATACAAAATTAACTTGAAATGGAACATAGACATACTAGTTTTATATTGCTGAATAACAAACTTAGCAGCCATAAACAGCACACATTTATCATCTCACAGTTTCTGTGGGTCAGGTGTCCAGGCACAGCTTAGCTGGGTCCTCTGCTCAGGGTCTCACAAAGTTGCAATCAAGGTAATGGCCAGGCTGCATTCTCATCTGGAGGCTCAACTGGGGAAAATCTGCTTCCAAGCTCATTCAGAGTGTTGGCAGAACTCATTTCCTTTAGGCTGCATGGTTGAAGGCCCTGGCTTTTTGCTAAGCAGCTTTTAGTTCCTAGAGACCACCTGCAGTTCCTTTCTATGTGGCCTTCCTCAATGTGGCTGCTCACATCAACAAGTCAGCAAAGAGAATCTCACCTCGGGGAGGACCCAGACCTTCTTTTAAGGGTTTTGTGCTGATTAATTCAGGCCTACCCAGGATAACTTCTCTTTTGATTAATTCAAAATCTACTGGTTGTGACCTTAATTATATCTGTAGAATCCCTACACTTTTTCCATATTCTAGTCTATATTCTAGAAGCAAGTCACAGGTCCTGCTCACACTCAAGGGAAGGGGATCACACAGGTATAAACACCAGGGGTTGGAAAGATCTGTCTGCCAAAACAGATCTAAACATAAGAGCAGGACTAAAAAAGTTCTGGAAGGAACACAGGGGAAAATTTTTGTGAACTTAGGTTAAGTAAAGATTTCTTAAAACACAAAAACTCAAACCATAACAGGGGAAAAAGTAAATAGGACTTCATCAAAATCAAAACTCCTTGCTCTTGCACAGGCACAGTTAAGAAAATGAAAGACAAACCACAGTTTGAGAGAACATGCTTGCAAATCACATATCTGATGAAGTACTTGTATCCAGAATATAAAAAGAACCCTCACAACTTCAGACAGACAATCCAATTTAATAAGAAATGGGCAAAAGATTTCAGCAAATCCTTCACCAAAGAAGATAAACTTAATGGCCAACAAGCACATAAAGACATGCTCACTATTACTAGTCACTAGGAATTTGTAAGTTAAAAATACAATGAGATACCATTATACACCCAGTCAAATGGCTAACATTTTAAAGGCAGACAATTAAAGCCAGTAGGAATGCAAAATGGCACAATGGCATGGCCACTTTGGAAAACAGTTTGACAGTTCCTTGTAAAGTTAAACATACACTAAACATATGGCCCAGCAATGCCACACCTAAGTATTTACACGAAGCAAATAAAAGCATGAGTCCACACAAAGACTTGTATGTGAATGTTCATGGCAGCTTTTTTTCAAAATGGCCAAAAACTGAATCAACTCAAATGATCAACTACTGAATGAATAAATTACATTATAACCATACTATGGAATACTACTCAGCAACAGAAAGTCAGGAACTGCTGATACATGCAACAACACAAAAATGAATATAAAAAGCAGTATGCTAAGTGAAAGAAGCCAGCCACAAAAATACCACATAAGCCTATCCTTGACAAATTTCAAAGAACTACGAGTGTTCACATCATATTCTTTCACCATAATGCAGTTAAGTTGTAAATCAGTTTTGAAAATACCCAGAAAATACATTTGTAAGTAAAAATATACTTCTAAACAGCTCGCAGGTGAATGAAATAATCATAATAGAAAATATCACAACTAAATAATCATGAAAATACTATGTTTTGAAACATCCAAACAGCAGAATAAATCTAAAGAAAGGAGGAGAAAATGAAGAATGATTCCTGGTATATTCTTTAAGTGAAAAGGGCAAGAGGCTGAATAGTGTATGAAATATGTTTTTGTGCAAGAAAAGGGGAAAATACATGTACGTGCTTGCTCAAATTTGCAAAAGATACTTAGAAGAACAAACTAATAAGATTGATCATCTACGGGGGGGAAAGAAACAGAATACCTGGTCAGAGATGGGGTGAAAGCAAGACTTTTCTGAATATACCTTGAAATAAATGTGACTTCAAAATCATATAAAGTTTTTACTCGTTAAAAATTAATCAAAAAAGCAGGGGAAAAGCCCTAAAAGGGAAACAAATGAACATAATTATATTATCAAGTTGGTGCCATAACCACAACTGACAAACCTCTGGTTAGACTAATAAAGAAAAAAGGAGGGCACAAACAAACAATAGTAGGATGCAGGAATGAAAAGACAGACACAGCTATAGATTTGGCAGACATTTGCTGGTAGTTTATAATCTTCCAGGCCCCAGGCAGCTCCATGTGCAAGTTCTAGCAACATTCAAGGAACCAGTAACTCCAATCTTATACAAACTTCCAGAGAACAGAAAAAGGGAATATCTCAACTCACTTTATAAGGCTAGCATAAGCATGATACTAAACTAGACCAAGACAGCACAGGAAAACTAATACCAAATCTTATGTATATAAGATGTAAAAATCCTAAAGAAAGTATTAGCAATCAAACCCAGCAGTAAGAAAGAACATGACCCTGTTGAGTTTATCCCAGCAATACAAACTTAGTTAATGCTACAAAGTTATACTAGAAAATCCCTTAAAATAGCCTACCACATTAACAAGTTCAAGGAGGGAAAACACAGGTTCTCCCTCACGCCTGTAATCCTAAGCACTTTGGGAGACTGAGGCAGGAGAATTGCTTGAGGACAGGAGTTTGAGACCAGCCTGGGTAACACAGTAAGAAGCCCTCTCTACAAAAACACAAACCAAAAACCTATCTCCATAAAGGAAGAAAAGGGGCTTGATAAAACTCAACATCCACTTATGACCGAAAAAAATGTACACTAGAAGTGCCCCTACACAAAACCTAGAGTAAACACAATACTTTATGGTGAAACATTGAAAGCAAGAGCCTTCTCAAGTAAAGATCTTGGGCCCCACCCCAGACCTACTGAATCAGAAACTCCAGGCATGATGCCAGGAATTTGTAGTTTTGCAAAAACCCCTCAGGTGATTATGATGTGGCTTGCTGCTCTGAGTGGGAGCCACAGAGCAACACTGTTGGCATCACCTGGGAGCTTGATGGAAATGAGAAGAAAAAGCTCTCCGGGCCCATCCCGGAACCACTGAGTCAGAATCTGTGTTTCAACTCGAAGTCCAGGTGATTCATAAGGCAATGAAGTTGGAGAAGCGCTCCTGGTAGTGCTGCACGCTGGGACCACTTTTTAAAAATGCAGATGTCAAGAGTCTCAGCCCAGATCAATTAAGTTCGAATATCTGTGGGCGATGCCCAGGGCAGCAAGTATGTAAAACTCCCCAAGTGATTCTAATGAGCAGCAGGAAAGGCAATCTCCTGGTCCGTGGTATTCCCTCTATGAGGAAACTTCTGTTTAGGGACTCTGCACCAGCTCTGAAAAGCCAGAGAAGAAAGAGGCATTCCTCGAGTTCTTTGAAGTTCCCCTCAAGAAAGAAGATTGCATTTCATACATATACCAATGGTGCCTTTTTAATATGGCTTACAAAACTAAAAACTGAAACCGAGAAAAAACCCTGTAGTCATGAGAGCTGCAGGAAGTTGCAGCGGAGGCTGCAAACCCAGAAGTCAGACTTGCCTGGGTTCAAATCCTGATATTACTGCTTCCTAAACGCTTCAGCTTAGACCTAACCTCTCTGAAACTCAGTGGGGATCTTAACAGTTTTTACCTCAAAGCGATGCTGTGAGGATTCATATGAGACCTGATGTAAAAGCACTGGGCTAAGGACTTGGCAAAGATTACACCTAATATTAATGTAAATTATGACTGAGGCGGCTATTTAAGCATTGACAGTGAATCTGATGAAATCCTCAGCAAATCAAGACCAAATGTATCTCTCCACAGCTGTAGCTCCTGAACACTTGAACTGTGGCTAATCCAAACTGAGATGGGCTATAATGTAAAATATACACCTGATTGACAATTTAGTACCAAAAAAGGAAAAACGTGTCATTATTATGTCGATGACACATTGAAATATTTCGCACATGCTGTGTTAAATATATTAAAATTGATTTCACCTGTTTCTTTACTTGTTCAATGTGGCTACTAGAAAATTTTAAATTACACATTCTCTATTGGCTAGCGCTATCTTAAAGGACTGGGAAGCCAGGATATGAGCTGGTACTATTAGACTATTTCCGAACTTTAATTTACTGCAAAATCACCCGGGGGCCTCATTAAAATTCACATTCAGCTTAAGGAGTCGGTGGTGGGTCTCAGTGGGTGAGGATGGGGCTTGAAATTCTGCCTGTTTCACCAGCTCCCGGGGAGCAAGGGCAATCCCCATCAATAAGAAAAACCTGTTTCATGCCATAGGCGTAATGGGAATCTCTGGGGAGATTATTAGAGTTGATATAGTGAAGGAAGGACATGTCCAGCAGAGTTAGACTCAGCTTCAACTTTGAAAAAATCAGTTCTCTCTCCAAGCAAGGGATTCAAAGAGGTGGGGGCCAGCACCAACGGTCAGTCCTCCCTTTGTTAGGGCAGTAGGGACCTGTGCTTTCTCTCCCAGATCCAGAACCACTGACATGGGCAAGGAACACCTCAGAACCAGGAAACTCAAAATGGAATACTGGCTGGGGTTTCTCATATCCTCCTAGTCACATAACCCGTGTTAACCGCAGCGCCCTCCTGGGGTCTCACTGAAACCAAGTGCAAACTTTCCTTCTTACTGTTATCCACAAACAGTACTGACACGCAGGTATATTTCATGTCATGGCCAAGGGTCACTGCTGTGCAGGCAGGTACATTTCTTATTTCAGTAAAAGAGCTTGGGCCAATTCCAGGCCTGCTGGATTCCAGCATAGTACCTATTCTCCTAAATCCCCACCTAAGTTGTCTCAGGGCCATAAAGCAATTTAAAAGTCATATAAGGGAATTTAAAGCACCACCACCTGATGCTAAGAATCTACCTTATAACCCACCTCTGCCTCTACATCTCCCAAGAAGGGGAAAGGATAACTGATGTAGCAATCCATTACATTCCAAGCAAAAGGCTCTGGGAAATAAACAATGCTTCCTTCTCACAAAAAAGTTCAAGGACATGCTATCAAAATATAACAATTATCACATGCTAAAGAAAGGGCATTGCTGTGTGCTGTCAGGGTTTGGAGGCAAGGGGATAAGAGATGAATGAGTTACAAACAACTTTTATTTTTACTTTCAATTATTCCCCCTTCAACTTCCCACCCCAAACATACTAGCAAGCAAAGCAAAAACTAATCTGTACTCAAACTGCTCATGCCAAGAGTTCAAAAATCAAGAAGCTGAGAAGAAAAGGGTGGCAAGACAATGACTGATTCAAAGAACTTTCTCATTTGCTGTTTGACCACGGCAAGAAAGGTTAAGCATGAGCTCCATTTCATCTGGCAGACAGGGAGCATGATCTCTAGACATGCAACAGAATTGGTTACAATGATCATGTGTGAACAATTCTAAGCTGGCCTCCTTTGTCTAGTTCAAGTTAAATAATGTTTACTAAATGTCTACTGTGTGTATAGGACCATCTTAGGTTTCAGACAATCAGAAAAAATATCTCCAACCTCGCCCTTTTTATTACAATCATAGAAAATGAAAAACATACTGAAATATGTAGGAGTTACCTATTAAGACAAACAGTCAAGGAACAGCAATACTAAACTAATACAAGTACATGAAATTCATTGCAAAGTGCAACTTACAGAGACATTTCAAGATACTGAGAAACAACTTTAACGAGAAAAGGCCGCTCAGGCGCCTGCCCTATCACTCAGGAGCCTGCCCTGTTCCAGCAAGGAGGATGGTACAGACCTGGGGAGCTATCAACCATCTCTTCCCCAGAGCCTGGATCGCTTTTTATTCTAACCCCAGAAGCACAAGCATCCAGTCTAGTATGGACTCAGGAGCTGCGGTCAGGTCTCGATTGGAAAAGAGAAAGTCTTCCATTCTGAGACACTTGGGAGAGGCAGGCAACATTCCCTGAGGCTGAGCTTGCCTTGCTGTCACCCTGTGATTGTTGGTTATACACTACTACCATTTTAGGAATACATAAAACAAAAACTTGTTATGGTATACCAGTGACATCAGGCCCCTATGAAAGAGGCAATATAAATACCTGCATATTTTAATGATGACAGAAGAGGGAGATTGAGGCAGAGAGGCCACACCTACAGCCACAGGGAAGACAGTCCAAGAACAGGAAGGACAACTGCCCTCTTATACCAGTTCTCCAAATAGCAACTGCTTATACAACACATTCATGCAATAATAATAATGCTGCACACTTTACAAAGGGCTCTGAGGCACATTTGATTCTCTGACGAACTCTGGAAACTTGGCAGGGCAGGTTTTATTAGCTCTATCTTACAGATGGAAGAGCCACTAGCAGCAAGGTTAAATGACTTGTCCAGTGACACAGAGTTAAGGAAGAGAACTGGGACCTGAACTCAGCTTCTGGAATCCAAATGCAGGAAGCTTTCTACCACCTCACACAAACAAAAGGCTCATTTACCATAGTTCCTCTGGTAGAAATAGAAAGCACTAGTAGTACACAATGCCAATTATCTAAAGAGATGCCTCCACATTCTTAAAAAGAAAAAGATGAGACTGTCGTGGTACTCACAGTGGAAAAATACACTGCAAAGATTTCCAATGAAAAATCTTCCCCCAACTACAGGATGACAACGGGACCTAACTCAGTAACTCCTACTGGGTCTCCTGATACACTCTCACTTTCAAGGCAGATAAACTAGAAGAAGGCCTCTCTTGCTCTATTATTGTTTGTAGCAACAAAATTTGGCCTCAAGAAATTTCTAAGTCCAAATGGTAAAGGGAATATAGCACTGCAAGAACGGAGGACACTGCTGCCAGCGTCGCCTGGAACCAAAAGCTCGTGCCAACAAGGAAATGCAGAGAAATGTCGAGAAAAGCAAGCTACTGGATTCCAAAAGTTTATTAAGACATAGCTAGAATAATGTATTTTCTTAAAAACAAAAGAGTTCCATATCGTTCAAGTCAATAACAGCTTTTCTTTAGTGTCTACTACATGCAAGACACTTTTCTAAGCACTTAGCATAGATTATTCACTCAGTCCCTCCAGCAACCCTTTGAGAAAGGTACTATTATTATTCTCATTTGACAGATAAGGAAACTAAAGCACAGAGTTAAGTACCTTGCCTAAAGTCACACAGATAATATTAGGTCCAGGATTCAAATTGGGGCAGGCTGCCCAATCCAGAGTCAAAATCTTCTAGGCAAATGACGGTCCCTATCCCCCACATCTGCCAAAAAGGAAATAAAGAACTAGAAAACTAGAAAATAATGAAAGCAGAACTTCAAAGAGGTCGAAAACAGGAAAGGAAAATTACTAAAGAATAATGAAAACAATCTATTATTCTGTTACAAAATCGAATAAACTTTAGAAATGAGAAACTCCAGCCTTTGAAATCCTCTGGTTACCCCTTTAAAATGTCACCTATTAATCGTTGAGAGTCTCCACTTTTCTCTTTATTTTGGAGCCCTCAATAAGAGCAAGAACCATGTGTTTTCAGTGGTTTCTAAGTAACTACATTTTGTTAATCTGCCTCTCATTTTGGAACAAAAAATATTAAAGTATTTTTTGTAACTTTAATTATTTTTCAGACCTGTAAAAGTTTAAAATTTTGCTTTGAAGCCATTGAACATACAGAATATGAGAGAACTTAGAAGGTATTAAACAGATGAACTTTTACAGTCAACTCTCATTAATGCCATTTTATTAGCGAGCACTCTTGTTCCTAAGAATGAGTGCTTCTTTTCTCTTGAGCTATTTCAAAATGAACTAGTTTCTTTACAAACCACACAAGGACTGATGATCATTTCAGATAAGAGGTTCACAGTACAAACCATTGCACAGGAAGAGAAACCCTTGTGCAAGGTAGCCTGAGAGTCCAGCAGACACCGGCATGAAATCAACAACCAATATTGACCTCAGCAGAGCTTTCTGTAGCTACAGTCAGCTATCTAACTATGAAAACAGCAAAGGATTTGAAAAATACCTCTCTAGGTATTTGAAATCACTTACTGTTTGCATGTCGGGGTGGGGGGAAATGTGAGTAAAAATGAGGCTGGGATGAGCTTACCATCTAAAAGACACTCATTGGAGAAATGATGACTCCAAAAAATCTCTTTGATTCAGAGATTTACTTTTGGATTTATTTCCTTTACTGGAGCAGCAGCTGGCAATCTAAAACTAGAAATTCAAAGTAATGCCCAAGTCATTCTCAATCATGCCAGCCTGTTTCACTGTCATTGTAAGGTTTCAGAGCTCTATTTTTTCTCATAGCGCTCATCTCTGCCAGAAAATATATCATTGTTTATTTTTTTATTGTGTGCCTCCCCACATATAAACTCTATAAGGCAGGGACCTCAGCAGTGGGGCTCTTTGCTGTCTTCCCAGTGCCCACCGTTGGCATTCTTGTGTTTGATGAATGAATGAAACCATCGACAACTTAATAAATGTAGTTAGAACTTTAAGTTAAAGAGACCAATCATTTACTAACTACACTAGAATCTACAAGCCCCCCGTGAATGTTATCCACCCTCAAGCACCCGGGAGGGTACTATACACTGGTGCTGCAGGCAGCACCACTGGTTCAAATCTCCCCCATGGTGTGGAATCTCTGAAAAGTAGATTTGATTTTGTGAAGCAGCCAAAAGCCATTCAGAATCAAATCTGGTGAATACATGATCGTGCCCAATATATATGTTGGATGAAGGCAAACGTGTCTGCAAAGTAACAGGCCTGATTGTCTTATTTGGTTGGTAAACCGATTTTGAAGGAAATTCAAAATGGTTTGCAGTCTAGCAAAATTGCTGGCTCAGTCTCAAGACTCTAAGGTGCTTATTTCACAAGGAATAATACTGAGCTGTGGTAAAAAGAATCCAGACTAGACAGACACCAAGATACCCCCAAAGAGCTGGCTTGTGATATTAGCTTTGCCATTAAGTTGCCCTGAAGCCCGGGACATATTAGTTACCCTCTCTGGGCCTCAGTTCCCCCATCCAGGAAACAAATGAACAATGTAAACTTCAGGATGCCAGTCAATTCTAAAATGCTATAATTTTATTCTTGTGAAGATCTGGTGTATCTGTTTCAAAACCAGTCGCAACCCACTTCGCCTCAAACGATGCGTGCGTCTATAAAGCTCTAATATAATTTTTGCAGCAGATTCACTTCTTACTTGCTTAGGCAAATACTAAAATTAGTTTTCACTTCCTGAGCGCAGCAAAAGACAGTTAAGGGAGGCAACCCGGCCACGGGCGCTTGCTCGTGCCTGTACATACTTCCGACTGCGTATCAGGGAACTAACCGTTCCCTCTAAGATCTTCCCTCAACTGTTGCAAAAGCAGATAAACCTCTCGTGTATGACACAGAAACACTGGCCGAGAGCGGCCATCGAGGCTTCGCGGCCAGTGCCGGGCTGCGGCCGCTCCGCAGGGCCCACCGGGGATGCGACGGACGCCCGCTCCGTGCGGAGGGCCAAGGCGAGGACCAGCCGCGGAGCGTCGCCGGGGAGGCAGGGCGGACGCCCGGCCCACTCACCGCCCCGGGACGGGGAAGCAAAGTCCAGGCAGTGGCTGAGACGTCCGCCCCCAGCTCCACGGCCAGCCAACCCCTACCCCCGTCCCGACCTTCGCCCGCCGCCGGCCGGCCACCTTGGGCGGGGAGAACGGGAGGAAGCCGGAGGTACCTGCCTGCTGCTCCCTGGCCTCAGCCCTGCCCCGCGGGGACAGCGACGGCGCTTGGACGAAACCCCCACCCAACCCTGACGGTGCGGCAAGGCCCCGCGCGACCCGCTGGCCCAAGGAGTCCCAACTTCCTCCTCCCGATCCCCTCACCACGGGTCCCCGCAGTGCCCGGCTCCGAGCCAGGCCAGCCGTGAGCGCGCACCCACCTCGGGCTCCGGGCGCCACCGCCGTTGCCAGGCTGCTCGGCTGCCGGGCCCTGCTCCGCCCCCTCTGGGGTCCGCCCCCCACGGCCTGCCCGCCCCCGGCCACCGCCCGCTGCCCGCCTCCCCGTGCCGGTTGGCGGGACTGCATCACGTGACGGGGCAGGGGGCAGGAAGAGTGCGCCGGGTCGACCTGGGGAGCAGCTCCGAAGGGCGGGGCTCTTCGCCCGAGAGGCTGCTGGGAAGCCCATTTTGAAGGGTCCGACGCATGGAGGCAGCTGGGAATTGTAGTTCGCAATATGGTGCTGGGGATGGGCGGGGCCAAGATGCCAGGGGCCATCCCTGTAAGGGAAGTTGGACTGGGCGCCGGGCGGAGGCGGCTGGGAAGCGTAGTCCCGGGACCCTTGTCTGGGTCTCCCCATTTTTCTTCAGTAAAGGGGAAATCCAGAGGGAAAACTTCTCTATACAAGACTTTAGCGGATGCCACTAAATTGAGCTATTATTGGGTACACAGGGTTGGCTGCGTAAAGTTGAGATAGTATAAGGGAAAAAGAAATTTCACTGACTCTGGGGCAGGATCTGCAATTCACAAACTCAACTAACAGCTGGGGTGTCCCTCAGCTGTGCCAGCACCTTTCCAAGAACGCAATTGAGACTTAGTGAACGGAAACATTTCAGTCCAAAATTCCTTCTACTTGTTGAGGTTTGGGTCAGACAACTATTGATACAGTAAAAAGAAAGGGACAGGAAAAAGAGAAGAAAGGCAAACTTCAAGAAGAGAATTCATTGTGTAATCAAATAAAACAAACAATCTGGGCCGGGCGCGGTGGCTCACGCCTGTAATCCTAGCACTTTGGGAGGCCAACGCAGGCGGATCACCTGAGGTCAGGAGTTCGAGACCAGCCTGGACGACATGGTGAAACCTCGTCTCTACTAAAAATACAAAAATTATCCAGGCGTGGTGGCAGGTGTCTGTAATACCAGCTGCTCGGGAAGCTGAGGCAAGAGAATCGCTTGAACCCGGGAGGGAGAGGTTGCAGTGAGCTGAGATGGCACCACTGCACTCCAGCCTGTGTGACAAAGCGAGACTGCGTGTCAAAAAAATTAAAAAAAGAAAAGACAACCTGGCACATAGAAAAATGAGCATAATATTCTTTGTACTGCATAATACTTATACGCGAGCAGTTCGAGTAAATAGGATGACTTTATCATGACCTGTTTTTTTTCTCTTGTATGTGTTAGTTCTCCAGCATCTAAAAACAGCATTTTACCTGATACCAGTGTATATGTGTACGTGTGTTTCTACATAGTCACACACATATACACATATATTCATATATCATTTATATATGCATATATATATGCTTTATTGAAGAGTCTAGACTTCTTAGAAGAGTAACAAAGCCATCCAGAATCCAACCCAACCCACTCTTTAGCCACTTCTCCCAGTGTGCCTCTTTTTGCTCTTCACCCCAAGCTCTGGCCTAGTTCCAGGGAACTTGATGCACTGGGTTTTTTCTTTCCTCCAGCCCTTTCCACTTGGTCCTCTCTCCTGGATTTGCCAAACTCCTGGAAAGACAGCAGAATAGCAGCTGCTCCTGGGCCCCCGCACAATTAGAAGTCTCCCCCACCCAGCCCTTCTTGTTGTACTGATGTCATCATTTGCTTACACGTCTGCTCTGCCAACTCCCCTCCCCAGACTATGAACTCCTTTGAATCTCATTCACTTTTGTGCTGAATTTCAAAGCACGCTCAGTAAATTTGCATGCTAGAGAGGCTCCCTGGTGGGCTGCTGAATAACTCTGGATTCCTGGTATCTGTGAATCTTAGGGCAGAGGGATAGAGGAAAATGGGGATGGGTGGAGGGAGGGCAGCAGCTGCCTGGGATACCTTGCATATAATAGGCCTGGTTAAGTGTCCCAAGATGAGGCCAAAGCTTTTCGATGGAGCTGGGAGGAGCTGGGGGTTAGGAGGTGGGGAAGGTGCAGAGCAGGGATGGTCTCATCCTAAGGAGGTAATTCCTGAAGATTTTTCCAGGGTCCAGCCCCAGCCCAGCCCCACCTCTAGAAAGATGCAATTCAACCAGAAAGGGCCAGTAGAGAAGATTAGCCTTTGGCCTGTGAAATGGAGAGAGTAACCCCTGCCGTGCCTGTCTCACGGTGTAGGTGCAGAGATCGAATGAGGCAACAGATGAGGAAGCACTTTGAAAACTGTAAAGGTTGTACACTATGGGCTGGGCGCGGTGGCTCAGGCCTGTGATCCCAGCACCTTGGGAGGCCGAGGCGGGCGGATCACTTGAGGTCAGGAGTTCGAAACCAACCTGGCCAACATGGTGAAACCCCGTCTCTACTAAAAATACAAAAAAATTAGCCAGGCGTGGTGGTGGGCGCCTGTAATCCCAGCTAATCGGGAGGCTGAGGCAGGAGAATTACTTGAACCCGGGTGGTGAAGGTTGCAGTGAGCTGAGATTGCACCACTACACTTCAGCCTGGGTGACAGAGTGAGATTCCATCTCAAAACAAACAAACAAACAAGGTTGTACACTATGGAGGGGTTACCGCCTTGCCCTTGGTGACATCGCTGTATTCTTGACTGAGCCTGCCCTCTTCCAGGCTGGGGCTGCACTCACATTTCAGTGTGTGTGTGTGTGTGTGTGTGTGTGTGTGTGTGTGTGTAGGAATCTTCAGGCTTCCCTGCATTTTGCACACATACACCCCCCCATCATGCAGGAGGCCTGTGAGAAGATGGCTGGCCTCCCTCTCCAGGGCTCCAGGACAATAGAGAGGAGGGGGCAATAGATGCGACCTCAGGCTGCTTCTTCCACAACCCTTCTGAGTAGCACAGCCTACACCTGTTTCCGCCCCTCTCCCCCAGAGTCCTCCCGCTTTTGCTAAGGCACAGGCTGGAGGGCTGGAGGCACCTCCTACCTTCAGAGGCTTCATCCTGTTCTCTGCAGTTGGGGGAGGCAGGCTAGGCAGCACCAGGAGGAGCCTGCACTCTGGATTTGGTTGGCTTCATCCCTTACCTCCACCTCTGGCCTCTCACCTCCTAGATAAGAAGCAGGCCCGAGCGAGGAAATGGCCTGTTTCCTGCTACTTCTCCCTTGGCCTCTATGCTCTGATCTCCCCAGTCCCCACTCCTGCCTCAACTTAATCCTACCAGGTTCAATGTATTGGGCCTGAGGCAGGGGAAGGTGGAGGAAAGGGAGGGGCATTCTTACTGAGGAAAGAGAAGGCTGAAGAAAAAGAAAATTAGGAATGAAAAATTTTAAATGTAGCTGTGGGTTACCATGCTCTAGCAGAAAGCACTTGGAACTAGGAAACCTGATTCAGGTCCCAGAAATTCTATAGGCAAGCTGTTGGCCTTGGGAAAGTCACTTCACCTCTCTGATCATTAACTGCTTCCTCTGAAAAAAAGGGGTTGAATGCCACCTCCCAGGGTCGTTGTGTCCCCTTGAGGATAGATGTAAATGTGATGTATAGAGTGTCAAGGCAGCAGAATTCCCAAGTTGCCACGGTGATCACTGGGGAGAGAGATGGGAGAGGATAGGGGGTAAGCCCCTGTGCACTGACACAAAGGTTCCAGGGTTTAAATCCTAGCTCTTCCATTTGTTAGGTGTGTGACTTCGGGCAAGTACACCTCTCCAAACCTCTACTTCCTCATCTGTGAAATGGGTTTTATTCATTAACTCCTTCATAAGCTTGTTGTGAAGCACATGAATGCCAGGTCTAACTTCTGAATCTAGGAGAACTGCAAAGCAGCTCTGCCTACCTCCTCCTCCCCAACCCCAGTCTGTATTTAAAAAGCAGCCTCAGCAGGATAGTGCAGCCCCTTTGGAAAATGGTTTGGCAGTGAATTACAAAGGTAAATGTACATATGGCCGAGCAATACTATTCCTAGGTATTTATCCAAGATATATGGAAACATACGTTCACAAAAAGACGTGTATTCAAATATTCACAGCAGCCTTTCAAAAATAATAGTCAAAAGCTGGGCGCGGTGGTTCACGCCTGTAATCCCAGCACTTTGGGAGGCCGAGGTGGGTGGATCACAAGGTCAAGAGATCGAGACCATCCTGGCCAACATGGTGAAACCCCGTCTCTACTAAAAATACAAAAAATAGCCAGCCTTGGTGGCGTGCACCTGTAATCCCAGCTACTCAGGAAGCTGAGGCAGGAGAATCGCTTGAACCCGGGAGGCGGAGGTTGCACTGAGCCGAGATCGTGCCACTGCACTCCAGCCTGGCGACAGAGTGAGACTCCTCTCAAAATAATAATAATAATAATAAAAAATAGTAAAAGAATGTAAGCATCTCAAATCCCCACTGATTAAACCCATAGCTAAGCCAATGGTGATATATGCACCCAATGGAATATTACTCAGCAATAAAAAGGAAGAACTATTGATATATGCTACAACTTGAATGAATCTCAAAAATATCATGCTAAATGAAATAAACTGTACACAAAATATTATATACTGCATGATGCCATTTATATTACATTTTGGAAAAGGCAAAACAATAATGATAGAAAGCAGATTTATGGTTGACTGGGGCCAGAGGTCAGCCTAGAGGTGGGTGGGGGATTGACTCCAAAGAGGCAAGAGGAAAGTTTTGGGGGTGATTGATAGAAATGTTCTGTGTCTTGATTGTTGACACGATCATGAAACCATATACAATTGCCCCCAAATCATTATACTATAAACATGAGATGGGCGAATTTCACTGCAGATAAGTTATACTTCGGTAAAGCTGAGTTTGTTTTTTTTGTTTGTTTGTTTTGAGACAGAGTTTTACTCTGCCTTCCAGGTTGGAGTGCAGTGGCACAATCTTGGCTCACTGCAACCTTTGCCTTCCAGGTTCAAGTGAGTCTCCTGCCTCAGCTTCCCAAGTAGCTGGGATTACAGGTGTGCACCATCACGCCCAGCTAATTTTTGTATTTTTAGTAGAGACGGGGTTTCACCATGTTGGCCAGGCTGGTCTTGAACTCCTGACCTCAGGTGATCCACCTGCCACAGCTTCCCAAAGTGCTGGGATTACAGGCGTGAGCCATCGTGCCCGGCCCAATAAAGCTGAGATTTAATCCCAGCACTTTGGGAGGCCGAGGCAAGCAGATCACGAGGTCAGGAGTTCAAGACCAGCCTAACCAACGTGGTGAAACCCCGTCTCTACTAAAAATACAAAAATTAGCCAGGTGTGGTGGCACGTGCCTGTAGTCCCAGCTACTCAGGAGACTGAGTCAGGAGAATCGCTTGAACCCGGAAGGCAGAGGTTGCAGTGAGCCAAGATCACTGCACTGCACTCCAGCCTGGGTGACAAAGCAAGACTCTGTCTCAAAAAAAAAAAAAAAAAAAAAAAAAAAGCTGAGATTTAAGCATGGGAAGAAGACAAGAAGACATAGCCTCAGTTAAGATTCCTAAGGCTGCCCAGAATTGTCTATCTCTTTTTGGTTGGTTGGTGGGTTGGTTGTTTTCTAAGAGGACTGGGGTCTTGAAGGGGAGAGAGTGGTGATGCTTGCCGTGAAAATAACAAGGATGTGCTACCCAGTCTGTTCACCATCACAATCAAGAAATAGAACATTTCTATCATTCCCGAAGCAGGAGAAGACAGAGCCCAGCCTAATGGGGGCAGGACAGAGAGAGCTTACCTGGATGCAGGAGACCTGGGATCTACATCCCAGACAGAGAGAGCATTACCCTTGTGGGCCCCAGGGATCAGAAGCTTCCCCCAGCTTCTCTCTGGGAGCTGCCAGTGATCTGCAGGCACATGTGCAGTGGGGCTCCAGGAGACCGTGAAAGCCAACCTGTACACTCTGCTCCTGGGCAGACGAGACTGCTATTGCTTCTCACTGGTATTTTGCTTCCACTTTCTCACAGAGCTCAATGTTAAGTTGGAGCCTCCTTGAGGAGGCCCCGCTGGTCAGCAGGTTCTATTTTGCCAGGTGCTAGATGGAAGTTTGAGCCAAGTAATGGGACATGAAAACACATACAGAGAGAAACCCAGGTTCTTTGTCTCAGGGCTTCTTGGACACCGGGGCCAGCACAAAGGGCTTATGGTCATGACATCACAATGTTTCCAAGTGCCAGTCCTGTTTGCTTCCTTCATCACTAGGCACATATAGGGTATTCACCGAGGACTTTGAAGTCTAGTCCACAGGCAACACCATGACAAAATTGCCCCAGTCAGATCACAAATAAAACTAAACCCAACTCACAAGATCCTCTCCTTCTACCCCCAATTACAAAGACTTAAATAAGATAAAAATAAAAGAAACCTCAGTTGTTACACTAAATAACTTTTAAGAAAGTAAGCCCTATGAGGAAATGTTTCACGATACAGTCAAGTGTGTTTTACTCAAAACAGGCTTTTTAAAAAGAGCTTTATCTTTTATTTGAAGGGCCTGATTCATGTTGAGGTGTGTAGTATGCTACTTCTCAAACACAGATTTGTAGACCCAAGATTAAAACCAAGAGAGAATATATGAGAAGGGAAAAAATAAAAGATTAAAAAAACCTGAGGTCGGGTTCAGCGGCTCATGCCTGTAATCCCAACACTTTAGGAGACCAAGGCAGGTGGATCAGTTGAGGTCCCACTTGAGGTTTGAGACCAGTCTGGCCAACATGGTGAAACCTCGTCTCCACTAAAAATACAAAAATTAGCCAGGTGTGGTGGCAGGTGCCTGTAATCCCAGCTACTTGGGAGGCTGAGGCAGGAGAATCGCTTGAACCCAGGAGGTAGAGGCTGCCGTGAGCCGAGATTGCACCACCGCACTCCAGCCTGGGTGACAGAGTGAGACTGCCTCAAAAAACAAAAACAAAAACAAAACTGAATGTCAGCAAATATTTGCTGAACCTGAACGAAATTGTGTTATTTAAGATTAATTAAAATGAATAAAATAGGAATAAACTTAATCAAGGAGGCAAAAGACTTTTACAATGAAAACTGCAAAATATTGCTAAAATAAATTAGACACAAATAAATGGAAAGACAGCTGTGTTCAGGGATTAGAAGACTCAATATTGTTAACATGTAAATACATTCCAAAGTGATCCACAAATTCAATGTAGTCGCTATCAAAATCTCAACAGCAGAGATATTTTATTTTTAGACTAGAAAAATACATCATAAAATTCACATGAAAATCAAGGGGCCCCAAATAGCCAAAACAATCTTGAAAAAGAAGAATGAAGTTGGAGATCTCACATTTCCTGATTTCAAAACCTTACAAACCTATAGTAATCAAAATAGTGTGATACTGGCATAAAGACAGACATTTATACCAATGGGATAGAATAAAGAGACCAGACAGAAACCTTAAAATATATGGTCAAATGATTTTCAGACAAAGGTGCCAAGACCATTCAATGGGGAGAGGGCATCTTTTCAACAAATGCTGTTGGGAAAACCAGATATCCACATGCAAAAGAATGAAGTTAGACCCTAACCATACACCATATACAAAAATTAACTGGAAATGGATGAAAGATCCAAATGTAAGAGCTAAAACTATAAAACTTTCAGCAGAAAACACAGGGGAAAGCTTCTTGACAGGATTTGGCAATCATTTTTTAGCTATGACACCAAAAGCACAGCAACAAATGTAAAGTAGATAAATGAAGTACATCAAAATTTAAAACTTCTGTGCGTCAAAAGAAACAAAAGAGTGAAAATGCAACCTAAAGAATGTAAGAAAATATTTGCAAATCACATATCTGATGAAGGATTAATATCCAGAATATATAAAGAACCCCGGCTGGGTGTGGTGGCTCACGCCTGTAATCCCAGCACTTTGGGAGACCGAGGCGGGCGGATCACGAGGCCAGGAGATCGAGACCATCCTGGCTAACACGGTGAAACTCCGTCTCTACTAAAAATACAAAAAATTAGCCGGGTGTGGTGGCGGGTGCCTGTAGTCCCAGCTACTCGGGAGGGTGAGGCAGGAGAATGGCGTGAACCCGGGAGGCGGAGCTTGCCATGAGCTGAGATCACGCCACTGTCCTCCAGCCTGGGCGACAGATCGAGACTCAGTCTCAAAAAAAAAAAAAAAAGAACCCCTACAAGTCAACAACAAAAAACTCCATTAAAATAGGGAAATGCAAATCAAAACCGCAATGAGATATCAGCTCACACCCATTAGGATAGCTACTATTTTTAAAAAACACAAGCCAGGTGTGATGGCTCATACCTGTAAACCCAGCATTTTGGGAGGCCAAGCCGGGAGAATTGCTTGGGCCCAGGAGTTCAAGACCAGCCTGGGCAACATAAAGAAACCCCTGTCTCTACAAAATATTCAAAAAATTAGCCAGGTGTGGTGGTACATGCCTGTAGTCCTAGCTACACAGGAGGTTGAGGCTAGAGGACTGTTTGAAACTGAGAGGTCAAGGCTGCAGTGAGCCATGATGGCACCACTGCACTCCAGCCTAGACAACAAAGCATGACTTTGTCAAAAAAAAAAAAAAATACAAGTAAAACCCCACAGAAAATAGCAAATATTTATGAGCATGTGGAGAAATTGGAAGCCTCGTGCATTGCTGGTGGTAATGTAAAGTGGTGCATCTGCTGTGGAACACAGTATGATGGCTCCTCAAAATATTAAATACAGAATTACCATAGGATCCAGCAATTCCCCTTTTGGGTATATACCCACCAGAATAGAAAGCAGGGTCATAAAGAGATGTTTGTACACCCATGTTCATAGCAGCATCATTCAGGATAGCCAAAAGCTGGAGGCAATGCAAGTGTTCATTGATGATCAAAGGAGAGAGATAGATAAACAAAATTTGGCATATACATACAATGGAATATTAGTCTTAAAAAGGAGGAAAATTCTGACACATGCTACAACATAGATAAACCTTGGGGACATCATGTTAAATGAAATAAGCCAGTCAAAAAGGCAAATACAGGCTGGGAACAGTAGCTCACACCTGTAATCCCAGCACTTTGGGAAGCTGAGGAGGGCAGATCACCTGAGGTCAGGAGTCCAAGACCAGCCTGACCAATGTGATGAAACCCCATCTCTACTAAAATAACAACAACAAAATTAGCTGGGCATGGTGGCGCACGCCTGTAATCCCAGCTACTCGGGAGGCCGAGGCCGGAGAATTGCTTGAACCCGGGAGGTGGAGGTTGCAGCGCACCAAGATTGCGCCACTGCCCTCCAGCCTGGGTGACAGAGCGTGACTCCGTCTCAAAATTAAAAAAAAAAAAAAAGGCAAATACTGTAAGATATGAGGTCCCTAGAGTAGTCAAATTCATAGAGGCAGACAGTAGAATGATGGGGGCCAGGGGCTGGGGGAAGGGAGAAAAAAGGAGTTATTGTTTAGTGGGTATAGCGTTTCAGTTTTGCAGGATGAAGAGAGTTCTGGAGATTGGTTTCACAACAATGTGAATGTACCTAACACTATTGAACTGTATGCTCAAAAATGATTAAGATGGTAATTTTATCATGTTATCATAATTTTATCATAAAATTTTATGTCATATTTATTTTACCACCATTGAAAAAAATTAATTAAGCCCTCACAAGTAGCTTGAGCTTAGGGGACCAAAAACTCAGACTCATTGATAACATTCTCTGTGGTTCATCTCAGACGTGATTGTACCTTTCAAGGTCAGCTTCCACCCAGGACAGGAGGTCTCATGTCCTGCTTCAGAAACAAAGCCTCCCACAGGGAGCCAGAAGTAACTAAGAGCCCAAGTCCCAGGCGACTAGAAGGATGAGGAAGCCAGAATATGTGTCCTTTCCAAAATAAATACTACCCCTCTTTGTTTCACTGCCAAAAACCCATGAGAGTTGTGAAGGCGGTGGGAGGGGGATCTTTTCCCAGAATATCTTCCCAGACCCCTCCTCTCCACTCAGGAGAGCAAACACCAGAGAGAAGGCAGGCGGGGCTGTGTAGGGGAGCAGGACGCGATGGAATCGCCTTAGAAACTGCCTTCTAAGGATCCCACTCGTCAGGAGGTAGGCAGCTGAGGTGCAGTTCTTTGACAGAATGCTTCAGATGGAGTCTAACAAAGGCACGCCCTCTCCAGTTAGAGCCTCCAGGGATCACTTCAAAAAGGTCATTGACCAATGGATGGGGGAAGTGCACTCCCCCACTCCCCAGGAAGCCTGTTAACCCTATTAATCTTCAGGTGAGGGCCTCCGGGGGTAGCTATTTGTGAACAGAATGGAGTCTCAGCCACCTCCCCAATCCCCTACCCCTACCCCTGTCAGGCCCCTAGGAAGTAAAAATGTAGCATTTCCAGCAGGAGTATTTCTAGTGACAGCTGGAGACCACCCACCTGCCCTTCCTCATACCATGAGGGCTCATGGGAACGAAGCCGAAGCGCTAGGGAGTGAGAGCATTGGCAACTGCCCAGACTAAGAGCCTGGGTTCTCAGCGCTGCACATGGAAACCTACCTGTTTAGGCTAACCGTCCCTCAAACCCCCAAGCCCTCATCCCCCAACACCTGCCCCCCAACATAGAACATTGTGCATGTTCTTGTTTAATGGCTTGAGATATGATTTACTCACTATAAAATTCACCCACATAAAGTGTACAATTAAATGGTTTTTAGTATATTCAGAGCTCTACAACCATCACTGCTATCTATGTCCAGAATATCGCATCATCCCCAAGGAAAACCGAGAACCATTAGCAGTCGTTCGCCATTTCTCCTTCTCCACTATCCCTTGGCAATCACTTTCTCTATGAATTTGCATACTCTGAAAATTTCATATAAATGAAATCATAGAATATGTGGCCTTTTATGTCTGGCTTCTTTCACTTAGCATCATGTTTTTGAGGTTCATCCATTTTGTAGCATGAATAACTGCTTCATTCCTTTTTATGGCTGAATAATATTTCTTTTTTATGTTTACCAGTTTATTATAAAGGATATTACAAAGGATACAGATGAAGAGATACATAGGGTGAGGTATGGGGGAAAGGACATGGAGCTTCTATGCCCTCCCTGGGAACACCACCCTTCAGGAACCTCCACATGTTCAGCTATCTGGAAGCCCCCTGAACCCAGTCCTTTGGTTTTTATGGAAGCTTCATGATGTCAGCATTCCTTCCCCCAGGACCCTCTCTGGAGAGGATCTTAAGACACACAATTGGAAAGGCTAGGGAAGATTAGAGTCTTGCCTTGGAGCAGGTGAGAGGGGGGCAGGAGAAGGTCCCAGAGATTCTGTTTCCTGAGGCCTGCTCCTGAGGCCTAACAAACCCAACATTTTAATCAATGACCATTACAAGGGCTATGGGAGTCATGAGCCAGGAATCCTGGATGAAAACCAATAGATATCATAACACTACAAGCCATACCCTGGTTTTTGACCACGGATCCCTTACAAAAAACGAATATGCACAATTATTAATAAGTAGTCCAGTCCATCATATTGTATGAATATCTCCCAGGGTGAGGGCACTCAGGTTAGTAGAATTTCTTTCAGTCTTGTCAGGTTCCAAAACTGGTCTTAGCAAACATACAGCTTTAGCCTTTCAGGCACCTGGAATAATTGAGCTAAGAGACGATGTCGTCTCTTGCTCTGATATTCCTTTGAGTTGTTAGTGCAATACTGGATTTCCCACAATTTATAACCCGCTTACTCATTTATTTACCCTTGGCTATTATTCCTTCTTTTCTCCATTTGTCATTTATTTTTACCCAAACTTTTCCACCTTTGGAAGGGACACTAAGTTTGGCCACTGTGCTGGTCCAGATTGCTGGTAGCGATACTAGTCTAGTAGGTGGTTCCTCCTCCATCCATTTCCATACATACAGGGTAGGGTTACATAGGTTCCAAACTAGCAAGTATGGTGGAATAATATTTCATTGGAATATTTCCTACCATCTTTTGTTTATTCATTCATCTGTTGATGGACATTTGGGTAGTTTCCACCTTTTGGCTCTTATGAATAATGCAGTTATGAACATTTCTGTATAACTTTTTGTGCAGACATATGTTTTCATTTCTCTTGGGTACATCATAAGGAGTGGAATTACTAAGTCATAGCGTAGCTTCATGTTTAACATTTGGAGGAACTGCCAGACTGTTTTCCACAGAGGCTGCACAATTTTACATTTCCACCAGCAACGTATGAAGGTTCCACTGTCTACATGTCCTCACCAACACTTGTTATTGACCATCATTTGTATTATAGTGTGACATGGTACCTCATTATAGTTTTGATTTGCATATCCCAATAAGTAATAAAGTTGAACATATTTTTATTTGCTTACTGGTCATTTATGTGTATATCATCTTTGAAGAAATGTCTACTCAACTATTTTGCCTGTTTTTTTTTTTTAAACTGGGTAATTAGTTTTTCTATTATTAAGTTGTAATAATTCTTTTTTTTTTTTGAGACGGAGTTTTGCTCTCGTTTCGTTGCCCAGGCTAGAGTGTAGTGGTGCAATCTCGGCTCACTGCAACCTCCACCTTCCAGTTTCAAGAGATTCTCCTGCCTCAGCCTCCCAAGTAGCTGGGATTACAGATGCCCACCACCACACCCAGCTAATTTTTTTGTATTTTTAGTAGAGACGGGGTTTCACCATGTTGGTCAGGCTGGTCTTGAACTGCTGACCTCTTGATCCACCCACCTTGGCCTCCCAAAGTGCTGGGATTACAGGCGTGAGCCACCGTGCCCGGCGAGAATTCTTTATCTATTTTGAATACAACTCCATTATCAACTATATACAATTTGCAAAAATTTTCTCCCATTCTGTGCATTCTATTTTCACTTTTTAGTTAGGGTCTGTTGAAACATATAAGTTTCTCATTTTGAGGAAGTCCAATTTATCTGTTTTCTTTCTTTCTTTCTTTCTTTCTTTTTTTGAGACGGAGTTTTGCTGTGTTGCCCAGGCTGGAGTGCAGTGGCGTGATCTCGGCTCAATGCAAGCTCCGCCTCCTGGGTTCACACCAGCCTCCTGAGTAGCTGGGACTACAGCTGCCCGCCACCATGCCCAGCTTCTTTTTTTTTTTTTTTTGTATTTTTAGTAGAGATGGGGGTTTGACTTGTTAGCCAGGATGGTCTCGATCTCCTGACCTCTTGATCCTCCCACCTCGGCCTCCCAAAGTGCTGGGATTACAGGCATGAGCCACCGCACCCAGCCAATTTATCTGTTTTCTTATTTCATCGGTTGTGTTTTTGGTGCCATATCTTAAGAAACCATCATTAAATCCAAAGTCATGAAGATTTACCACTATGTTTTCTTCTGGGAGTTTTATAGTTTTAGTTAGCTCTTACCTATAGGTCTATAATCCACTTTGAATTAATGTTTTAATATGATGTGAGGTAGGGGTCCAACTTCATAATTCTGTACATGGATACCCAATTGTTTCAGCACTAGTTTTTGAAAAAACTATTTTTTCTCCCATTGAATTGTCTTGGCACCTTTGTCAAAATCTGACCATAAATGTGAGGGCTTATTTCCAGACCCTCAATTCTATTCCATTGATCTGTCTATGCTAATGCCAGTACCACACTTCTCTCTCTCTGTCTTTTCTCTCCAGGTTCATTGGGAAGGCCACCTTGGGTGACTCCTAATACATCTAGTGCTTTCAAGGTCTTCAAGCACTCTAAATTCCTCTTCTTATCTGGCCCACAAAACAGCCTTAGAAGACAAATACATAGGTGACCATCCCTCTTTTGCAGATGAGGAAACTGAGTCTCAGGGAGGCTGTGAGTATCTCAAGGTAATTGTGCTGGTAGGTGGTGGAATTGAGACCAGAATCCCAGCTTTCACCTGTAAAACTAAGCTCCTTCCTGGACAGCACACTTTGCTCTTTAAAAGGTACAACTACATACATACACAATGGGATACTATTCAGCCTTAAAAAGGAAGGAAATTCTGTCATTTGCAACAACATGCATGAACCTGCAGAACATCATGTTACGTGAAATAAGCCAGGCACAGAGAGCCATATACTGCATGATCTCACTCGTATGTAGAATCTAAAAAAGTTGAACTCAGAGAAGCAGAGAGTAGAATGGTGGTTACCAGGGACTGGGTGTAGAGGGCTGGGGAGATGTTGGTCAAAAAAAGTCACAAACCAAAAGTTTTTAAAAAGGTATGACTTTGAAGACATGCTCTCTGACTTTTTAAATAAAAGTAGCTCCCAGGGCTTTTTTCCTGTACCCTAGCTAGTTCATAAAGGCATTGTGAGACTTAATGTAGCTCACATAAGTGTAAATCTTTCATAGACTGTCAAGGATTAAATACACGTGAGGAGTTATTAGTTGTGCATTTCTATAACAACTCTTCCTTGAAATCATCTGGATCAGAGGTGGAAGTGGCCCATTTCCTATACCTCCACCCATACTGCAGCTATCATTGGACAGCAAACTACAGTGACTATTATCACTTTGCCATCCAGGTGGAAGAGTCACTATGAGACCCACTATTGTCCCAGTTGTATTTATTGTTCAGGAAGCCCCCAATATCACATGATATCCCTTCAGGGATGGAGGTAAATATAGTATCTTTTTTTGACTCATAGTATTGTTCAGCTAGTGTGTTACATGCTTGAATTAAATTAAACTAAACATTACCTCAATAAACCAGGATTGAGTACCTCTGATGTTCTAGGCACAGGATTATGCACTAGAGGGGACACAGAGAGGATTAAGACACAGCCAAGATAGGCAGGCAATGACAGCTTTACAGGGAAGATGTTTCTTCATTCAAATTTGGCAAGTTTTTATTGTGTGCCAGGACACAAACATGGTCCCCACTACCACTAGTTAGGAGCAATTAATGGATTACCATAATGGATACCAACTCCCACAAATAGCTAATCACAGCCTGGGCTACAGACCATGAAGGGTGTTATGAGAGCAGTGACCAGGGAACATCCCTGAAGAAGGTACATTGGAGTTCACATGGCATATAGTGATACGTGCTATAGGCTGGAGATGTGCAAATTGCCACGGTAGTTCAGGAGATGAACTGATGAAATCTTGGGTGAGGTAGGGTATGTTTCATAGCAACAGTGATGTTTGGAACGGGCTTTGATCAATGACCAGGTAGAATACGAAAGGAGGATCACCCTGAGCTGGAGTTAGCACAGACACAAGCTAGGGTGACCACAGAACACATGGTCCAAACCAGGAGACCTTTGAAAGCTGGCACTATTCACTATGATGCAGAAACAACAGGCATAAGCTGGGGCTGTCCCTGTAAACCTGGACATGTGACGTCCCTAGCAAAAGCACAAAATGGTGAGCGTAATGACACCCAAGCTGTTAGAATGTAGAATTGGGAGTGGGAGGGACTGGGTTGGAAAGTGAGTACATGAGTTTGCTAGAGCTGCCATAACAAGAACCACACACTGAGTGGCTTAAGCCACAGAAATTGGCCCTCTTCTGGAGACTAGAAGTTGGAAATCACGATGTTGGCAAGGCCACGCTCCCTTGGAAGGCACTAGGCTAAGATGTGTTCCCGGCCTCTCTCCTAGTTTCTGGTAGTTCCCTGGCTTGTGTCAGTATAACTCCTATCCTAACATGGTGGTCTCCTTATGTGGGTGTCTATCTCTGGGTTCAAATTTCCTCTTTCTATGAGGAAACCATTCATATTGGATTAGGGTTCACCCCAGTGACTTCATCTGAACTTGATCATCTGAAAAGACCCTTTTTCCAAATAAGGTCACATTCACAAACACTGGGGTTAGGACTTCAACATCTTTTGGGGGAACAAAATTCAACCCTTAATAATGAGGCAGAAGACGATTATAGCTGTGAAAGAATGCCACGCTAGTCTAGTCTGTCCTGAAAATCATGGGGAACTGTGACCAGTTTGTGAGCTGGAGTACAGTTTAGTCTGTTTCAAAACAGTAACCCTGGCAGCCCAGTCCTTTAATTTGGTCCAATTGGAGATAGACAATGCTTTTTTGGCTTTTAAAATTCTCCCCCCAGTTATAAAAATACCTTCTTTAGTATTGCACTTCCTTTTGGGAATCAAGGAAGGCAAAATATGAATCCTGAAAACAATGGAATCGTTTTAATCGAAAGGTTATTTTCTCACTCTCAAATCATTTTTACTACCCTAGCTTGCAAGATAACAATTGCTTTCTCTATTAGAATACACAGTGTAGGATGACTTTCAGTACATGCTTGTGGGGTGGAATACAAAGTTGTTTAATCTTATGGGTTAACTTTAGGTATGGTTGTCAATGCTTTGCTGTTGTGTGTGATGTATCATCAGCACACAAAAATCTCATTTGCCTTTGATTCCTGACCTCCAACAGGGGTTTCCACATGGCTTCATGGAACTCTAGGGTCCAATGGTGCTTCCAGAAGTGCCCTAGAACTGCCTGGGGGGTGGAGAGGGCAGACCAGAGAAGCTGAGCTTGGGCTGCTTTTACACTTGTCAGATTTGTCTGAAAACTGCCTTGCACTCTTTTTGTAAAAAGTTGGGAAAACCTGGGACTTTGTCCCCACAGCCAGCTTCTCTCGGCCTAAGGGCAAACCCGTTTGATCATTAAATGGAGTCCACGGTATTCCTTCATCCAGAAACTATTGAGCACCTACTGCATACCTGACACTGTTCAAGAGAGATGACAGTGTACAGGCATGTGTTTCTGTGGTTACCTCTTTGGAGGGGAATTTGGTGACAGTGGAAGCCATTATGGAGCACATTTTTCTCAACCAATGATATCCTAATAGGATCTAAGAAAGGCCATTTCTGGAATGCCTGCATAGGCACAGAATTTAGTTAGGAGCGTGTAGTGGGTTGAATAACGCCCACCCCCACCCCCCTCTGACCCAAATTAACGTCCATAGAGAACCTCAGGATGTGGCCTTATTTGGAAATAGGGTCTTTGCAGATGAAATGAGTTAAGGATCTCGAGGTGAAATCATCCTGGATTTAGGGTGGGCCCTGCATCCAAAGACATGTGCGTGTGTGTGTGTGTGTGTTTGTGTTTTGTTTTTGAGACAGAGTCTCTCTCTGTTGCCCAGGCCAGAGTGCAGTGGCACGATCTCGGCGGACTGCAACCTCTGCCTCGCAGGTTCAAGCAATTCTCCTGCCTCAGCCTTCCAAGTAGCTGGGACTACAAGCGCTTGCCACCATGCCCGGCTAATTTTTTTGCATTTTAATTTTAACACGGAGTTTCACTGTGTTAGCCAGGATGGTCTCGATCTCCTGACCTCGTGATCCATCCACCTCGGCTTCCCAAAGTGCTGGGATTACAGGTGTGAGCCACTGTGCCCAGCCTGGTGTGTTCTTATAAGAAGGGGAGAGGACACAGAGACACAAAGAGAGCAGAGAGCCATGTGAAGATGGAGGCAGAGGTTGAAGTGATGTGGCCACAGACCAAGGAACACCTGGGGCTACCAGAAGCTGGAAGCAGCAAGGAAGGATCCTCCCCTAGGGCCCTCAGAGAGCATGGCCCTGCCATCACCATGATTTTGGACTTCCAAGCCTCTAGACTTATGAGACAAAACATTTCTGATGTTTTAAGCCATGGAGTTTGTGGTACAATACTTTGTTCTGGCAGAAGGGGAGGGACAGACCACATCCATTTCCACATGCTTCCTCACAGTCTTGCTGGAGCTGGGACACTTGCTGCTTTCCTGCGTCCTCATCCTCGTCCTCTTTCTCACCAGCTCAGCAAGGGCTGGCTGTGAGCTCCAGAATGCTATTGGGAGAAGTCTAGACAAGGGAGGGCCAAGTCTGGACCACTTCTGCTCCCCTCACTTCTTTTCTCAAGGTCAACATATCCCACGCACAGTGATTGCAGTAGCAGCCCTGGCCCTTCTGCATGGCCCAGCCTAACCAGCACAGGCTGGCCAGCACAACCTCTGTGGACAAACATTAACCGAAGAAAACCCTGCTACCCTCCCCGACATGCCATCCATCCTGTACCCTCTATCTACGGCCTCCCACAGGCTGATAGGAAGTGGGGCACAGTTAAGCCCATGCCGGCTGGGTCTTGGTTGTTTCAACTCTGGGAGCTGTTATCGGGAAACTCCTTTTGAGAAATCTGCCTCAGTGAAGGGTGAAGAGTGGCAATTGTGTGAACAAAACACCCCAAGCTTGACTCCCACACCTGGCTGTCTCAGGGCCATCTACTTACTCCCATCCTACCAAGAGTGCCTGTTTCTCGAGCATGGAACTTATCTTATTTTCCCATATCATGATGAATCCTCACAACTGCCCTTCGAGGGAAGGATGATTATGATGCCCACTTCAGAGAGGAGGACACAGAAGTTCACAGATGTTTAGGGATCTTCCCAAAGTCACATGTCTCTTAAGTGACCCAGAGATTTCAACCCGAGGTTGCTGGACTCCAGCCCCTCTGCGTTTGCTCCTTGCCCTGCTGCACCCCTTGTTTGCAGATGTGCTTTGCAGAGGGTGAGCTTCAGCCACAGCCACATCACCCCTAACCATATTCAGCAGCTGCCTCTTTTTTTTTTTGTTTTTTTTTTTTTTTCATTCATTGCCAGGACCTGCCCATGGGCTGCCTCCTAAGCTCTCTTCTTCCTATAGTCAGTTTATGGAGCTAAAAAGAAGGCACTGGCTCAACCACCCTTGGGGGTGCCTGTTTCAGGAGAGATCTCGACCTTTTAAATAATTTCCCCAAATACCTCTAACTTATAAAAAAGCAAACAAAAGCATTGCTAGTTTGAAGTTTACTTCCTATTTACAGTGGTTAGCATATTTATTTTAGGCCAAATTAAGCTCTGATTTTACATATAACCCGCATCCACCATATATCATCCAATGATGAGCCCCGATGACCCCTTCTCTCCACTTTTGGTGATTTTGGGAGTTTAGACAGCTGTTGCGCCTGGCATACCGTCAAGCTGAGTATGGGAAAAGTGCAGGCAACTGTCTTTCAGACTTGGCTTCCCAGTTTGCACTACAATCCCACGAGGGCAGAGCTTGTAGGGAAAGCCTGCTAGGTTTCCCCAGGTATCCTCAGACAGAAAGGAATGTGTAATGAGGCACAAATCCTAAGAGTGCTACCCAGAGGAAACTTGGCCTCCTCTGACAGCAGTTCCTGGGGCCACACGTGATCCCAGGGAGCCCCCAAGTTGCTCTCAGGACTGTACCAGTTCAGGCTCCCCTCCCCTACTTGACCTCAAACCAGGCTTGAACTCCGCCCTTCCTGGCTCTCTCCCTTTGCACTCAAGGACTTCACTGCCCACCCCCATGGGGAAGCAGACAGGCGGGCACCACCTTCCCAAGCTGGGTGAGAGGGACAAACTCCCCAACCTCCCTGAGCTCTCAGGGAATTGTCCTTGGTGGGTAGGTCCTAAGCCCCTTTTAGAAGTCAACTTCAAGAAGCCTCTGGGCCTCCCGCCTTTATTCCTTGGGTAGGACACATCCTACTTCCTCTCTTCCTCCCCTCCTCTGCTGTAGGCTCCCCTCCTCTATCATGCAGGCCCACCCCTGCAGCAGGGTCAGCGAGCAATAGCCTGGACTCCAGTTCAAGGCTGCAGGGCTCCAGGACACCTTTTCATTTGAGGGGAGCACCAGACTGGGCACTGTAGTCATTGGGGCCCCTGCTCTTCCTAGACAAGTTCACCTCGGCCCATTCCCACACCTCACCTTCAAAAGTTGCCAGAATTGGAAAATAAAAATACAGGTCACTCACTTACATTTGAATGTCATGTAAACAATGAATTTTGTTGTATAAGTATGTCCCATGTAATATTTGAAATATACTTACATTAAAAATGATGTGTGTGTGGTGAGTGTGTGTGTCTGAAATTCAAATGTAATTGGCAATCCTCCTGCCACCCGCCCAGCCTAATGAGTCACAACCACACTGGTGTTTTCACAGGACAGCAAGTCAAGCCACCAGCCTAGGCTGGAGACATGATACCAACCGTGGTGTCAGAAAACAAGTTTGAGCTTTCCTACCCTTCTCAGTAAGTGGCTCTGCTCTTGCTCTCTGCAGAACACCCAGCCATGCTCAGACTGCATTGTCCTCTGTGCCCAGAGTAATACCTTAGGCACAGCCCTTACTAGCTTCCAGTATAATTATAGGGTTTCACATCTACTGGGCTTTGAGCTTCTTGAGGGCTAGGACTGGTGCTGATGGATCTCCTCTCTCCTCTCCTTACAGTGCCCAGCAGAATTCAGGACCCAGGGTGGGGAGAGCTCAGAAATGACTTGGTGAGAGAACACTTGCATGAATGAATGAATGAATGAATGCCCCTGATTGCATCTAAGGGGCGGTCTTGTGAAAGGCCACACCTGGGATGTCTGGCTTTATCCTCTAGAATGGTGGGTCTCTAAGGGCAGGGATCTTACCTGTTTTGTTCCCTGCTCCGTCTCTAGCACCTAACACCTTGCTGATACCCAGTAGGTGCTCAGTAAACACATATTGCATGAATCAGCAGCTGTGTTCACAGTTGACTGGGCCGATCCGTCTATCAACCTGTTTCCTAGCTTGGCTCTCTTTCCCCACCTCCATTAACAGTTCAGAGATGGCGGCTCCTCCTCTTCCACAGAGGCATTAGGCTGAGTGGACAGTGACTAAGGGCAGGGAGGACAGCAGGTCTCACTCTCTGTCGAAGGAGACTTCAAGGCTGGCTGAGGGAAAGGAAAAAGAAGGCTCACTTAGAAGGGAAGCGTGCAGTGAGCAAGGCCAGGTCGTGCCAGGCAGGAAAGGGGCAATTGGAAGGGCAGACACGGGTGCTGGGGAAGTGGCCGAAGCCCAGGCCGGCTTTTCTGAGTCCGAGTCGTAAAGCGGAGAAGACTCGCACCAGAGCAGGCGGCTGGACGGCGGCGATTTGCAAGACCGGGCACAGCAGCGGCTCTGTAGCCGGCTGGGACCGGCGGCCGCGCACGTGACCGGCCGGGCCAATGGAGAGGCAGCGAGGTCCGCGGTCAAGGGCACCGAGTGGTGCGGAGACTCGCGCGCGGTCGGAACAGGCCGAGGGCTTAGGGGACCTCTGCCAACCCTCGGGTGTGGAGGAAGGGGCGTGGGGGCTGCCGAGCGAAGCACCCGGGCCCTGCCCCGCTACTGGAGCCTGCCTGGCACAAACTCCAGCCTGGGAGGGCCAGAGCTTTCCGTTGGCCGCTGCGTGGGTGGGACCCGGGAGGGTGGTGACTGCCAGTAACTCGGCTGGGGCTCCCCATCGAGCCAAGTCCGGAGGGAACAGGACACTCCCTCAGAAGCTGGCCTGCCCAGGGGAATTCTGGGATGGGAACCTGCTACCCTCAGGTTGCCACCGGCCAAGGCCCTGCATGCGCTCTCTTTTGCTGACAAGCCATAAGCTCCAAAGCCCACCCTCGCGTTGTGCTGGGGGAGGGGCAGCTTCTGAGAACCGCGTCTGCCCTGTTCCGCATCCCTAGAGCCCGAAAGAGTGGCGGGAGGGGTAGGGATGGTTAGTGAGGGGGCCCCAATACCGTTCGCTATCAATACAGGGTTCATCAACCCCACACTCACCCCATGCCCAGCATAGGACCTGGCAGCTAGCAGGTGCTTAGGAAGTGCTTGTTGCTGAAGAAACAAATGGATGAATGAATGAAATCTGGCAGTTGTGGCTGGGGGTGAAGACTTGCTTCTTGGGTGACACTTCCTAACTGTGATGTCTCCATCTGAGGAGCTGTGACAATTCTCCAGGGCAGGGCCATGCGAGAGGAAGCTGTTGTCTTCCGCTGCCAAGCGTAGCTGGGGCTCAAGCCAAATAACGACAGTGCCCACTTTGGGAGGATGTCATAAGTTTGAACAACGTAGTAAAACAAACCTCCTTTTTGTCCCAAAGTCCACTCCTTCACACCTCGCTGCCTTAGAGGGCCTCCAGCTCTGCAGAGCCAGCTGTGCATGCCTCCGCCTTTAAGAAGCCTCCCGCCCCCTTCCACCAAACACGAGGGACCCCTCCTTCCCCAGGGTTATCCCCAGCACATTCACTGTGTTGTGGTTCCACCCTCTGAGCACTTCCTGTCTCCTTGAGTCTGAGAAACCTCAGTTGAAATCTACCTCCCTTTTCCTAGCTTGTTTCTGAGCCTCTTTATCTGCATTTATAAAACAGGATGATCATAATAGCACTAGGATTATTATGAGGCCTGAACACAAGGACTCCTGTAAAGTGTCTGGCACAGAAGCAGTCCTTGGCAAATAGCAGTTTTTGAGCTCCTGGAGGATAGGGGCAGTGCCTTCTTTGCTTACCACCATCTCTCTCTCTCTCTCCCTCTCTCTCTCTCTCTCTCTCTCTCACACCAAGCAGACAGCCTGGTGTGCAGTAGGTGCTCCACAAAAATGTGTTGGGTGCAGACCGCTTGAAGCCAGGACTTTGAGACCAGCCTGGCCAACATGGCAAAACACCATCTCTACCAAAAATACAAAAAGTAGCAGGGCACAGTGGCTCCCGCCTGTAGTCCCAGCTACTCAGGATGCTGAGGCAGGAGAATGGCTTGAACCTGGGAGGCCGAAGTTGCAGTGATCCGAGATCATGCCCCTGCACTCCAGCCTGAGCGACAGAGCAGGACTTGGTCACACACACACACACAAAAGTGTTGTGTGAGCTATTGCTGCACTGTCTTGCTTGGCCAGGAGTGGTTCCCAAACTGGGCACAGCTGAGCTTGCAGGCAGCTTCTGGGGCTGGGGGAGGGAAGCAGAGGCTGACAGTCTGGGGTAGTGGTTCAAAAAGTACCCACCCCCGTGACCGGATGCTTTTAGAATTGGGTGTGCAGAGGGATCAACTCCCTTCACCTGCCTCCATAGCCCAGCACAGGTAGGATGCAGTGTACTTGGCTGCCTCCCAATTTCTGTGCCATCCACAAGATGGCTGCCTCTGGAGGCGTGGGCAGAGCTGGGGTTGGAGCTCAGGCAGGCTTTATGCCCCCTGCAATTTGCCTAGTAACCCAGATTTGTGGCCAGGCGCTGGTCTAACTCCTGCAGGGTTTGGCTGGAGCTAGGGTTTCCCAGTTTTAGTCAATAAAGATACAGGATGCCCAGTTAAATTTGAATGTCAGATAAACAACAAATCTTTTGTAGTAGAAGTATGTTCCATGCGATCTTTGGAACATACTTATACTATGAAATTATTCGTTGTTTGTCTGAAAAACAAATGTAACAGGGCTCCCTGCATTTTCTCTGGCAAGCGTAGCTGGAGCTTGTCCAGCTGCTGTGGATTGTAAGGGAATCAACCTTGGAGGGTGGAGTGGGAGGGAACTGCTCCCACCAAAAGTACTTTGAATTGATATCAGAACAATGGCATGGGCTGTTTTGTTTTTCTTTGCTTAGAAAAAGAGCATTCCATGTCACTCAAAAGAAAATAGAACGGTGAATTTCAGCTCTCTGCCTTGCTCCATTGATGTTGACCCAGAACATGCCTTGATTCTGAAAGGGATATTGACTGTTAGACAAGTGGCTCTTTCATTTTCTCGGCAACTCTCCTTCTAGTGGTTGGTGCCCACTACCCTGTGTCCCATTTGGAATACACTTGGGATAGGATGCAGGGTGGCCATTTGCCTCTCCAGAGGGTGCTGTTCTGCTGGGCTATTCAGATGCTCCAAGTACAAAGTGGCCTTAGCTGTGAACTAGGGAACAGATATATATAAATAAAGAAGAAGAGTTCTATTTCTCAATTTCATTTTTCCATGCTATACAACCTCTAATTCTCACAACGATTCTGACAAGGCATGTTATTATTCCCATTTTACAGATGGGAAAACTGAGGCCCAGACAAGGAAAAGCTTTGTGCAAGGTCATACAGCAAGTGAGCGGAGAGGCCATGGTTCAAACTCCATTCTCTCTATTCTCTGAACTTAGTGCCTAGAAGTTGGCCTCAAATCCAGTTTGAAAGCACATAGGGAAGAATCCATACATTAATTAACGTAACCTTCAATCACATCTCCTGATGCCAGAGAGATGTTTCTGAAGCGCAGATCTGAACATGTCCTGCCCCTGCTTAAAACTTTCCTGGGCCTCCCCATTGCCTTCTGGATGAAATTCAAGCTCCCTAGCTTGCATTTCAGAACATTTGCAGATCCCACGTCTCTTCCACCGTCTCTAGCCTCATCTTCCGCCACTTGCCCAACGCTCGCTCCCCCTCCACACCTCTCTCCCGTCACCTCACCAGCCAGGGCCTGCATTCTGGAGTGGAGAAGGGAGTGGGCCTCGGTGAGCCAGGCCCTGGAGTCCAGAGGGGCCAGGGAGACATGAGCCTGCTGTGCGACACTATCAGTCACTCTGAGACATGGCCCAAGTCCCAGGACAACAGACCAAGTTCCTGAAGCCACAGCAGCTGTGCTCCAGGTCTGCCCTGAGCTGCTCTCGATGGGCTGGGTGGAAGCCTCCTGGTTTTGGCTTTACAGCATCTCAAAGTCGCCACCTAGGCCCTGTAAGATGTCTGACAATCCAGTCCCGGGAGCCTCTCTTGGCCCATTGTCTCAGCTTGCAATGCACCTATGCCTGCTTTCAAAATTTTAAACAATTAGGAAAGTTATTAGCTCATGAGACAGGAAGTCCAAAGATAGGGCTGGCCCAACTCTATCTCCAAGCGCCCAGATTCTTTCTGCTTCTCTTTGTTGCCATCCATGGCATTCATCTGAAGGCTGATTCCCCTTGTGTCCCTAACATGACTGTCTATAGCGATTCTGGCTGTACAACTCCTTGTTGGAATTCACTGGGTGAGAGAGTCAGTAAAGATCTTGATGGGTCTGCCTAGTTCACCTGCTCACCCCTGGATCAGTGACTGTCATGGAAGGAAACACCACATGCTGTTTGGCTTAAAGCTAGGTTCCCAAGTTTCATCCGGAGCTGTGTGTCGCCAGGCTCCATCCCTGCCCACGCCTCCAGGCTGAGTCAGGTAGCTCCTTCTCAAGGCTCCCTCAACCTCCGTGCTTCACTCTGTCACAGCACTGTGTAGCCACTGTGTGGTCATTGAGGTTTTTACTGTCAGTTCTGAGAGGACAGGGGTTGTCTTGGGTCTTCTGTAGCCCCAGGGATTGTCCCAGAAGGGCTGCTTTGTGGTATTTGTTAAATGAAGGGGAGTGGAGGAGTGGTTGGTTGGCGCAACGTCTGAATGGTGTACGCATGGGGATGAGAATGACATGGGGTGTGGATGAGGAAGGCCATCAATACGCATGGGTTCCCATGTGCAGGGGCCCATGGAAGTGGGTGTGCCTGTGTGTGAGCATCGAAGTAGCACAAAGCCTGAGCTGTTTCCCCCCAGGGGAAAGCCCGGGCCAGCAGCCACAGGGAGCCTGGGCTGACCAGAGGCAGGCCTTTGTGGCTTCTTTAAGTAGCTGGGCCCGCTCAGGTCTGACCCATCCTCCCTCCCTCACACTGGCCTTTCTTAGCCACTGACTTCACTCCTCCTTTGCCTGCCTGTCCTTGTCTCACCTTCTGGGTTTGACACACACCGGTGCCCTCTGTCTGGTTATTAATAATGCTTGTGGGTCATCCTAATACAGCCTGTTTCCAGAGCACTTTCTCAGCACCAGGCCTGGGCTAGGGCTGCACCAGGCACTGGATCTCCTCTCAACCACACAGTGACATAGGAATCTCCCCAGGTCCCAGAGGGGCACTGGTTGGGGGTTCAAACAGAGGGGACTTGCCTAGGGGTTATGAGTCCCTTGTTGTGTCAGGAGAGGCAGGATCTTAGTTACGGCCCAAGTCAGGGCGCAGTGCAGTGCAAAAGCAGCGGATCTGTCTTTCAGGGGAAATTTTAGGTGAAGTCCCTGTAGAAAAATGGATCACAATGAACTTGCTCTGGTTAGGTGTTGGGGACAGGATCCCTGCCTCCTCACTTCCCCATCTGCTCAGGGGACTCTGAGGCTCAGCCTAGGTTTGAATTCCAGCTCTGCTACTTAGTAGCTTGGGGCCCGGACAAGTTACCTTAGCTTTCTAAGCCTCAGTTATCTCATCTATAGTGGTGGCTGGGGAGGAGTGAGAGTCCTCACCTCAAAGGATTCTACTGAGCATTTCGTGGGATGCTGAGGGGTAGATGGGCCCATGCATATGAAGCGCTTGGCAGTTACCTGGCACCAGTTATCATTCACTGGGCTGCCCAGATACAACTTCCTACCTCCCAAGGACCCCTCCAGAATGCGAGCCCACTCTTTCTATAAGTCTTCCTGTCATCTCCCAACCTGCCCTTTATCACCCAGATTTCCTCCCCATCCATCCATCCATCTGTCCTTCCATCCATCCATCCATCCATCCATCCATCCATCCATCCATCCATCCACATACTCATTCATTTATTTGTGTGACAAATATCTTTTGGGCACCTACTATGTGCCAGGCGCTAAGCTAGCTGGGTACTGGAGACAAAGGCCAAGGTCTCTGCCCTCAGTGCAGCTATGATCTCTCAGTGTCAGGAGAGCTAACCTAGGGAAACGTATCCCCCCATCACACCCACAACCCTCACCTCCAGTAGTACAGGATAAATCCATTCACATGTCCCCAGTGGCCCATTAAACAGAGGACTGGAACCCAGCGCCCAAGGCCACTACATTTCTGCAGGGGAGGACCTGGGGGGTTTCCTGGTGCAGCTTGGAGAAGGCAAATGATGTGATACCAGCATCCAGCCCCCAGCCTTTGCCAAACTTTTCCCAGGGTTCTGCTGGAACCCTCAGCCATTCGGTCATGAAATGGGCACATACGTCAGACAGTCCGGAGCCCAGGAGGCCCTCTTGGGGCCACTGTGGGTAAACTCTTTGGGGCTTGACTGAGCCAGCTGGAGAACACTTCCCTCTACCATAAACCTAAAATTCCTCTGAAATCACAATCACTGTGGCCGAGGGGAAGAGAACATTTGCTTTATAGGATCCCACGTATACACAAGCTACTTTCTAGGGACACAGCCTGTGGCCTCAAGTGATTTTCTGGGCACTCTGTAATTTGCCACCCTCCTCTGCCATGGGCATGTGCATGTGCATGGAGGTGAGGAGAATGCCCCACCAATGAGACAACCATGGATCACTCAGCCTGGGCCAAGGGGGCCCTGCCTTGACAAACGGGGCTGATGTGCTCTTGGGTGCTAACCCTAGTATACTAGGCCTGCCAGCCTTGTGGCGGTGCTTGGGGATCCTTAGCTAAAAAGGCTAGTGGCTTCTTGGATCGTTGAAAGGGCAGCCCATGCTAGGAGTGTGTGCTGCCACAGGCTTAGGTTGGAATGCTCTTCCTTCCCCAGACTCATGGGGGTCTTCCAGGCTTATCATAGATATCACTTCCTCCAGGAGTGACACCTCCTCTGTGCCCTCTCCTCTGGCTAGGCTTGGCTTCCTTCCTTGTGGTCATAGCCCCCTGAGTTTGCCTGGGCCACAGCACTTACCATCCTGTACTATAACATCTTTTCCTCCCACGACCCTGTGACCACTTCTTGTTGTCACTTACAAGTACCTGGCATACAGTAAATACTCTTGAGAATGAGCAAGTTAGTGATGATCCTCTATCAAGAGATAAGGCCAGGAGAGATAAGTCATGCCAATCCCACCGAGTGCCTCTGGTCCCCAGGCACGGCTCTGGCATCCCAAGTGGTGGTAGGCAGGTAGGCAGGGCTCATTGCCAGGCATTGGAAACATGTGGCGGAGCTGGACCACTGCCTGGCAGAGGTTTGCAAGGCCCCGAGCCCTCACAGGGGTAGGGAGCACACACAGGGCCTGGTAAGGGAGGCGTAGGGCCTGCTGGATGAACAGGTGCCAGATGTAGGGCTGGGGGAGGGGGGCAGTGAGCAGTGATGCTCTTGGCTTAAGTCCTAAGGGCAGTATGCTGGAAGCAATTCCTGCTCCCTTCGAATAGGGAAGTGACAGGACTTGTCAGTGTTCAATGGCAGCATGGTAGAATGCCAGGGGTCTCCAGCTGGGAGCCTTACAGCCTATGACCCATTCCCCTGGAGGGTCAATTTTGCTCTAAAATGCGGCAGGGCAGGGAGGGTTAATTTAACTGGTAGGTAACATAAATATTACTTTCTTATATTTAAACAAACATGGATGTATTATGTTTTAGAATGCAAACTTCACTGAATCTTGGAGCTATAGCATAAGGTGTCAAAACGGCAACTTTGGGCTGTGCCCCCAGACTGCCCCCAGGGCCTGCATTTCATTCTCTTCAGTTGTTAGGGAGACCCAGCATGTTGGGGGTGGGAAAAGGTGGCCTTTATCATCAGATGGACTCAGATTCCCATCCCACCTCCCCCTGCAGCTTGACTTCACCACTGATGAGATCGTTGGGCCCTTGAATGGGTGATTCTAATTCTTAGGGATTGTGTGAGTCCGTTCTTGCATTGCTATAAAGAAATACCTGAGGCTGGGTAATTTATAAAGAAAAGAGGTTTAATTGGCTAGAGGTTCTGCAGGCTTACAGGAAGCACAGCGCCAGCATCTGCCTCTGGTGAAGACCTCAGGAAGCCTACAATCATGGCAGAAGGCAAAAAGGGAGCAGGCACATCATATGATGATAGCAGGAGCAACAGAGAGAGCAGGGAAGTGCCACATACACTTAAACAACCAGATCTCCCCTGAACTCATTCATCACCAAGGGGATGGCGCTAGCCATTCATGAGGAATCCGCCTCCATGATCCAAACACCTTCCACTAGGTCCCACCTTCAACACTGGGGATTGATTACATTTCAACATGAGATTTGGAGGAGAAAAATATCAAAACTATATCACGGATGATGACGCCTGCCTTAGAGATAGGCATGAGGACTAATGAAGGAAAGTAGGCCCTGTACAGCCCCCTGCCTGGGGTTACAAACCTGACAACCTCGCCAAATGGAGACGGGGGAGTTGGTGTGACCCCACCCCCGACATGGGTGTGGAGTGGAAGTGCCTGCTGTTCTGGACCTGCCACTTTGAGTGCCTTGCCCTGGCTTCTTCCTTTGTAGGCTAGTGGGGGTGTGGGCATTCCCAAGCCTTGTGGACCCCTAAGTGGAATCATTAGCCTTTCCCACCACTCAGGAAAGGGAGACCAACTCCTACACTCTGTCTGCTCTACCAGGCACTGGGCTGAGCACTTTACCACCATAATTTCCTTTCATTTTCCTTCCCAGAGAAGTCTGGGGTCCTCTGGGGTATTGGGGAGGAGAAAAGGCAAGGAGTTGAGAACCCAGGAAGGCTCTAACTTGGCCACTGAGTGCCCTTGGAGAAGCACCTTCCTCCTCTCCTCCATGGCCAGCTCAGCTTCTAGATCAGCCTTCCCTGGTCTGGCCTCTCCATGACCTCAAGAGATAGAGTGGCTTAGCCTCTCTGCCCACTCTGTGCAATTGGCCAAGCTATGGAGGAAGGGTGTCTTAGTTTGCTCCAGTTGCCTCACAAAGTACCACAAAGAGGGACTCAAACAACAGAAATGGACTGTTTCACACACAGTTCTGGAAGCTGGAAGTCTGAGATTAAGGTGTCAGCAGGGTAGGTTCCTTCTGAGTGTTGTGAGGCAGAATCTGTTCCGGGCCCCTCATTTAGTTTCTGGGAGTTTGCTAACAATCTTTGGCATTGTTCCTTGGCTTATAGAAGCATCACCCTAATCTCTGCCTTCATCTTCACATGGTGTTCTCCCTGTGTCTCCGTCTCTGTGTCCAAATGTCCCCTTCTTTTTTTTCTTTTTTTGAGATGGAGTCTCAGTCTGTCACCCAGGCTAGAGTGTAGTGGCATGATCTTGGCTCACTACAACCTCTGCCTCCTGGGTTCAAGCGATTCTCCTGCCTCAGCCTCCTGAGTAGCTGGGACTACAGATGCCCACCACCACACCAGGCTAATTTTTGTATTTTTAGTAGAGATGGGGTTTCACCATGTTGGCCAGGCTGGTCTTGAACTTCTGACCTCAGCTGATCTGCCCGCCTCGGCCTCCCAAAGTGCTGGGATACAGGTGTGAGCCACCGTGCCCGGCCCAAATGTTCCCTTCTTGTTAGGACCCTAGTCAGATTGGAGTAGGACCTACCCATTCTAGTATGACCTTATTCTAACAGAACTCATTCCATCTGCAACAACCCCATCTCCAAATAACGTCACCCTCTGAGGTACTGACAATGAGGACTTCAGCATATGAACTTTGTGGGGACATAATTCAACCCATAACAGAGGTAGAATGGAAATTCAAGTTCATCTGATGCCAAAGGCCACTTTCTATTCCAACATGCTGGGGCTTCTCAAATTTTGCCAGAGCCTGCCTAATAACAGAAGAGAACGAGATACAGTCTCCTACTTGCATCCACTAGAGGTGATGGGGAGAGGGATTTTGAGTGACTGTCTCCAGTATTACTTCCCCAGGACATGTTTGCTCAAGGCCACCTACGGCTGTTTCACATGCCTTGGTCCCCTGTTTCCTGTAAGCTTCCTGCCCCTATCCTGTGGCCAAGTCCAAGGTAACTTCGAACTTCCAGATTTGTTCTAGAGTCCTGATCTTGTTATTCCGGGCTTTCTTGCAGCAGGAATCCTTGGAGCCCCCATGCAGAAAGGACCTTCATTTGTCTACTACCAAGAGCCCTAGAGTGCCTTTAGTGGCACACAGGTTCCCTTCTTATGGGCATCCTTACTGCACTTCATTGTCCCACCCATTTGTGGTTTTCCCTAGACTGAAGAAGATCTCATTCTGGGTTTGTTGGCAGCCTCCAGATTGCGTCTCGAAGAGTGATTGCTTTGGGACCATGTGGAGCCTCATTTGCAGCGGCCACATCACTCAGAGCCTGGGGTTTCTTTTATTGCTATTTCTGCATGCTACCCACGTGCTTATTTTAGACTCCTCTCTGGAAAGTCTGCTCGCATTTAATTCCTTTCAGCCACACTTTCACACTGTTCTAACCTATTTATATTTAACAGTTTGAGCACTGCAGTGCCTTGATTAGAATAATCAGTTCTGTATCAGAAACAGCCTCCCCAGGAATGTAGAATCCAGCCAAGTGCCCAGATGCCGAGGAAACAGCCCTCTCTTTCCAGCTACACCCTCCTAGACCTCAGGAGAGCTGTGTGTGGTGGGTTCTCCAATCCCCAGGTCCTGCCATCATGAAAAATGAAATCAATCTTGATTGGATTATTCTCAAAGGATTTATGGAAAGGGGGATGCCCCTCCTTTACAACAGCTTCAGGATTTAAGTTTGGCAGCACTTGTAATGATCTGTAGGCATTAGGTGCATTTCAGGACCAAGAGAGACTGTGTGCTAATAAGATGCTAATACCTAACACTCATTGAGAACTGACCACGTGGCAGGCACTGGGCCAGCTGCTTTCCCTATAGTGGAGTATTTCACTTGTTCCTTGCAGCCACCCTCTGGGGCAGATCTTATTATTACGCCCAGTTTACCAATGAGTAGATTGGGGCTCAGTGGAAGTAAATCGCTTTGAGATCATGTAGTTGGTAAGTGGCAGCAGAAGGATTTGAATCCATAGAGTCTGGCTCCAGAACTCCAAAACAGAACCATTCTCTCGAACTAAGTGTTGCCACTAAGATCTTGAGAGTTTAATCAAACCTCTTCATCTCTAAGTGGGGAAACTGATGCATGGGGGCGTGGAGGAGGAAGGAACCTGCCCAAGTTCATAAAGCAAGCTGGTCATATAGGCTAGCACAATTTCACAAGTTACCATGGCCAGGGCTTAGGGGTGGGAGCAGTGAAGGGTCTTTGTGGCTAGTATGGTCAGGGACTCTACCTCTTTGGTGGAGGTCCATCCTGCCAATTGGCTTCTCGGGCCTGTGGCAGTGAGGGAGGTCCTTGCTACTGCCCCTCCAAAGACGCCTGCAGTGACACCACAGTCAGATATGGTGGCATCAGAGTGGGGGTGGGGGGGGACAGCAAGAACGTGGCCTGTGGCAGAAGTCAGCTTCTGGCCAGCCTTGGCTAACTGTACCTTCTCCTCACCACCAGCAGGGGACCATCTGTCTCCTTCCAGCCATGGGCAAATTATCATCTTTCTCAAGTCCTCTCGGGTCTCATTTCCAACTGAAGCCTGATTTCCTTATGGTCACAGCAGGAGTTCTCAACATCCTGGGGCTCTAACTCAACGACAAGACACTGGGCCTTCTCTTCACACCCTGGGAAGCCTGGACTGGGACAAGGGAAAGATGAGGGAGCCTCCTGAAGTTTTCATACCGGGAGCCATCAGAAAGGGTACATGTGGTGAGCCTCTGCTCTTACAGAACACAGGCTTTGAAAAAGACTTCACAGAGGATTCATGCTGCCCCTGCCCCTAGGAAGCCCCTCTTCAGCTCCTCTGCCAAGAGGCCATCTCTCCTTAATCTCCGTTTTATTGTGGTAAAGTGTACATAACCGAAATCTACCATCATAACCATTTTAAGGTGTACAATTCAGCAGCATTTAGGACATTCACAACATTGGGCAACCATCACCATTATCTAGTCCCAGAACATTTTTGTTACCAAAAGAGAAGACCCCATACCCATTAGCAGTCACTTCCTATATCTTAGCCCCTAATCCCCTGGCAACTCTCTCTGTGGCTTTGTCTGTTCTGGATATTTCTTATAAATGGAATCAAATAAATGTGGCCTTTTGTGACTGGCTTCCTTCACTTAGCAAAATGTTTGCGTGGTTCATACACGTTGTA